>NC_000020.11:38738961-39041991 GCF_000001405.40 Homo sapiens
GGCCTCAGGTGATCCACCCGCCTTGGCCTCCCAAAGCGCTGGGATTACAGATGTGAGCCACCGCACCTGGCACTTGATCCTTTTAATATTTATCTCCACATCTCCAAATAACATGCTTATATTGGGCCAGGTGTGGTGGCTCACACCTGTGATCTCAGCACTTTGGGAGGCCAAGGCAAGCAGATCACTTGAGGTCAGGAGTTCAGGACCAGCCTGGCCAACATGGCGAAACCCTGTTTCTACTAACAGTACAAAAAATTAGCTTGGCATGGCGACAGGCACCTGTAGTCCCAGCTACTCAAGAGGCTGAAGCATAAGAATTGCTTCAACCTGGGAGGTGGAGGTTGCCGTGAGCTGAGATCTCACCACTGTACTCCAACCTTGGCGACAGAACAAGACTCTGTCCTCCCCCACCCCCTGCCCCCACAAAAAATGCTTTTATTGCAATTTCTTTATTTTTCATTTTGGACCTTAATTATTGACTCCCACTCAGGAAGGTGAGGTTTTAGTCCATTTCCTAATTCTTCTCCAGTCTACATCCCCGCCCCTTCAGTTTCCCAGTATAGTTACATGATCATTTTAGTTAGCTTAGTACTCAAGATTTACATTGTATGATATGTGTACTAATTAGAGCTGGGGCATGTGATAAACTATGATTACAATTCCTTTCCTGTACAACTTTTTATTGTATAAGAAGTTGCCTTTTTGTTTGTTTCAAATTCCTTTTTTTTTTTTTTTTGGAGACAGAATCTCACTTTGTCTCCCAGGGTTGGAGTGGTGTGGTGTGATCATAGCTCACTATAGCCTCAACCTCCTGGGCTCAAGCGATCCTCCCACCCCAGCTTCCTGTGTAGCTGGGACCATAGGCATGCATGCACCACCATGCCCAGCTAATTTTTTGATTTTTTTTTTTTTTTTTTTTGAGACAAGCTGTTGCCCAGGCTGGAGTGCAGTGGTGAGATCACAGCTCACTACAGTCTTGACGTCCCAGGCTCAAGTGACCCTCCCAGCTCAGCCTCTTGAGTAGGTGGGACCACAGGCACACACCACCATGCTTAGATGATTTTTTTTTCCATAGATGAGGTCTTGCTATGTTGCCCAGCCTAGTCTCAAGCTCCTGGGCTCAAGCAATCCTCCTGCCTTGGCCTCCCAAAGTGCTGGGATTACAGGCGTGAACCACTGCACCTGGCCAACTGTTTTGATTTCTTGTAGAGACAGGGTCTTGCCATGTTGCCCTGGCTGGCGTCAAACTCCTGGGCTCAAGTGATCCTTGGCCTCCAGGTGTGAGCCACTGCTCCCAGCCTCAAATACTTTTTAATAACTGAACCCCAAACTCTCCTCCAATTGTCTAAACACCCCTCAATTGTTTCATTCACACAAAATATGGTATCAGTTTCCCTTTCCTGAAGAAGTCTCTCCCAAAGCAGACCCACTCCAACCTGGCCAGCACCCCATATGCCTGTAGCACAGCTGTCCTCTTGGGATCCGGCTTTTCAATCACCTCAGGGTTCTCTTACTTCACTTGTATGTTGCAGCTCCTGTCTCCTGTCTCACGTGATTTCTCTTTCTTGGTTTACTCCCTTGTTTTGAAGCAGATTCCACAATAGCTTCTGGAATATAAGGGAGGTTATGGAAGGTACATTTTTGAGGCCTTGAATAACTTTAAATGTCTATATTCTACCCCAGTTCTTGATTGAGGGTTTGGCTGAATTCTAGTTTGGAAACCATTTTTCTTTAGACTTGAAAGCACTTTCCATTTGTTTTCTAGTTTTCGATGTTGCCAAGGAGAAGTTTGAAATTGATCTTTGTTCTTTTGTATGCAAACATTTTCTTTCTCTTTGGAAACGACTGGATGTTCTCATTGTTTCCAGGGAACTGAAATTTCATGATGTGTGTTCATGTAGATCTGTTTCCTTTCATTGTGGCTTCTTCCCAACACAGCAACTCAAGTGCTTCAATTCTAGGAAGTTGCCTTGAATTGGGATGGCCCTCTGTATGTTTTCTGTTCTGTCTTTTGGAACTTCTATTATTTGTAGATTAGAACTGCTCCTCTAAATTTCTTATTTTTCTTTCCTCTTTCCCTCTTTCTCTACACACACATACTTTATTGGAGATTTTCTCAACTTTATCTTCCATCTACGAAGTTTTTCATTTCTGCTATCTTGTCCCTCACCCCAAGCCCCCGAAACCTTCTTTTGGTTCTCTTAACCTCCCTGTTCTATAGCAAACTTTTCTTGTTTCATGGATACAATATCTTCTTCTATCTCTTTGAAGATATTGTAGTAATAATGAGTATTTTAAGGTTTCTCTTTTTCACGTAGTCTCTATTGCCTCCTGGTTGATTTTCTTCCCTCTTTGTATGCTTTAACCTCTGGCTTTCATGTTAGAAGCGTACCTCATTTTAAAGACTGGGGTAGTACAGGCTGATTGGGCTAGTAGAGGCTGATTGGAGGTGCAGAGTCCATGGAAGAGTCCTACTGACTGTGAGTTTCATCGTAAAATGATCTCAATGGGCTGTTTGAGGGAGAACATCCAAGACCAATTCACTTAGAGTTTTCCTCTCAGGTTGGATAAGAATCTCAGGGAAGATTCTTCCATTCTTTCGCTGAAGGGTAAAAACTTGGGAACCTATAGAGTATCAGGAACAAAGTAGGGGAAGAGACTGGGATCTTAGCATTCATTATGTATATTGACTTAATCATTTTGTTCTCAGTTGATATCCTTGTTTAGAGACTATTTGTTTTACTCTTTGCAAAGAGTCAAACCTCCAGTCTTTTTGGGGAATTCTGGAGGCAGTTAGAAAGAAGAGCACCTATAGACTTCGGCAGGCTTCTTCATAAAATAGTTTTAACAAGTTCTCCTTATTTTGGCCGTTCCACTTTTACTCTCTTTTCTAGAAGAACCTTGTGCCACTAATTCCTGAGACTTTTCAGCATTGTACAGTGTGAAACAGATTAGTGTTCAGCTTTTCCCAGAGCAGCTGGGGAATCAGGTTTTCTAAACTAGATACCACTTGCATGTATACTTTCCAGTTCTTGAAATCTCTCTCTCCCATTCTCCTATTCTTGTAGGGTTTTCCTTTTAAAAAAATCCCCTTATTGAGGTGTGAACTGTCAGTCCCCTGCCCCCTGCTCCATCTACTTAACCTGAGGGCTTAGAGGAGGACATAGCACTAACTTACCTAACACATTCTCACCAACCAAGGCTCTCGTCACCTGTGATCAAGGGAACCTGCCCCATAGTAAGCACCTTATGGGACACTCTGCTCTATTCCCCAGGGAAGGAAGACCAAAGTGACATCTGAGCTGGCCCTTAATGAGGATTCTAGAGGCAAACGATGTAGGGCAGAGCATCTCGGTCTGCATCAACAATACATATGTGCAAAGGTACAGGCTACTAAAAGGCCACAGCATGCCCTATATCTGATTATTCCAACCAGTGGGTTAGCAGGATCTGGGATGAAGTTGGAGACCCTGTGCTAAATCACCTGCCCCCAGTCCTAGTCTGCCACCTGTCTCCTCAGTTACGTGGATATCCTTTCTGTTTCCCAGGCAGTTGGCCCAACGAGCCCTGAACCAAGTCCAGCACAAGGCCTTGGTCAGCCATGATGAATTAAGGTTCAACAGCCTAATTTGATACCTGTTCTCATCACATCCTCCCCACCAAGCTGCAGGCAGAATGCATGGCACATGGTTTCCTTGGAACAGTTTTCTGATAGTTCTACCGTCTGAGTCCTGTCATGAAGGCTCTCTAAGGAACAAGACTAGATACATCATATGATCACCTGTGTGTGTGTGTGTGTTACTTAGGACAGGAGCCAACATGGCCATAACTTAAACCAAATAGAAGGTGTATTTAATGTGGGTTCTGATTCACTACATCCGTGAATGTGCCCTCATTTAGAAATATAGTTGTTGCAGGTACATAGTACAGATATAATCAGTGAAGCTCATACTGAAGTAGGGTGGGGCCCTAATCCAATAAGACTGGTGCTCTTAGAAGAAGAGGAAAAGTGGGCTGGGCGTGGTGGCTCACACCTGTAATCCCAAAACTGTAGGAGGTCGAGGCAGGTGGATCACAAGGTCAGGAGTTCGAGACCCGCCTGGCCAATATGGTGAAACCCTGTCTCTACTAAAAATGCAAAAAATTAGCTGGGCGTGGTGGCGCATGATTGTAATCCCAGCTACTTGGGAGGCAGAGGTTGCAGTGAGCCAAGATGGCACCACTGCACTCCAGCCTGGGCAACAGAGCGAGACTCTATCTCAAAAAAAAAAAAAAATTAAAAAATAAAAAGAAGAGGAAAAGAGACAGATACACTCAAGGGGAGCACCACATGATGACGGCAGCAGAGACTGGAGAGGCCAAGCAATGCTGAGGATTGCAGGTGTGTTCGTCACTGAGGATTGCAGGTGTGTTCGTCAGGATTCCCCAGAGAAAGAGAACTAATATTATATATGTATACATACTTACACACACTACATGGAATTGGGTTACTCAGTTACAGAGGTAAGCAAGTTCTAAGATCTTCAGGGTGAGTTGGAAAGCTGGAGGCCCAGGAGAGCCAATGGTTTAGTTCTAGTCTGAGTCTGTATTAGTCCGTTCTCGCCCTGCTATAAAGAAGTTCCTGAGACTGTGTAACTTCCAAAGAAAAGAGATTTAATTGGCTCATGGTTCTGCGGGTTATACAAGCTTCACTTCTGGGGAGGCCTCAGGAAACTTAACAATCATGGTGGAAGGCAAAGGGGAAGCAAGTACTATCTTCACATGGTGGAGCAGGAGAGAGCAAGCGAAGGGAGAAACAACCAGATCTTGTGAGAACTCTACCACAAGACCAGCCAGGTCCATGGTGCTAAACCATTAGAACCACCCTATGATCCAATCACCTCCCAGCAGGCCCCACCTCCAACGCTGGGAATTATAATTCAACACGAGATCTCCGTGGTGACACAGAGCCAAACCATATCAGAGTCCAAGTCCGAAGGCCTGAGAACTGGCCTTAGTAGTGTAGTTCCAGTCTGAAGGTCAGCAGTCTTGAGACCAAGGAAGAGTCTATGTTTCAGTTCAAGTCTAAAGGCAGGAAAGGCTGGGCGGCGGCTCATGCCTGTAATTCCAGCACTTTGGGAGGCCAAGGCGGGTGGATCACCTGAGGTCGGGAGTTCAAGACTAGTCTGACCAACATGGAGAAACCCTGTCTCTACTAAAAATGCAAAATTAGCAGGGCATGGTGGCACATGCCTGTAATCCCAGCTACTCAGGAGGGTGAGGCAGGAGAATTGCTTGAACCTGGGAGGTAGAGGTTTCGGTGAGCCGAGATCGTGTCATTGCACTTCAGCCTGGGCAACAAGAGTGAAGCTCTGTCTCAAAAAAAAAAAAAAAAAAAAAAAGGAAAAAAGCTGATGTCCCAGTCCAAAGCCATTCAGGCAGGGAGAGTCAGCCTCTTTGTTCTATTGAACTGATTGGATGAGGCCCACTCACATTAGGAAGGGAAATCTGCTTTACTCAGTCTACTGATTGAAATGTTCATCTCATCCTAAAGCACTCCATAGAAAACACCCAGAAAAATGTTTGACCAAATATCTGGGCAGCCAGAAAGGCTGACATAAAACCAACCATCATAGCTGACAGCACCAGGAAGCTAAGAGAAAGCTGTGGAACAAATACTACCCTGGAGCCTTCAAGAAGAGCATGGCCATGCCGACACCTTAATTTTAGCCTTCTGCCTCCAGAAGTGTAAGAAAATAAATTTCTCTTGTTTCAAGTCATCCTACTTTGTGGTACTATGTTACAGCAGCTAGGAAAATAATACAGTAGGCTTCTAAAGCATTTTTTTTGAGACAGAGTCTTGCTCTGTTGCCCAGGCTGGAGTGCAGTGGCACAATCTCAGCTCACTGCAACCTCCACCTTCCAGGTTCAAGTGATTCTTGTGCCTCAGCCTCCTGAGTAGCTGCGACTAAAGGTGTGCACCACCATGCCCAGCTAATTTTTTGTATTTTTAGTAAAGACAGGCTTTCTCCATGTTGGCCAGGCTGGTCTCGAACTCCTGACCTCAAGTGATCTGCCCCACGGCCTCCTAAAGTGCTGGGATTACAGGCGTGAACCGCTGCACCCAGCCTAATGTATTTTTTTCTAGTCATTTCCATGGGTAAATCTTTACAGCCCTAGATTTTGTCTAGTGCTACAGTGTGCAATAGAGTAGCCACTAGCTACATGACTATTTAAATTTAAACTAAAATTAAGGCTGGGTGCAATGGCTCACACCTGTAATCCCAGCATTTTAGGAGGCCGAGGTGGGCAGATCACTTGAGGTGAGGAATTCACAACCAGCCTGGCCAACATGGTGCAACCCTGTCTCTAATGAAAATACAAAAATTACCGGGGTGTGGTGGTGCATGCCTGTAATCCCAGCTACTCGGGAGGCTGAGGCAGGAGAATCGCTTGAACCTGGGAGGCAGAGGTTACAGTGAGCCGAGATTGTGCCACTTCACTCCAGCCTGGGTGACAAGAGCGAAACTCCATCAAAAAAAAAAAAAAAAGAAAGAAAGAAAGAAAAATTAAAATTAAGAACATTTTAAAAATTCAGTTCTTCAGTTACACTATTCACATTTCAAGTGCTCTGCGGCCACATGTGGTTACTGGCCACTGTGTTAGACACAACAGATACTAGATCATCTCCATCAATTTGCACATTTCCAATGTACAAAGTTCTGTTGGACAGCATTGGTCTAGTGTATTAGTCGGTTTTCTCCTGCAATAATACTGCATAGCAACTCCAGAATTTCAGTGGTTTATAAGAATAAACATTTTTCTTGTTCAGAGGTCCATGGGGCAGCTCAACTTTAGGTTGCAGGTTGGCTGGACTTGGCTTCGGACTGCAGTTTAGGTTCAGATCTGCTCCATGTATCTCTTATCCTCTTTGGACTCAGGTATGTTCCTCTCATGACTAAAAGCAGGAGTGCAAGAAGGCAATCTAAACCAATCATATTCAGTTAACAGTCCATTGGCTAAAGCAAGTCACATGACCAAGCCTAATATCAGTGTCCTCAAGGAGAGGCTCTACAAAGTTACAAGGCAAATGGTATGGATGTATCATCCTACTATAAAGGAGTGAAGAAAAAAAAAGTAAAGGAATGAAGAACTGGGAATAATAATCCAATCTACCTCATGTGCCAAACGCTTATAAAGACCAGCCTGGGCAACATGGCAAAACTCTGTCTCTATGTGGTGGTGTGCACTTGTAGTCCCAACTACTAGTGAGGTTGAGGCTGGTCTTGAACTTCTGGGCTAAAGCAGTCCTCCCACCTCAGCCTCCCAAAGTGCTGGGATTACAGGCATGAGCCACCACACTGGCCATCCCCGTTGGAGTTGCCTCTCATATATATATAAAATAATAATATATATAATATATATATTTACCTTGGTGCTTTTCTTTTTTTCTTTTTTGTGAGACAAAGTTTCACTCTTGTTGCTCAGGCTGGAGTGCACTGGCGTGATCTCGGCTCACTGCAACCTCCGCCTCCAGGGTTCAAGCGATTCTCTTGCCTCAGCCTCCCAAGTAGCTGGGATTACAGACACCTGCCACCATGCCCAGCTAATTTTTGTATTTTTACTAGAGACGGGGTTTCACCATGTTGGCCAGGCTGGTCTCGAACTCCCGACCTCAGGCGATCCACCAGCCTCGGCCTCCCAAAGTGCTGGGATTACAGGTGTGAGCCACTGCGCCCAGCCAGTGCTTTTTCATATTAATATACATAGACACAATTCTTAAATTAACATTCACTAACTTACATTTACTGGTTTCTGTGTTCTGCTGGTCCCCCTCTTAATTAACTTAACGATGGTTACTTCAGATATCTGAACAATGGACGTGTGTTGAAAGACAACACAACCTGATTTTTGCCACTGGGCTGGCTCCCAATCTGGTTTAGGTGTGTTAACAGGCTGGGCCCGTCGTCTCAAGCCTGTAATCCCAGCACTTTGGGAGGCCGAGGCAGGCGGATCACTTGAGCCAAGGAGTTCGAGACCAGCCTGGCCAACGTGGCGAAATCCCGTCTGTATTAAAAATAAAAAAAATTAGCTGGGTGTTGTGGAGCATGCCTGTAATCCCAGCTACTCGGGAGGCTGAGGCAGGTGAATTGCTTGAACCGGGGATGTGGAGGTTGCAGTGAGCCAAGATCACACCACTGCACTCCAGCCTGGGTGACAGAGCCAGACTCCGTCTTAAAAAAAACAAACAACAACAACAACAAACACTGTTAATAGAGGTTCTTGAGATAAGTTAGGAGTTTCATTTCTCGCTTACAATATCTTTTGTAACTAATTTGATTTTATCTCTCAAACTGAAGTGTTATAGACCTGGTAGAGTAGATTCAAGGCAGCTGCTCTATTCTTTTTCTTCTTTCAAAATGGTTATGGCCAGCATGGGCAACATAGTGAAATCCCTTCTCTACTAAAAATATAAAAATTAGCTGGGCGTGGTGGTGCACGCCTGTAATCTCAGCTACTTAGGAGGCTGAGGCGGGAGAATCACTTGAGTCCAGGAAGTCGAGGCTGCAGTGAGCCGAGATCGCCCCACTGCACAAAAAAAGGTTGTAGTAAAACAACTGCTCTAATTCTTACCCCCTTAGCTAGTGAAAAGATGGAAATGCGACAGGATAGAGCGCGACGAGTGCTTTTAGGGCTAAAACTGAGTGGGTCACACACATGGCCTCCTCTCCCACCCGCTCCTGGCCAGAATTTAGTCACATGAGCGCATCTAGATCGCAGCCAGACGGATGGCCACGTGGGAGTGGGAGGTGATGCCACTAAAAGAGAGGGAATGCTTGGGGAACAATCAGCAGTCTTTTCTCAGGGTTTGAGAAAACACTGTGTCTTAGTGAGAAGACACAGTCTGTGCGAGTTAGTAAAGTGAACAGAACTGAGTAGTCAGCTCCCTAGTCAAGAAATTGAACAGTCGGCAGAGTTTGAGATTTCTTAACGTAAAGGAAGCGTCAAAAGATAAAGGACCCTTCTAGCCAGGACGCAAGACTGAGGGCGAGACAGCCACGCGGAGGCGGGGCCGCCGGCGGTCGAAGGTGCGCGCCCGGCCGACGGTGCGCGCCCGGCCGACGGTGCGCGCCCGGCAATGGGGCGTGGCCAGGCAGAGAGGCGGGGCTCCACCGAGCGCGGCGCTGAAGCTGGCAGCCAGAAAGGGGCGGGGCCTGGCGGCGATAGGCTTTGGGGCGGGGCTTCCAAACCGGGCGTCCCGGCTAGAGTGAAGGGGCGTGGGCACTCATAGGCTATTGGGGGAGAGGTTAAGAAACGTAGAATTTCGCAGCCAGAATGGGTACGTCTCAGCGATCCTGAAAGCAGCCTTGACAGCCAGAGGCGAGTCAAGTGGAAAGGCTGGCCGGGCTTCGAGAAGGGAGGGGGCATCGAGGTACTTAAAGGCCTGAATCGCGCGGCGTGACGTCGGGGGCGCGGTTTCGCGGCGTCTGGGCGGACACTGCGCCGAGGGGCGGGGCTGGACGCGCGCTCCAAGATGGCGGCGAACGTGTTCCCGTTCCGCGACGCCCGTGCCGCACCGGACCCAGTGCTGGAGGCCGGCCCGGTGGCACACGGGCCACTGCCGGTACCGCTGGTGCTGGACAACGGGTCGTTCCAAGTCCGCGCTGGCTGGGCGTGTCCCGGGCAGGACCCAGGTCCCGAGCCGCGCCTGCAGTTCCGCGCGGTGTGCGCCCGCGGTCGTGGCGGGGCACGGGGCGCGTCGGGCCCGCAGGTGGGGAACGCTCTGGGCAGCCTGGAGCCACTGCGCTGGATGCTGCGCTCGCCCTTCGACCGCAACGTGCCGGTCAACCTGGAGCTTCAGGAGTTGCTGCTGGACTACAGCTTCCAGCACCTGGGTGTCTCCTCACAGGTGAAGGGCGGAGTAGGCTGGGCTGGGCTGGGTTTGAGGGGAGGGGTGCGGTCTCGTCTCCGCTCACTCTGCTCTCGGAGAGGTAACAGTCACTTCAGTAGCTCCGATTGTCTTTTAGTCGACCAGATGCTAGGCGCTGTGGGTGTAGCAGCGAATAAAATGCTGCTCCTTGTATCTTGGAGCATACCTTTGGGCATATATGCTTGTTTGTTAAGAAGCCCATTTATTAACAAATACGTATTGAGCACTTACTCTGTGTCAGGCACTTTTTAGGCATTTGGAGTACATGTGTGAACACAAAACTTCCTGTGCTTATGGAGCTGTTAATACTATGGAAAGATATTCTAGTATGAAAAGGCAGACAGTAAACATAGAAATAGTAGATTCTACGCCGTGATAGGAGAGGAGGGAGTTACATTTTTTCAGTAAGATGGTCAGGGTAGGACTCGTGAAGGTGATGTTTGAGCAAGGACTTGAAGGAGGTGATTCAGGTAGCAAGCCATGTGAATATCTGAAGGAAAAACGGTCCAGGCAGAGGGAGCAGCCAGTAAAAAGGCCCCGAGGCAGGAGTGTGCCCTAATCCTAACTGCAAGGCTGCCTGTGTGAGGGGGAGAGTAGTACCTGAAAGAGGATGTCAGAGAGGTAGTGGAGAGGCAGATCACACACCTTATAGGCTTTTACTGAGTGAAATGGGGAGCCATGGCAGGGTGTTGAGCTGAAGAAGGACCTGACTTGTGTTTTAAAAGGATCACTATTACTGCTGTATGGAGAATGAATTGTCTTGGATCATAGGGTGGAAACAGGGACGAGTTAGGAGGCTGTTGGAATAACCCAGGTAAGGGATGATGGTGGCTTAGATGAGGCAGATAGCAGGGAATGTCATTAGAAGCAGTTGGATTCTGGAAATACTTTGAAGATAGAGCCAACACGATTTGCTGACAGTTTGGATGGGACCTTGACTTAATAACTTAAATTGACTCTACTTTCGTATTTTCAAGTAAAGATGAGATGGGAGTTTTATAATCGCCTCTGATCAGGTTTTTGATTAAGAAGCCAAAAGCAAATTCAGTCCTGCAATAAGGATTTTGGGTTCTTTTATGCTTCAAAAAGAGTATTCTGTTACCACTCATTTATTTGCCCTTTTCTTTCAAAGTAGGGCTGTGTTGATCATCCCATAGTTTTGACAGAAGCTGTGTGCAACCCACTGTATTCACGGCAAATGATGTCTGAGCTTCTTTTTGAGTGCTACGGGATTCCCAAGGTTGCCTATGGAATAGACAGCCTCTTCAGCTTCTACCACAATAAGCCAAAGAACTCGATGTGCAGTGGGCTAATCATTTCATCTGGATACCAGTGTACGCATGTTTTACCCATCTTAGAAGGGAGGTGAGTTGCACTTGTGGCATTTGAGTGCGATTTTGAGAAGCATTCAGGAAACATTTATTTACTGCGTGCTTTAAAGGCAGAGTAGAAAGAGCAAGTACTAGCCTGTGAACTGAGCCGTTGGGCTTAGCTTTGAACTACCTCACTGTGTGACTGGGTAAGTCCCTTTGCCCATAGTTGTGTCCTTTGTGACCTTCTGGAGGGAGTTGGGGTGGATGATCTCTTAGTTCCACATCCATAATTCTACAATATTATAATTCTGACATAATGGGGAGATAGCTAACATAGTATCTGCAGGTAGTAGGCATTCAGTAGAAATGTTTTGAATAAATTTAATCGAGACCATCTTTGTGTTCTGGAGTTTTTTTTGTTTTTTTTTTGTTTTTGTTTTTGTTTGTTTGTTTGTTTGTTTTTTGACAGAGTCTTGCTCTGTTGCCCAGGCTGGAGTGCAGTGGGATCTTGGCTCAGGGCAACGTCCGCCTCCCGGGTTCAATTGATTCTCCTGCCTCAGCCTCCCGAGTAGCTGGGACCACAGGCACCTGCCACCATTCCTGGCTAATTTTTTTTATATTTTTAGTGAGACAGGGTTTCACCATGTTGGTCAGGCTAGTCTCAAACTCCTGACCTCAAGTGATCCACCCTCCTTGGCCTCCCAACATGCTGGGATTACAGGGGTGAGCCACCGCGCCCAGCCAATTTCAAGTTATTTAATCACTATTGTTTAGACCTTTCAGGTACAGTGCCTGGCACGTAATGGACCCTTACTAAATATTTTCAAGTTGAATAAAAGGCAAGGGTAGTTTATGTCATATTTAAAAATCTGTTGCCACTTTATCGTTGAGCTTTAACTGTCTGATAAGAGCCTAGGCCACCACTGTGTTCTCCTGAGGTTTCTCACATTGGCACAAAGAGACCCACGCTTTACAGCTGAATGCCTGGGTTTGCAGCTCTGCTACTTAACTTCCTCACTTCATTTCCTGATACGTAAAATTGGGAAAAACTGATTTCCCAGGGTTACCCTGAGAATGAAATGAGATAAGGTAGGTAATGGCACTTTGTAAACTGTAAAGCAGACTGAACATATAAGGCAAATACCATTGAATTTCTCATGAAGTTTCTATGAAAATTTTTGAAGAAAAAAGTAATTCTTAGGTGTTACCAAATGCTCCTGATGTATGAAGTTCTCTATGTAAACAGAATATGCAAAAATAAAAAGTAACATATTTTATATTGAGAGAAAATTACCTGAAGGCTGGGAAATTATCAGAGTGAATCATATCGTGTTCTATGCTGGCATCTGCTGGTGAGGTATGATACAGCAGTGACATTTTAGTTCCCTACAGTAAGTTCCTAGTGCTCTGCCACTTACTTTCTCACATTAGGAAAATAAAATTATTCTGGTTCTTTTACAGTAAGTCAGGATGCGTGTGGTTACTTAACGTGTTTGCTTCAGTAGATGTGGAGTGTTAAGGGAGGGCTTCTTAAACTCTGGCCTTCAGTCACCTAGGGAGCTCATTAAAATGCAGATCCCCAGGCCCCACCCCAGAGCAGCTGTGTCCTGGGAATTGGCATGTTTAAAATTTCCCCCAGCTAATTCTGGGATACCTGGTCCCAGGACTACAGTTTGAGAAATATATGACGAGACTCATTAAGATCTGACTGGAGTGCATACTTGTTAGGTGGCCGTGTGACTGTATGGGTGAGCTAGGAATGCCTGCCTAGATAAGAGGTTATACCAGGGGAACTTCAACGTCCCTTCTGACTATCAGGTTTTGTATTTCTCCTGCTGGTCTGTTTCTTCTTTATCTGCCTTAAATTATCTTGTTTCTCCCAAGATGCTCCATATTTCTGTCCTCCAGAAATTTCAGTGCTGTTTTCTACTGCTTGGTTATAGATTAGATGCTAAAAACTGCAAGCGCATCAATCTTGGAGGAAGCCAAGCAGCTGGTTACCTCCAGCGTCTCCTCCAGCTGAAGTACCCTGGGCACCTGGCAGCCATCACCCTCAGCCGCATGGAGGAGATTCTGCATGAGCACAGCTACATCGCTGAGGATTATGTGGAAGGTATCCAAGAGGATGTTTGCCTGCAGCTTTTGGGTGTTGTCTACCTTGTATTCCTTAAATTATTGCCAGCATGATTCTTTGCTTGCTCACTTTTTAAGCACCTCCTTCCCCTTTTTGTATTCCCTTTCTTAAACTATTCAGTAAACTGATAACTTATGTTGTATAGGTTCCCTTCACAAATGGTAGCTTTTATAACTTGCCTTTAATACAGAACTTGGAATTGCACAACTTTCAGCTTTTCCAGATATTAAATATTTTTAAGAGTGAGCAGAACATATCAGACTAAAAATATCTTAAGCTAGAAAACAATTGAAATTGTTTTATTATACCCTTATAATAACATCTATGCTGCAGAAACACCTCTTTTTCTTTTCAAACTTGTCTTGGACTTTTGGTTGTATTTTACTTCAAATTAAAGTATGAGTTTTAGTTGCTATTGTCACATGAATGTGATGAAAATATCTTCCTCGTGAATTTAAATAGTTCATATAAAACCAAAGGACTACGGACAATGCCACTGTGAATACAACTCTATTCCAAGAATGGATTTGCTTGTTGTCATTGAGGGTACTGATCTCAGCTGACCAATAATGAGCTCCTGAAGGACAAAAACTGCATCTTTTTTTTTTAATTGTGAAAACCATATAACATAAATTTGCCATTTTAACCATTTTTAAGTATACGTTTCATGTGTGAAGAGCTGTGTTTTAATTAACTTTAGAAAGCATTTATTAAACATCTGTTATTCCTGGGATACAAAGAAGTTGCGGGAGACAGATAGGGAAATAAATAATTGATGAGGACACTCAGTCCGGAGAGTTAGAGGCTTGCCAGAAGACACGGCTGAGGCACACAGCTCTCCGTGCTCCCACTTCTCTGTTCTCCAGTTGCTCTGGTATTGACTCTTTTTTTTTAGTTAACTTTTTCTTTTACAATTCTATGATATGATTATAAAGAGAGAGCATGAGGGAATTTTTTGGGATGATGAACTCTTCCGTATCCTGATTGTGGTGTTGATTACATATGCTTTCTCTTTATAATCATATCCTGTTTTTATCCACAATAAACAGGAACAAACTACTGATACACTCAACAACTTGAATGAATCTCAAAGGCATGATGTTGAGTAAAAAAAAAAAAAAGTTTCAAAAGGTACATACTATTTGATTCCATTTATGTGACATTTTGAAAAGATAAAACCATAGTGATAGAGAAGAAGTGAGGGAAAGATTGCCTGGGCTTGGGATAGAGACAAGCTTTTGGGTGAACTTGTTTTCATTTCTCCAGAGTAAATAGATTGCTGGGTCATGTGCTTGCATGGTATGTCTTTCCGTCCTTCTACTTTTAATCTACCTATATCATTATATTCAAAGTGAATTTCTTGGTAGTTGGATGATTTTTAAAAAAAATCTATTCAGTCAACCTCTATTTAATTGTTAGACTAAACCATTTATAATTAGTTTTAATTATTCATATGCTTGGATTTAGGTTCACCATTTTATTATTTGTTTTTGTTCCTTCTGTTTATTGTTCCTCTGTTTCTCTCTCCTGCCTCCTTTTAGGTTATTCGAGCTTTTTTTTTTTTTTTTTAAAGTATTTTATCTGTTGTGTTTTTTACTCTACCTTTTTATTGTAGTTTTTAGTGGTTGCTTTAGAGATTACAGTAAACACAACTTTTCACAGTCTACTTAGATTCTGTATTTACCACTTCAAGGGGAATGTGGAAATGTTAGCAATGTACAGACTCCTTTATTTCGCCCGGTTTATCTTAAAGTTGTCTTATTTATTTCATCTGTATACATTGGAAACCCATCAGACAGTGTTGTGATTTTTACTTTCAGTTGTCAAATAGGTTTTAAAGAACTCGTAAGGAGATTAGTCTGTTATGTTTAACCAGATTTTTATCATTTCTGTTGCTCTTCCTTCATTCCTGATGCTCCAAGCTTCCTTCTGGTGTTGTTTCTCGCTGAAGAACTTACTTAGCAGTTCTTTTAGAACAGGCCTGCTGGCATTATGTCCAGGTTTGGTAGCTGCTTTTAGTTGATTGAGTGGATTCAGGGATTGGATGGAGTGTATTTTCTCCATCTGACCTATGTCTGAAATGCTGGTACTGACTTTAAAAAAAACAATGGAGTCGGCCGGGCATGGGGGCTCATAGCTGTAATACCAGCACTTTGGGAGGCCGAGGCGAGTGGATCACGAGGTCAGGAGATCAAGACCATCCTGGGTAACATGGGGAAACCCCATCTCTACTAAAAATTCAAAAAAATTAGCCGGGCATGGTGGCAGGCGTCTGTAGTCCCAGCTACTCAGGAGGCTGAGGCAGGAGAATGGCGTGAACCCGGGAGGCAGAACTTGCAGTGAGCCGAGATCGCACCACTGCACTCCAGCTAGGTGACAGGGCGAGCCTCCCGAGTACCTGGGATCACAGGTGCCCGCCACCACGCATGGCTAATTTTTTTGTATTTTTAGTAGAGACAGGGTTTCACTGTGTTAGCCAGGATGGTCTTGATCTCCTGACCTCGTGATCCGCCCACCTCGGCTCCCCAAAGTGCTGGGATTACAGGCGTGAGCCCCTGCGCCCAGCTGGTATTGACTTTAATTGTTGTGTTAATAGTGTTTCCATTTCATAACTTTCAAAATTGTTTCTTTGAAGAATTACACAAATGGCGGTGTCCTGATTATTATGAGAATAATGTCCACAAGATGCAGCTCCCATTTTCCAGCAAGCTCCTGGGCAGCACTCTGACCTCTGAGGAGAAACAAGAAAGGCGGCAGCAGCAATTGCGGCGGCTGCAGGAGCTCAATGCCCGGCGGCGGGAGGAGAAGCTGCAGCTGGATCAGGAGCGTCTGGACCGACTGCTATATGTGCAGGTAATAGCAGACACAGGGACGGGCGCCCTTCCGTGTTAACAAGATAGTCTCAGAAGATTTTCTTGCATATTTTTCCATTGGCCTTAAGATGCTTTGACTGTTTGTCACCTTTGGGGTCACGAAGGAGTCCAGGGGGATCATCAGCATAGAATACAGTGTAGAAGCAGCTGTTTCTGAAAGAGCTGTGGACTCCAGCATTATTTATTTTCACCTTATAAACTCCTTTATGTTTTTAAACTTTGTAAGTGTAGCATACATGATGCAAAGTGCACAAATCTTTATGTTTCATCTTGATGGATTTTCAAAGTGAAACTCACCCGTGTATCTGCTGTCAGGTTAAGAAACAGCATTGTCAGCGTTCCAGAAGGCTCCTTTCATGTCTCCTCTTAGTAACTTTCCCACCTTCCTTCACATCCCCCGCCCCACCAAAAAAAAAAAGGGTAACAACCTTTTAGACATCTGTCACCATCATTAGTTTTACCTAATCAGTTGTTGCTGGAACTGTGATGCAATGCTAGCCTAGAGACAGAGAGGTGGGCAGCTGTGTGAAACTGGAGGCAGCTGGAGGCGTGGCTCTGGGCAGGGTAGGCCAGGGGAGCTCTGGAAGCCCTCTCCAGCTGTCGTTTTCTCCGTTTGGCTTTGAAGCTACTTTCCTTCCTGTTTGTGACTGCTCTGTTTTCAGGAACTTCTAGAGGATGGCCAGATGGATCAGTTTCACAAAGCTCTGATAGAGCTGAATATGGACTCCCCAGAAGAGCTGCAGTCCTACATCCAGAAGCTCAGTATAGCAGTGGAGCAGGCTAAGCAGAAAATCCTCCAAGCGGAAGTCAACCTCGAGGTGGATGTGGTAGACAGCAAGCCAGAGGTAACTTAGGGCCTTGGAAGGAGCAGCCCTTCTTGAGGGGAGGAGTGTCCTGAGAGGCCTGACATCAAAGGGGTTGTGCCCAGAGTCAGGAGGGAAAGAGAGCAGAGGGGATGTGGGTGGTGGTGGAGATGGCACTGACCTTGTACCAACTGAAATTCTGTCAGAAGGGATTTCACCCTGTAGATCCCCGGACCCCTGAGCGCAGAAAGTGCATTTAACGTAGGAAGAACATTCACACACCAAACCTGTGGTGCTGTCTTGAACCTAAACCAGCTCCACTGATAGTCATTGGCAGTCATATACTTCCTTTAATTTTCTTTTAGTGTTTTATTAAATATATTGTGGTTGATTGTTCACTTACCTCCTTTCCATCTTGATGTTCCCTAAGGACAGGGATCATGCTTCATACATGATTTATGAATTTTTTACAGCAGTTGGTAGTTATGCTCAATAATATATGTATAGGTTGCCTTAAGATCAGCCTTTTATTAGTTGCTAAAGACCCTTTGCATAAGCTCTTTGATTTTCTCTTCTTCTTCTTCTTCTGTTTCCTCACCCGTGCACTGTTAATAAGTGTTTTTGAGGCCGGGCGTGCTGGCTCACGCTTGTAATCCCAGCACTTTGGAAGTCCCAGGCAGGCAGATTATCTGAGGTCAGGAGTTCAAGACCAGCGTGGCCCACATGGCGAAACCCTGTCTGTACTAAAAATACAAAATTAGCTGAGTGTGGTGGCACACGCCTGTGATCCCAGCTACTTGGGAGGCTGAGGCAGGAGAATCACTTGAACCTGGGAGGCAGAGGTTGCAGTGAGCCGAGACCGCTCCGTTGCACTCCAGCCTGGGCAACAAGAGCAAAACTCCATCTCAAAAAAAATAAATAAATAAATAAGTATTTTTGTTTGTTTGAGACAGGGTCTCACTTTGTTGCCCAGTTAGAATGCAGTTACATGTTCATAGCTCAATATAACCTCAGACTCCTGGGCTTAAGTGGATCCTCCCACCTCAGCCTTCTAAGAAGCTAGGACTACAGGTGAACGCCAGCATGCCTAAGTCATTTTTACAATTTTTTGTAGAGATGGGGTCTCACCAAGTTGTCCAGGCTGGTCTCGAACTCCTGGCCTCAAGTGAACCTCCCACCTCAGCCTCCCAAAGCACTGGGATGACAGGCTTGAGCCACCATGCTTGGCTGTTAATAAGTGTCGAAGTAGCCAAAAGAGCTTAGGCCCCAGCATCTTAGTTCCTGTATGGCAAAGGGGCAGCCTGCAGGTCACTCCTCAGTCCAGAAGTCGCTGGTTGAGTCGCCTGCCTTTAGAACTGAAACAAAGAGTAAGTGTACATCCTGTTCCTGGATCTGTCATCCCTAGAATTCCAAAACAAAGGAACTTACTGCCTTGAGACATGTTTTAGGCAGGATAAACCAGACTAGCCTCTTGTTTTTTGTTTTTTGTTTTTTCCTTTTTAAATCAGCTTTCATTAAGCTGTTGATTACTTATCCTTTCAGAAAAAAAATGATACTTTGGAAAAATGCAAGTCAGTGCCATTTGATGCTGGGTGTAGCATAGTGCTTATCAGTGATGTCAGAGTTGCCTTTGGCTCAACAGGAAGCTTGCTTTTGCAGTGATGGGCTCCCAGCTGGAGGCTCGCTCAAGGTTCTGCTCTCACCGTTGCATCCTCTACATCTCATTCCCAGGCTGTCGATTATGTGAGGACAGTACATGAGTGTATGCTTTATAGAGCAGATCCTGAGATAGGCTTACTAGATACACCTTATTGGATCACCAAGATCTTGTGTAGAAGGGGCCTTTACCATCTTCTTCCAACACAGCATCCCAGATCAGCCTCAGTTGAATCAGTGTGTGCCTTTTCCATTTTGCTTCTCTTGGTTTTTCAGGTCTTTGAGATTTGAGTTGTTGTTTACTGAAATCCGGAACCATGTTGTCTTTGTTATGTATTCATCCATATTTAGTTTTTATCATGCTTGACATGTTAGCAGGACATAGTTTTCTTTATACCAGAGCAGTGCCACTCAGCCACAAGCAGATGAGGGATTTCAGATTTCAAAAAGGGAAAAAAAACCAAACAGCTGTGAAGATGTGATTCTTCAGCAGTGGGGAAACTAGTTTTTCCTTTTCTTTGTTCATTTGTCTGCATTTGTTACATGATGTGATTCATCACCCATTCCCCCATTCTTTCAGCAGATACTCAGTAGGTACCTACTTCATTTTATGCTCTGGTACACACATTTAAATCTCCTTGGGTTTAGGGGATTTTGAAATGCCGGACTGCAAAAGATTTTTCTATATGCAACAAATTTGATGATCAGTTGGGCCGGGCACGGTGGCTCACGCCTGTAATCCCAGCACTTTGGGAGGCCGAGGTGGGTGGATCACCTGAGGTCAGGAATTCGAGACCAGCCTGACCAACATGGTGAAACCCTGTCTCTACTGAAAATAGAAAAATTAGCCGGGCGTCGGGGCAGGCGCCTGTAATCCCAGCTACTCGGGAGGCTGAGGCAGGAGAATCGCTTGAACCCAGGAGGCGGAGGTTGCAGTGAGCTGAGATTGTGACATTGCACTCCAGCCTGGGCAACAGAGCAAGACCCCGTCTCAAAAAAAAAAAAAAGTGATGATCAGTCGTCAAAGCTTTAATGGTTAGTCAGCATTCAGCATTTTAGGGTAATTCTTAATGATCAGAGTCAATTACAGTCACATTTGTGGGATAAACTTGACCATGACAATGGCTAGCCAGTTCTACCATTCAAAAAGTATTTGTAGAGTTTCCAATAATATAATTCATTTAGAATGAATTGAATCAATATATGTGAACCAAAATTCATATTGAAATTGCACTTAAGCAGTAATGGCTGAACTGAATTAATACAGCTGGAATTTAACTAATAGAGGTCTCGAAAATCTATTTTTTCTTATAGACCAATCTATTCTGACCCTTGCTATTCTGCAGTTGTTTCTGTGAGGATGTTGTGAAGGAGCAGGCTTTGTTAGCATTTTTACCAAGTATTTAAACCAGAAGATGCTTGCTTTTCATAGCTACAAGCACAGCATAAGAGGGTAGGAGGGGGGAGAACACAGGTTTTGAGCATCATCATTTGTTGGAAAACGCAATGGGCCAAATATAGAAAGTTCTCCGGCTTTACTAGCCAAGATCAGGGTTGGCCTCTGCTTCTTCTTATGCCGCTCAAGGCTGTTTTAGGGAACCATGCTGCATCTTCTGTGGTATGCCTTGGCAAACTGTCATTCCCTGCAGTTCCAAAAGAACAGTCATATTAGTGTTTCTGAACGCCACATAAGACATGTGGAGACCCTGGCAAACTCTAGCGAGAGAGAAGCCAGCCGTGGCAGAGAAAACTATTCTCTGTTGGATGCCTGTTCTCTGTGTTGAAATGATCAGCTTTGTTCCTCTCTGCGACTTGTATGAATTGGGATAAATAAATGTCCTTTTTATAATTTTTGTGAAGCTAAGAAGTTATCTTAAGATGGTATGCTTTGGAGTGAAGCTAGGTGAAGGTGAATGTTGATTTTTTTTTGGCAGCTGAAGAAACCTCTTGAAACCCAAAGCTTTACAATCATCTCTATTTCAGGGGAATTTGAGGGTGTATCCCAGGGGCCCACCACTCAGTGACAGGTGCAGTATACCAGGGATGCAGAGGTGATTAAGATACAATGCCTGCCTTCCTGGGTACCTCAAAAACAAAAAATGAGGGCTATAGCACCATGCTTAGCTGACTGTAATGAAGCGTAGCAGGTATGGTGGTAAATGTGTGTGGGAATACACATTTGGTTTTTTGAGAAGGACTGGATGTTTCAGCTGGGCCTTGAAAGATTATTTGGGCCGGGCACAGTGGCTCACATCTGTAATCCCAACACTGAGAGGCTGAGGAGGGAAGATCACTTGTGCCCAGCGCTTTGAGACCAATCCCTGAGTCACATAGACCCCATCTCTAAAAAAAATTTTTTTAATTAGCTGGGCATGCATCTGTAGTCTCTGCTTGAGAGGCTGAGGTGGGAGGATCACTTGAGCTTGGGAGTTCGAGGCTGCAGTGAGCCATGGTTGTGCCACTGCATTCCAACCTGGGCAACAGAACAAGACCCTGTCTAAAAAAAAAAAAAGAAAAGGAAGATTATTTGATTTCAGTAGGTAGCAAAAGGAGGAGGGAAGGACATTTTAGGTGGAAAGAACCACACATGCAGGCATATAGAGTGTGAACAAGAAAAGCTGTGGTGGGTGATGAAGTGGAGATGACTATTAAGTTCTTTACCCATCAGTCTTATGAGCCTGCATATTATCCTTCAGACATTCGGAGCCTTCCAGGGATGTTGAGCAAGGGAATGAGACGATGAGATTTTGTTTTGGGAAACTAACTGGTGGCAGTTAGGATGATGGGTTGAAGGGAGGGGTGAGACTGCAGGTGGGAAAACAAAACAGATGTAGGATCAGATGTAGGATCCCAAGATCTCGCTGCCATTTGCAAGCCAAGGTGACAAGAGTAGCAGTGTTGATAATAGAGCATGTGGCATGTGCCGACTCCTTGCTGAGCACCTACGTAGGTGTCCTCCTGGTTCGTGTTCACAACTCAATGGGTAGGTACTATCATTATCCCCCTTTTACAGACAAGGAAAGATTTGGAGTGAGGTCACATAGCTAGAAGTAGTGCTGATCAAATTCACACACAGGCAGTTCAATTCCAGATTCCACCCTTGTAACCCTTAGGCTGTATTGAAAGGCAGTGGGTAGATGGTAGTGCCTTTTGACCAAGTTTGGGAAGATAATTGGCTTAGTTTTGAGCACCTTTTTTTTTTCTTTTTTTTAAGAGATTGGATCTTACTCTGTTGCACAGGCTGGAGTATATGTTGTGATGATGGCTCACTGTAATTTATCCTTCAGACATTCGGAGCCTTCCAGGGATGTTGAGCAAGGGAATGAGACGATGAGATTTTGTTTTGGGAACTCCTGGGCTCAATTGATCCTCCCACCTCAGCCTCCCTAGTAGCTAGGACTACAGGAGTGCACCACCATGCCCGGCTAACTTTTTGCTTTTTAATTTTTTGTAGAGATGGGTCTCACTGTGTTGCCCAGGCTGTTCTCGAACTCCTGGCCTCAAGCAAGCCTCCCACCTTGCCTTTCAAAGTGCAGGGATTACAGGCATGAGTCACCGTGCCTGGCCCTGAGCTCCTTATCTTTAAAATTGTTGTAGGACATCAGGTGGAGCTTTTCAGCACTCTGTGGGACATCAGGTGGAGCTATGGGAGGACAGAATCAAATGGGGAGGAAGAAAAGAAAAATTCCTGGAGAATGCCACCACTTGAAAGTTAGGTGACAGAAGAAAAGCCAGGACGAAGATTGAGCAGGAGCAGTAAGAGATAAAGGAAGCCAAAAGGGTTGATGGGAGAGTTAAAAGCTTGAATGGTCAGCTTAACCTAGGATGAGAATTATTTTTTGAAACAAGGAAAGCTTGAAAGGATAAGAAAATAGGATGTGAGGGTGATCTGGCTGCGATATCTGTCACCCCATTGATTGCCAGGGTTGATTCGGCTGATCTGGCTGGCTAAGCTGGTGTCTTTCTGTCCTCACCACTTCGTGTGTGTCTCTCCCAAAGCTGCATGCTTGGTCGAAGAGGACGACCATCCCCAATAGAGGAGGACTGATCTTCCGTCAAGAGTATACGAGTAGCTGCGCTCCCCTGCTAGAACCTCCAAACAAGCGCTCAAGGACATGAAAATAGATAAGGAAGTAGAATGAAGAATAAAGAGGGAAGTTCATTTTTTGAGGCAACTAAGATGATCTTTTAAGATTTCCAGGGTTGAGATTAGAAAGGAGACTGTGGAGAAGGGTGTTGGGAAAGGGCAGGCAGAAGGAAGCTGAGAAGTAACCACAGGATTGCCTAAATAGCACCTGGGACTTTCTGCACTCCTGCCCCCCTGGAGCATATTTAACTTTTCTATTGCTACAAAAACCATTCCAAACTTAGCAGCATAAAACAGCAACCATTTTATTGTGCTCATGGGTTTGGTGGGTGAGGAATTGAGAGAGGCTACAGGGATCTCTGCTTCAAGTTGCCTGGAGCCACTGCTGGGAAGAATTAAATAGTTGGGGACTGGAATCAGCTGGAGGGTTTTTTACTTACCTGTCTGGTATCTGGGCTGGGAGGACTCAAGGTCTGGGTTCATGGGGGACTCTTGACCCAGGCACCCACATATGGCCTCTTGGTGTGCCTTGGGCTCCTCCCAGTGTGGCCACTGGTTTCCAAGAGGGAGCTTCCCAAGAGAGCAGCTAGAGAGTGAATGTTTCAAAAGATGAAAGCATAAGCTGCATGACCTTTCAGGACCTTACCTTAGAAGTCACATGACATCATTTGCACCATACTTTGTTGGTTGTAGTCCTCACAGTCCCCCACTGAGACTCAAGGGGAGGAAACAAAGACCCTCCACCTCTGTTTGGGGAGTGTCAAGGTCACATTACAGAAAAGTGTGTGGGATAGAAGTCACTGTTGTGACCTTCTTTTAAAAATATAATCTGCTCCGGAGCCCAAGTGGAAAGAGTACTGGGAGGCATCCTTTAGACTGCAGGCTTACTGGTTGGGTGTAACAGAAGCAGATAGAGTTGGTGGAGGGATGACGGCAAAAGTGATTGGATTCCAGGCTGGGTAGAGAAGGGCATGTGAATCCACAGGAAAGGTCATCACTTGGATTGAGGGAGGCTGGAGTGGAGGTTAGGATGAAGATGAAGAATAGGGTAAAAATGTGGGATGTAGAGAGGAAGGACTCCAGTGGAGCCCAGTGCTTGCTTTCACCTGTTACTTGGGGAATCACAGGTTACAGGTTTTGTCTGTAGTTATTTTAAATACACAGATGACATCTTTGTCTTCAACCCAGTAATACAACAGAATTATTTAAGGGACCAAATTGAGTGTGTGTTTAAAAGGGAAGAGGGAAGCGTTGTTCGTTTCTCACCCGACGCTGCCCTAAGTTCACGTCCCACTTTTACATAGATGGAGAAGCAGCTCAGAGTGTACTGTTTCCAGCTCTAGTACTGTGACCTTTAATATACCTTTGGTTGCCATTCCGAGCTGGATCAGTGTGACTCCAGAGCCTGACCACCTTCTGTTATGTCACACTGCCTCCTGGTTCCTGGTTCCCCCAGATGACAAACCACCAAATGAAAAAGAACTTTGATGATTAATTTCCATTCCTCCCCTGGAACCCCTTTGGGGTCATTCCTGAAGAGCTGGGTTTGGTGCCAAGCCAGAATAGGCACAGACACTCCCATGGTAGGGCTCCTTTCTTGTGAGGGAAGCTGAGAGTCTTCCAGATCACAAACTGCAGATGGCAAGGGGAATGTTCCTTTACTCCCTCTCTGCTGTCCCTGCTGGGACAGAGGAGCCTGTCATTGCCTCAGCTGGTCTTGCTGCTGCATGTAAAATCTTTCATTCATCTCTTGTATTACCTACTCTGACCTCAGGCTAGATTGTTTTCATGTTCCTAAAGCCCCAATTGTCTTATCCTTAGCCTCATGATTTATAGAACTCCAGCTTAAGGCAGAACAAAGACTTTGGAACTGAGCAGTTCTGCCTCTTCCCACATGTCCACTGCCTACTAGTGTGATGTGATCTTGGGCAAGTTACTTCACCTCTCTGAGCCATAGCATCCTCACCCATCAAATACAGTAATGTCTGCAGTGAGGGTTGTGCAGATAGCAGGTGTCCCTCCCCTCTTTGTCTGATTCAGTATTGGCAGGGACAGCTTTTGCTTCCTTCCCTGAGAGCAAGGTTCTTTAGATTCGTGTCACCCAACCCATCTTCCTCCTCCTCAGATTACCTCTATAAACCAGCCCCCTCATCCTGTGCACAAGTCTCACATGAAGAAACATTCACTTTCCTTTCCAGGGTTTATCCTCAAGCCTGGAAAATCCCCCTCAAATACTGTAGAATCATCTATACTGAACAGAATTTAGAGTACATTGTCACCCATCTTGCATGCCATATTTGCCACATGACTTTTGGTGTGTGAATGTGTGTGGGGTATTGAGGGGTATTGCCTTATTTTAATGCTAGTTTACATTTGCAGTATATATGAGTAGGTTCTAGAGAAGTATATTTAAGTCCTCTGAATTATGTTGGTGATTTACATACTTCATAAATTCCGAGAGTAAGGAGAGACTCAGAATGCATACTCAATGGCGCAGTCTCCTCTCAAGCATACTTGGCTTTGGTTACACTCTGCTTGAACCCTCCCAAGACACTACCTCATAAGACAGTCCATTCTGCAGCAGCTGTCATTGTTACAGCATTCTTCCTTGGGATGCAACTAAATATTTCTACCCAGAACTTCTCTCCATTGAGTCTAATGACAGATGGCTAAAGATGTCTTTCAGAACCACCACCATCCCCAACTTATTTTGTACAGTTTAAAATTAAAAGCACCCTAACTTCTCTTTTGGAAATGGTGCCAGCATGTCTAGACCCCTTCCAGGTTCATTGTGGTCATAGAGGGAACTTGTTCTGCAGGACTCCACAGATAGCAAGCACTCTGCTACCTTGGAGCCTCTAGTCGCATTCCCAGCCCAGTGGGACCTGCTATTAAGGGACTGATTGTTGAGCTCATTAGCGTTGGCACATACATTTATTTATATTTCTGAGGCAGAGTCTTGCTCTTTCACCCAGGCTGGATTACAGTGGCATGATCATGGCTCACTGTAGCCTCAACCTCCCAGGCTCAAGTGATCCTCGACCTCAGCTTCCCAAGTAGCTGGGGCTGTAGGTGCTCACCACCACGCCCAGCTAATGTTTGTATTTTTTGTAGAGACAAGGTTTCACTCTGTTGCCCACGCTGGTCTCAAACTCCTGGGCTCAAGGAGCCCACTTGCCTCTGCCTCCCAAAGTGCAGAGGGATTACAGGCGTGAGCCACTGCTCCCTGGCCAGCAGATGTATTTATTAATTATTAAAAGATTGCTTTAACTTTGCTGGTAGTCTAGCTGCCTTGTAGGATAGCAGCTGTCACACCCTTCTCTTAGAGTTGCGTGTGTGGTGGTGTGACTCATGCAAGCAGCAAGTCTTCCACGGGGCCCAGCCATGAGCTGGCACCATCAGAAGGCTTTAGAGAAGGCGGGGGTTGGTGAGGCTTGTATAAAGTAGGAAAGGTAGGAGATCAAAGCAAAGCCCGTTCCTGGCTTTTTAGTCTTCGTGTTCATGTGTGCTTTTTTAAAAATAGCTTAGAAAAATTTTCATAGTTTTTATGTAAGGTTTTAGAACATTGGGCAAGATCCCAGTTCTTTTTTGTGGCACTAAAATGATAGAACTGAGGCCTGCTGAAGGTACAGGTTCTGTTTCATTTTGCTCCTTCTCTTAGACCCCTGACCTGGAGCAGCTGGAGCCGTCTTTGGAAGATGTGGAAAGCATGAATGATTTTGATCCCTTGTTTTCAGAGGAAACACCTGGAGTGGAGAAGCCGGTCACCACTGTTCAGGTTTGACTTCTACAGCCCAGAACATGCTTATTCTTTGAAGGTGTTGACCTAAATGGCTGGGCTAGTCTGTTTCTTTAGGACTTAAAACTGTTATGTTTTTTAGAAAATTGGGTACCAATACTTAAAACATCTGAAATCAGGGATTTTTTTCCCCCGGTGATTGATCGATTGGTTCTAGTACCAAGATCTGTGAATCTCTGAGAAACAGTCCACCCGGCAGAAACATTTGGTAAAGTAATTGGGAACTTGAGATCTGAATACTGGCTTGTAATAGTTTCATTTACATTTAAGCCAATGCCAGTACACATAATCCTCTTTGGAATCTATGTTTCTGTCATTACAATGCCAACCAGATAAACTGTCCTGAGTCTGAGACCCACCTGGGAGAGAGCTTCCTTGCCGTGCAGGGATAGGGCACTAAGCAAGGCACTGAGCAGGAGACTTGTCCTCTAGACTCGGCCTTTTACTGCTGCTCTCCACAAAGCCTCTCCCTGCAACTCGGGGACCATTTCATGATGGAAACATGTACATGTTTATAATACACAGGTTGGAAGAAGGTAGGAAATTGAATTAGCAGGTCAAGAGAGTTGGGAGAAGCTATACTGGCATTAACAAGGGACAGAAACTATTGGGATTAAGAAACGCAGTTTGAGGAAACTAGCAACTGGAATGTTTGTCATTTGGCCTAAAAATATCTTTTAAACCTTGGGTTTTTAAAGCCCGTGTTTAACTTGGCAGCATATCATCAGCTATTTGTTGGGACAGAAAGAATTCGAGCTCCAGAGATTATTTTCCAGCCATCTCTCATAGGAGAAGAACAGGCTGGGATTGCAGAGACTCTTCAGTACATTCTGGACAGGTGAGACAGCGAATCTGCTTTTCCTTCTATCTTCCTGAACCATTTCCTTGGATTTTGCATTGAATGGTAGATTTGATGGTCAGGCACTTGAAAATGCATCTCACTCTCTTCTTTTCATTGACTTGCTGTGCTCAGATAGTATTCCCTTCATCTCTTATCACCAGGCCTGGCACGTAACTGGGGCTCTGTAGTTGTTTTCTGAACCTGTAAATGCTGGGTTGACTGAGTAGCTTTAAGAGTGTCTTTTAAGTTTGAACAACCCGATAACATGTACACTGGTTTCCATGTAAACCTTCACATTATTAAAGACTAGTGATTTTAAATCACCCTAAAAATATTGCAGAGCTAATAAAATTTTTTTCCCCTCCTTGCAGGCATTTTACTTATTTAAGAGTTACATTTCCATAAGAATCCAGGTGTTTTACCCATTTATGCGGGCATTTTCCTGCAGTGTGAATTTGATAATTCAAGTTGGGCAAGTAGAGAATGGAATTTTGTAGGACTCTGGCTGCTGTTGGTCATAACGGCAGGGAAACTTGTACCTAGCAAGGAAGAAAAAGCTGTTGCTGCTACTTTGTTTGAGTGGCTTTGAGCTTTGTCTTGACAGTGGTTGGAAAGTGATCAAACATGTCTTAGATAAAGCTGTTATTAAAAAAGATAAAAAGAAAGCACAGGTCGATAGATGGGCCCTCAAAAGGGAGGCATGGCTTTTGGGGATAATGGAAATGTTTTGTGTCTTAATTGTAGTGATGGTTACTGGAATGTATAAATTAGTTAGACTTTATCAAAATGTATGTAAATTTATCCTCAAGTTTATTTTTTAAATGTATTATAAAAGTATAAAAATTCTAATCATGTTAAGGAAATAAGTTGACCATTCAGATTACGGTTTTGTCTGGCTGTTTGGAAACATTGGGCTGGCGTTTTGTAGAGACACAAATGAAAAATGAAAGTTTTGATTTTTTTTTTTTTTAGCTTTTTGTGTAGAAGTTTTTCTGTTTTGTACTGAGAGCTTACATTTCTGCATCCACATTTCGTTCTGATATTTGAGTTAAGGGACTATATTAGGAGTTGTTTCTTTCCTAGGTACCCAAAGGACATTCAGGAAATGCTGGTTCAGAACGTTTTCCTCACTGGCGGCAACACGATGTATCCTGGCATGAAAGCCAGAATGGAGAAGGAACTGTTGGAGATGAGACCCTTCCGGTCTTCTTTTCAGGTACTGATTGTTCGAGTAGTCAATTATTTTGAAAATAGCATTACCTGTTTTCTGATTGCAAAAGTAATAATCATGCAGAAATATCCACTGTTAACATTTTTGTGGCTTTTCTTCTGGTCTTAAGTCCATGCTTAATTTTTAAAGCAAAATGGGAATCATGTTTTATATACTGTTTTGTGGTTTCTTTAAATTGGAAGATGAAGACATGCGTAGAATTCTAAGAGTGTGAAAGAGTGTACATCAAAAATAAGTCATTCTCCTACCCAGTCCGGGCCCCTGTAGACATTGTGGGGCATGGGATACATTGGAGCGTTCCAGACAGAAGGACTAGCATGAGCAAGGGCACAGGGGCCAGAAGCTTGTTGAGGGAGTGAGAAGTGGCTGAGTGTTGCTGGAGCACATGGCTGATAAAGAGGAGAGGAGGTGGGTAACGTAGAGAGGTCAGCAGAGCCCACACTGCAGAGCCTGTGCATCCTGCTAAGAAGCTTGGCCTTGGTCTGCTCTGCTTTGCTGCATGATGTCGTGTACATTCAGGGGGGCGTCTCTGGGCTTTGGTGCTGACTCCATCATCACCATTACTGAATTGTGCTAAGCTTTGGCTGTCTCAGTGGTAGGAAGGGGGTAATCGGTACCTGTTGCTGGGATTCAGTGTACTGGTGCCTGTCAAGCGCCCGACAGTGGGCCTGCATGTAATAAACTCTCAGACATGAGCTGTTGTGTTGAGGGTCCCTAAGACCATTCCAGGCAGGATGATTCTCTGGGAGGATTCACAGGACTCAGCTTGTAATCCTACTTACAGCTGTGACTTACTACAGCAACTCAGCAGAGAGACAAGGTGCCCGGGGTGAAATCTGGGAGCAACCAGGTGTAAGCATCCGAGGCCTCTCCCTGTGGAGTCACACAAGACATAATTTCCCCAGCAGTGCCTTGTAAAAGCACATTAAGTGTTGCCAACCAGGGAAGCTTGTAGGAGACGCAGTGTCTAGGGTTTTTATTTGGGGGCTGATCACATAGGCACCCCCTGCTTGGAGCATACCCAAATTCCAGGCTCACAGAAGGGAAGCACGTGTTTGGCATAAACCACATTATTTGTGTGAATGGGCTTATTGAGCCATTCTTATCAGGTGGTGGTAGGAACCCTCCCAATATCCAAGTTCCCAGATGCCTACCAAGGCCCCACCCTTGTAAGTATGCCTTTCTAAGGTAACAGTAGGGTGGTCCTGTTAACTCTTTTCTGCACAGCTCTTATTTTTAGGCCATAGTGATGAACCATGAAGGAGTCTAAGCAGGGAATGTGATCTGATTTACATTTAGTAAGATATATTTGACACTGTTGTGCAAAATAGAGTATTAAGAGAAATATTGGAAGCAGACCAGTTAGGAGGCAGCTTCCCAGCCTCTAGGAGGAAGTCCTCACTCCACTCACCAGGATTTACAGGGTCTCTTGTGTTCTGACCTTAAGAACTGTCCAGGGTTCTCTCATCATTCCCCCTTCCACCCGCTCGTCAGCCACAGCTAACCACTATTAGTTTTCCAGAGTTTTCCTGCCTCAGGGCCTTTGTACATGCTGGCTCCCTTTGCATAGAATACTCTTTCTCCTCATCCAGCTTTCTCAGTGGCTGGTTTCCTGGAAATCACTTCCTCCAGGAAGCCTTCCCTGTCTTTCCCTATGTTCCTTACAAGATCCACCTCTTGTAAGGGAAGAGACAGCCACTGTCTTGTGAAAAGTGTCCCAAGCCCTTGGCACAGTATTACTTGGTAGCTCTGCAGGAAATACAAAAGCAGTGGCAGAGGGAGAGGAAGAGAGGGAGTTGATGTGAAAGAGGCTAAGGCAGTCAAATTGTCAGAGCTTGATAGTAAGTTGGATCTGGGGAGGGAAGTCGGACCTAAGATAATTCCTAAATTCTAAGTGGAGCAACTAGTTTGCTGATTAAGAGATTCACTGAACGAGGAGCCGCGGGAGGGAGGACAGGCTTAAGGGAGAGGATAGTACGTTCCATTTCCAGGGTGGGTTGAGTTTCCAGTGGACACACGAAAAGGTGGCCACAGCTAGCTGGATGAGCGCTCGGTGGGTAAGGGGGAAAGCAAGAGGGTAGTTTCACACCCTCCCACCTGCCACAAACATAAAATGTGCTCTGGGCACTCTTTGGGAGGGTAGTGATGTTAAGGATGAACCCCTAAAGAACACTAGCATTTAAGGGCTGTAGGACACCCATGAGTCTAAGAAGGAGGTGGAGGAAGAGGAGTGGGGAGCAGGAGAGAGCAGCAGTGCTGAAGCCAGGGGGTGACAGTAAGGGGCATGAGCATGGGGCTGGGTCACGCTGGCAGCGGCGACTTAGGATGAAGTAGTAGAGAAAAAAATCGTAGAGGATTTTCAAGATCTATTTCTTGGTAATTTCCAAAGTCTCCCATGAATTACTCTGTGAGCATTGGTTGTGGAATGCTGCTACCAGCCAGATCTTTTCCCAGCCCTGCTTTTGCTGTTATGGTGTCACCTGGCCTAGCCTCAGCTCCCCCCTCCCCTCCTGTTTCTGCCCCCTTTCACATTGCTAATGTAATGAGTGTGTCACACTGTCACTAAGCCCTAATGTTCCAATTTTAGATTATGTATTCAGCAGTGGCTCAAACATACCAACCACCTAAGGCCCTCCGTGATCATTAGAAGGAAGAGAACCCCAAGATGTGCAAATTTACAACTTTAAGTTCCTGTTTTTTCTTAAACAGTAAAACATTTTTAAATATTACAAAAATATCAGACAATTTAAACCAAAATGAAAACCAAGAAAACTGTAGTTTCAGCCTCTGCGAGCAATGTTCTTTGTATACTTTCCAGTCGTTTTCATCTCATGTATGGTTTTAACCAAAAAGAGATTGGTGATAGCTTATTTTGTAACCTGTATTTTTTTCACTTTCAAATTATTATGACAATTTTTTTATATCAATAGGTACATTTCCAGAGCATCCTTTTTATGGCTGTATAGTCTATTAACCATATGTCTTGCTGCATTTTTTATTAGTAATGATGACAGCTATGCTTTATTGAATACTCTGTACCAGGCAGCATCTACCATGTGCCTTACACTCATGCACTTAAATCCCCTGAAGCCAGGGGGTGGGGCCTCTGGTTATCCTAGTGACAAGGTCCTCATTCACAGGCCCCTTGCCCACGTGGCAAGCCCAGCAGCTGGACTCCTGAGCCTGCACTTTCCCACCTCCATTTGTGCATGTTGATTCCACTGTTATGGCCTCTGCCCTTCAGTCCCGAAAGTTCTGAAATCACCATTCTAACCTGGAACTCATGGGATTGGTGGAGTGGGGAGGTGAGAGGGAGGTAGGAAGTGAGGCGGGTAACTCCAGAACACAGGAGGCCCGATGGAAGCTGCAGTGTTACCATAATGATCAGATCAGCCTAGCCGAGGGCCTTCTCAGAGCTGCTGAACCCCAGCCCAACTCCAGTGAGAAGCAGGGGAAACTAAGTGCTGGCAGCCTCACAGAGAACGCCCAGGTCACCCCTCTCTGCTGCCATTTCTCCTGAGGCTCTTTTGCTACCCTGGCTAGAGCTGCCTTGCAGCGGCCCCTGTTTCCCTCTACTCAGAGTGGGGAGCGGGGCCAGGAAGGCCTTTTCCCCAGGTCACGGGCCAGCCTCCACTTCACCTCTCCCTGACAGCTTGTGGTTGACAGCATCAGGCAGCAGGAGGCTGAGCCACTGGCCCCTCTCTGACCCCGAGTGTCAGGTCTTATGTTAGTAAAATGTCTGACAGCCGTCTGTTCTGGAGAGTCTGGGCATTCCAGCTCACCTTTGTTTACAGGGTGTGGAGCTAGCCCCGAACTGTCTTGGAGTGCACTGGGCCCACCTATGTGTATATTTCTGGGGATAAAATATCGGGGGCTGTAGCTGAGCCAGGTCAACATTCACTCCTGGAGCCCTGGTGGAGGTGTCCTGGTGAATCTTTGTGTTTCAGGTTCAACTTGCCTCGAACCCTGTGCTGGATGCCTGGTACGGTGCTCGTGACTGGGCCTTGAACCACCTAGATGATAATGAAGTTTGGATCACCAGGAAAGAGTATGAAGAAAAGGGAGGAGAGTACCTCAAGGAGCACTGTGCTTCCAACATCTATGTCCCCATCCGCCTGCCGAAGCAGGCCTCCCGCTCCTCAGATGCCCAGGCATCCAGCAAGGGCTCCGCTGCTGGTGGAGGTGGTGCTGGTGAGCAGGCATAGCAGAGGCCCTCCAGAGAGACTGCCCTGCACGCCATGCCTTGGGCCACGTTGGCAGTGTGACAGGACTGTGATTGTGCTAGATGTACCTGCCCAAGTCTGCTGGTCACATTTGGCAGCAAAATGGATTTCTCCTGGGGAGAACAAAGTTAAGGGACACTGAGACCTGCCCTTCAGAATTCGGTTCACTTGGGGGCTTCTGTGGTAGAGACTAACTGGCCTTCTGATGTCTTTGTTCAACTGTGGCCAGCTGTGGCATCAGCTTCCTGGAGCAGTAAATGAAGACAGAGTGGAGGACACAAATGTACAAAATGCACAAGACTGATTTCTTACCACATTTTAGTCTTTCTTGTTTTAAAAAAAATTCTTTAAAATTTATCTTGTCCGTGTAGATACTTTATTCTTCTGGATGTATTCAGAAATTGCATGAATGCCCAGTGAGGGGAGGTCTTTCATGCATATAAAAAGGTAATGTTTATTGCCGGGCACAGTGGCACGTGCCTGTTAAGGCCCAGCTTTGTGGGAGGCTAAGGCAGGAGGATCGCTGGAGCTTAGGAGTTCGAGGCTATCGTGTGCTGTGATCGCACCTGTGAATAACCACTGCACTCCAGCCTGGGCAACATAGGAAGACATTGTCTCTAAAAAGATACATTTTTCATAAAAGGTAATGTTTATTCAATAAAAGCAGTTGCCTCAGGAACCGGAAATATTTCCCTCCTCCTATTTTTTCCCCTTACAGATAAGGAGAAAAGCCCAGAAAGTTACCAGCATGTGAGGTCACTCTGCAAGCCAGGGACTTGCTTGGTGCCAGAGCCAGTGGCCCAACTTTGTTCATACTTTCTCTGCTGTAAACTTTTCCACCATACAAGGCCTACAAATGTTTTATTTCTGTCCTTCTGAGTTTGTTGGCTTCTTAACTTTTTCAGACTTTTTGGAAGAAAGATAAGACTGGAGGAGGTTTATCCTGTAGCCTGTTCAGTTTTGCCATAACCTCCCATTCCCTGTACCTTCCCAGCTGTGTCTTAAGTGGACAGATAACCCCTCACCTTCACAGAGATTGCTCGGTGAGAATTTTAACTCAAAGACAACCAATTATTGATCCCAGAAGGCCCCTGAGCTAATATTGTCACTGAATTTGTACCTTTAAATCTTATGGAGCCTCTAGCCCACCCCTCTGATGAGGCCACCTTAGAACCTGTTTGCTCATACAGTCTACCAAGGGTCATCACCTGGATCTCCAGCTCTCAAGGGCTTAGAAACTGCAGACCGGAAGGGAAGGGGCAGTGGTGATGGAGAGAGTGGAAGACCACAGCTGACCGTAAACAAAGGAAAAAGGAAAGGTTATCGCAAACCTAAATAGAAGATGCACAGGGGGAAGATACTCCATTGAAAAGAAATGAAATAAGAAAGTAATAGATAAGGAAAAGAGGCAAAGGAAATTAAACTGTAGTTGAAGAAGAAAATTTAACTATATTGAGTTTTGTGGTGGTGATGGTCAAAACAACATGACAAACTTTACCATCTTAACCATTTTTTTTTTTTTCCCGAGACAGAGCCTCACTGTGTCGCCCAGGCTGGAGTGCAGCGGTGCAATCTCAGCTCACTGCAACCTCCGCCTCCCGGGTTCAAGCAATTCTCCTGCCTCAGCCTCCCGAGTAGCTGGGACTACAGGTCTGTGCCACCAAGCCCAGCTAATTTTTTGTATTTTTAGTAGAGATGGGGTTTCCACTGTGTTAGCCAGGATGGTCTTGATCTCCTGACCTCATGATCCACCCGCCTCAGCCTCCCAAAGTGCTGGGATTGCAGGCATGAGCCACTGCGCCGGGCCCATCTTAACCGTTTTTAAGCGTCCAGAACAGGGGTGTTAACTCTGTGCACATTGTTGGTCAAAAGATCTCCAGAACTTTTTCATCTTGTAAAACCACACTCAATACCCATCAACTCCCTTCCCCCTGCCTCTGTCCATCCCCTGCTCTTTGCAACCACCATTCTACTTTGTAAGAGTTTTTCTTTAGATAACTCACATAAGAGAAGCCATACAGTATTTGTTGTTTTGTAACTGGCCTATTTCACTTAGCATAATGTCCTCAGGCTTCCTCCATGTTGTGGCATGTGTCAGAATTTCCTTCCCTTTTAAGGCTGAATAACATTCCATCATATGGATATACCACATTTTCTTTCTTTACCTTCGATGGACATTTAGGCTGCTTCCATTTCTTGGCTATTGCAGGCAATGCTGCAATTAACATGGGAGTGCAGATATCTCTTCAGGATCCTCATTTCAATCCCTTTGGATATATACCCAGAAGTGGGACTGCTGGATCATATGGTAGTTCTATTTTTAATTTTTTGTGGAACACTCGTACTGTTTTCCATAGCAGCTGCACCATTTTCATTCCCACCATCAGTGCATGAGAGTTCCAGTTCCTCCACATCTTCACCAACTCATTATGCTGTTTTTTTTTTTTTGATAGTTTCCTCATTTACTATCTTTCATCTTTTTGATAATAACCATTCTAACTGGGGTAAGGTGATATTTCATTGTGGTTTTGATTTGCATTTCCGTGATGATTAGTGATGTGGAGCATCTCTCTGTTTGCTTATTGGCCATTTGCATGCCTTCTTTAGAGAAGTCTCTATTCATGTCATTAGCCCCTTTTTTAATTGGGTTATTTCATTTTTTGTTGAGTATAGGAGTTCTTTATATACTCTGGATATTAACCTCTTATTAGATACATGGTTTGCAAATATTTTCTCCCATTCTGTAGGTTACCTTTTCACTCTTGTTTCCTTTAATGGGCAGAAGTTAAGTTTGATATGGTCTCATTTGCCTGCTTTTGCTTTCATTGTCTGTTTTTGGTGTCATATCCAAGAAATCATTGCCAAATTCAGTGTCGTGATGCTTTTTCCCGGAGTTTTCTTCTAGGAGTTTTTCAGGTCTTATATTTAGGTTTTATCAACTACATTACGTTTTATGTTGAAGAAAAAACACTGGAATAGAATTAATGTTTAAACTGATAATAAAATTTTCTTCCCCCACAAAACAAACCACCCTGAATATAAATACTGTAAGGCCACTCTGTGTGCTTGGGAAAGTTGACTCAGAGGTGTCAGATCCTAGTGAAACGATTAGATTTTAAAGATAAAAGAAGTCCTCTCGGGCCAGGAGTGGTGGCTCATGCCTGTGATCCCAGCACTTTGGGAGGCTGAGGCAGGCAGATCACTTGAGGCCAGGAGTTTGAGACCAGCCTGGCCAACATGGCAAAGCCCCATCTCTACTAAAAATACAAAACTTAGCTGGGCTTGGTGGTGCACACTTGTAATCCCAGCTACTTGGGAGGCTGAGCCATGAGAATTGCTTGAACCCAAGAGGCCAGGGTTGCAGTGAGCCAAGATCGCACCACTGCACTCCAGCCTGGGCAACAGAGCAAGACTGTCTCAAAAAAAAAAAAAGTCTTCTCAGCCTCCATGCAGGCTTACACAAGAAAGGGAAATTAGATGGTGTCAGACTTTTTAACAGCACTAATACTAGGAAGTTAAATAAGTTGAATAATTAGAAAACAAAAATGATAAATTTGAAGAAGGATGGCAACATTTTTAAACTACTAGAAAACCTAATTAATGTAGAAAGCACAAATGCATGTAATAAATAAGGTACTAGTCATCAAAAGAAGAAATAGGTTGGGCTCAGTGACACACACCTGTAATCCTAGCGCTTTGGGAGGCCGAGGCAGGAAGATCACTTGAGTCTGGGAGTTTGAGACCAGCCTGGACAACATAGGGAGACTCCACCTGTACAAAAAAATTTAAAAATCAGCTGGGTGTGGTGTTGCATGTCTGTGGTTCCAGCTGCTCAGGAGGCTGAGGTGGGAGGATTGCTGCAGTGAGCCATAAATGTGTCACTGCACTCCAGCCCGGCCAACAAAGTGAGACCCTGTCTCAAATAAATAATCATCTATTTTTCACACACTCTGGAAATACGTGAGAAAATCTAGCTGCAATTGTCAATTTTCTGCATTCAAGCCTTTAATTTTAAAAAAGTGAATTTTCTAGGAAAATAATTCACCAAAACTGACCTTAACAGAGATATATAAAGTTCAAACAGACTTTTTTTTTTTTCCATAGATGAACTCAAGAAAATTGCCACAGAGCTGCCCCCCTCCCTCCAAAAAACTCCAGGTCCAGTTGAGTTTAATAGCTATTAGCCTTAAACACTAGATACTTCCAGTGTTCCTTAAACTTTACCAGAGCATAGGAAAAAAAAATTAAATGATTTTTATGTAGTGAGTATAATGTTGCTATCAAAATCCAGTAGGTTGTACACACACACACAAAACAATCTTGCTTAAAAATATCAATGGAGAAAACAAATTATTTGCAATTGAAATCCACCAACACGTTAAAAAATAACATCATGGCCGGGTGCAGTGGCTCATGCCTGTAATCCCAGCACTTTGGCAGGCCCAGGCTGGCAAATCACGAGGTCCAGAGATCAAGACCATCCTGGCCAACATGGTGAAACCCCGTCTCTACTAAAAATACAAAAATTAGCTGGGCGTGATGGCACATGCCTGTAGTCCCAGCTGCTTGGGAGGCTGAGGCAGGAGAATTGCTTGAACCCGGAAGGCGGAGGTTGCAGTGAGCTGAGATCGCACCACTGCACTGCAGCCTGGCGACAGAGCAAGACGCTGTCTCAAAACAAAACGAAACAAACAAAAACATCGCGACCAAATGGGTTTTATTCCAGGAAATGCAAATGTATGTGTCAAACACCAAAATCTCAGTGGCTTAACACCAAGTATATTTCTTATGCTGCATGTTCAGTAAATACCAGTATGGTGGAGTGTGGGGAGGGGGTGATGCATTGCTGTGGATAATTAATTACTCCACACCATCTTATGATCCTTCCTTCTCAACGCAAAGCAAGGAAAGAGAACATCAAGCGTTAAGTCCTGGCTCCCAAATGTGCCACCCAGAACATATCCACCACGAGTACTCAAATTTCACTGGCCAAAGCAGGTCATTTAGCCATGTTTAATTTCTTAGTATTTCATTTTTAGTTATTTAGTATTTCTATTTATTTATGACTGTATGCCCTTGTGTGTGTGTGTGTGTGTGTGTGTGTGTGTGTGTATGGTGGTGGTTCTAGGAATTACAATATATATCCTTAAAATATTACACTCTGGGGGGTCGCAGGCAAAAAAAAATTACAGTCTGCCATTAATTAATTCTACAATACTTCACATACAATGTCAGAATGCTACCATAACAGTATAACTCTGTTTCCCCTCGGTTGGTCTTTTGTGGTATTGTCATGTATTTTATCTACTATTATGTTGTGAATCCCATAACAGTATGAATTTTTTTTATGTAGTAGTCTTCTAGAGAAATGTAAAAAGATGGTCTTGGTTGGGTGTGGTGGCTCACCCCTGTGATCCCAGCACTTTGGGAGGCCAAGATGAGAGGACTGCTTGAGCTCAGGAGTTCAAGACCAACCTGGGTAACATAGCAAGACCCTGTCTCTATTAAAAAACAAACAAATGCCTGGCGTGGTGGCTCATGCCTGTAATCCCAGCACTTTGGGAGGCTGAGGCGGGCGGATCATGAGGTCAAGAAATCAAGACCATCCTGGCCAACATGGTGAAACCCCATCTCTACTAAAAATACAAAAATTAGCTGAGTGTGGTGGCACATGCCTATAGTCCCAGCTACTGAGGAGGCTGAGACAGGAGAATCTCTTGAACCCAGGAGGTGGAGGTTGCAGTGAGCCGAGATCGTGTCACTGCACTCCAGCCTGGTGACGGAGCGAGACTCCATCTAAAAAAAAAAAAAAAAAAAAAAAAAAAAAAACAAACTCTTAGCTGATGGTGGTGGTGCACGCCTGTAGTCCCAGCTACTCGGGAGGCTGAAGCGGGAGAATTGCTTGAACCTGGGAGGTCAAGGCTGCAGTGAGCCATGATTGCGCCACTGCACTCCAGCCTGGGTGACAGAGGAGCAAGACCCTGTCTCAAAAAAAAAAAAAGAAAAAAAAAGATGGTCTTCAGCACTAACCTGCAAGTTGGCCCTTTCCAGTACAGGAGAGTAGGGATGGAGGGAGGTCATTTCCTTGACGCTAGTCTCTCAGCTTGGACATTCCTCTGAGGAATGCTTAACAGGATGAGGGAGGGGGCTTCGCCTCTGGCCAGTGCCCAGCTTAAGTAGCCTTTTGGAAAAGTTCCAGAGGACATGGAGTGGGGTGGGGTTCTGCAGGCAGCCATTCCTCAGTCTACACAACCCTCTGGTTCCACAAGAATTGGGAGATGAATTTGGCTGCCTGCACTTCCCAGCCTGCATCAGTTTTTTAAATTTTTATTTATTTATTTTTTTTTTAGATGGAGTCTCGCTCTGTCACCTAGGCTGGAGTGCAGTGGTGTGATCTTGGCTCACTGCAACCTCTACCTCCTGGGTTCAAGCGATTCTCCTGCCTCAGCCTCCCGAGTAGCTTGGACTACAGGCGTGTGCCACCATGCCTGGCTAGTTTTTTGTATTTTTAGTAGAGACGGAGTTTCACCATGTTAGCCAGGATGGTCTTGATCTCCTGACCTCGTGATCCACCTGCCTCAGCCTCCCAAAGTGCTGGGATTACAGGCGTGAGCCACCGCGCCCGGCCTGCATCAGGTTTTGATGAGCACGTGGCCAGGAGTAGGGTAGTGCTGTCCAGCCGATCCCCTGCCCGGGGAACCTCCTGTGGATTGCCTGGCATTGAGGTTGATCGTATGCCCTAGCCAGGACAAATTTCTGGAAACCCTTTTGCTTTAGTCATGGGGGCAGGGCTTTACCCACTGATACTCCCCAGCTTGCAATGCTTCAGCAATAATCTGGACTGGGTTTCATCACAAGTGGTGTTAAGTCTCCAAGGCTTTACATTTGGACTATTAATAACCGTGCCCTGGTTATCAATAGAAAGGGGCACTCCAAGAGTGTGAACTAGGTCCTCGTGTTGATGGTGATTCTGCCAGCCTTTGCTACAGGCATTCCTTTAGCCATTCAGAGAAGATACACTCAAATGCTACAGTATACTCTAAGATATGAATAAAATGGACCAGGATATTTTCAGAAGGCCCCAAAGGAGAGGATGACTTGCCCTCATTTTCTTGACAACTTTTCTCACATCTGGGCCTGTGCAATAAGAAAGCTCTTACAAAACTGCTGAGACACACTGGGAAATCCAGGGTATACCGATCACATCCAGCCAGTTCTGGCACTCCTTGGTGTGTGCCAAGCTAGGGGCTATGGGAACAGGGTGAGTGGGTAGATCCTTTGATGCCACTCCAAAGCTTTCTGGGGAGCACCAAAATGACAGGAATGCAAAATCTCTGAAGGCTCTTTTCTGAATTCCAAGCTGACTCTGCAGAAGGGCCAAACTTAAAGAAGCGGCCCAGGCTGAGCGCAGTGGCTCACACCTGTAATCCTAGCACTTTGGGAGGCTGAGGTGGGTGGATCGTCTGAGGTCAGGAGTTCGAGACCAGCCTGATCAACATGGTGAAATCCCATCTCTACTAAAAAATACAAAAATTAGCCGGGCATGGTGGTGGGTGCCTGTAATTCCAGCTACTTTGGAGGCTGAGGCAGGAGAATCGCTTGAACCTGCGGGGGAGGAGGTTGCAGCGAGCTGAGATCACGTTACTTCACTCCAGCCCGTTTATAAGAGCGAAACTCCGTCTTGGGAGGCGGGGGGGGGGGGCATGTGGGAAGAAGCCACCCGAGGAGCCTGGTAGGGTGATGAAAGTGAGAGCAGAGGTGTAGCTCAGGGCCGTGCAGCACCTCGGCTTTGGCTCTTTGCAGGCTGTAGAAGCAGAATCGTAAGACTTCTCCTGGCTTGTTTCTTTCCATTTCTCGATTTGACTCCTCAGCCTGCTCTTCTGGCTCCCTGCTGTCTAATGGAATTCCAGAGCTTGACCTTGAGAATGCAGATTCTCCCGATTGACAACTTCTAGAGAAGGGAATCTCAGAAAGACAAAGGAGATGTTCCTTCTTCCGCTGCAAGAGTGGAAAAGCAGACACTCTCCTGAGAGCCTCATAAAGCTGGTGAAAGCCTGTTCTGATAAAGCACCCAGGAGATCATTCCTTCCGCCCCCTGCTCCCAGGACAGGCACTTAGGTGAGAATGTGTGACTCATCCAGTTCTGATACCTGCTGCAAATGGTATATGAAACAAAGGAATCTTTTAAGCCACCTGGGCTTCAAAGAAATGTAACTGTGTACTTTTTTTTTTTTAATCTGCTTTTAAATTGGTAACCTTGCTTAATTGCATGTTGCCCTGGTAATAACCTTGCAATTGACATCTCTTTTTAAAAAATGAAGGTCTACAATGTCTGTATTGGCCAGAAGAGCTTTGCAAGTTTCTTTGTTCATCTTTCTCCTATGACTATGATTTTCTTCGAACAAAGAGTTTGAGAGGCCTTGCTTCGTTTTAAATTAACAATACATACTTTGCATATTTGACTTGAGAATTGTGTGTATGTTATACACTACTACAAAACAAACCAATTTCAATAAAAATAAAAGCACAATCCTTAAAATCAAAGCAAAGTGAAACAATTGAACCTCATTATATATCAAGTTGGTGGTTTACTCACACGGAGAGGACTTATTTTAAGTGACTTTAATTAGGTGACTTTATTTTAAGTGACTTTCCATGGTAGTTGGAAAAAAAGAAACCACAGTAGTTGAATGTATATCTTTAGTGGGATATATTCTAAGAACAAAAAATAACCGCACAGTAAGAAATCTTACTGTTTTCAGTAATTATGTTGTTAGTAATGGCATTGGTATGATTATTCTGAAGATATAAATATGTGTGTATATATTCAAATAATGTTAACATTGTTAGCAACCAAGATTTTCAGTATAACAAGATATAAAAATATAAAATAAAAACTGAAAAATCATATAATCCTAAATTTGAATTGCACGTATCCATATGAACACATGATGTATTTTCTCTTTACAAATATTAATTAATTAGCCTAGAACAACAAACAGCCAATCAAACAGGCAAATCACCTGAGGTCAGGAGTTCAAAACCAGTCTGACCAACACAGTGAAACCCTGTCTCTACTAAAAATACAAAAAATTAGCCAGGCGTGGTAGCAGGCGCCTGTAATCCCAGCTGCTAGGGAGACTGAGGCAGGAGAATCGCTTGAACCTGGGAGGCAGAGGTTGCGGTGAGCCGAGATTACACCACTACACTCCAGTCTAGGCGACAGAGTGAGACTCCATCTCAAAAAAAACAAACAACAACAAAACAACAATGACAACAACAATAAAACCCTCAAAATTCAGGAGTCCACTTGAAGGGGCTCCCGCTGGCCCAGGAATGGGACAATTTGAGCATCTGAAAAAATAACAGTGAAAGGTTGAAACATACTAAAATCTATGAATTCATCATGGTCACCTTTGGAGAATGCTAGGGAACCAGTTCATCATTCTGAAACTAGGAAATAAAGGGCAAAAGCAGGCATAGATCTCACCTTTCTTGTAGAAACTGTACCTCATGGCAACCGAACAGATAATAAGGGAATGTTTTTCTTTGTAGAGGATTTCTAGCTAAACAAATGAAAACAGAATGATGAAATACCTACCACCATTTTCTCTTTCTTTCTTTTTTTTTTTTTTGAGACGCAGTCTGGCTCTGTCATCCAGGGTGGAGTGCAATGGTGTGATCTTGGCTCACTGCAGCCTCTGCCTCCCGAATACCACCATTTTCTAGCTCCTAATGAAATAAAGGCAAGAGACAAATTCTTCATCAATGACAGCTAAAAACCACTCGGTGAAGAGTTGATGGAAGGCTGGGCACAGTGGCTCATGCCTATAATCCCAGCACTTTAGGAGGCCGAGGCAGGTGGATCACCTGAGGTCAGGAGTTCGTGAACAGCCTGCCAACATGGTGAAACCCCGTCTATGAAAATACAAAAATTAGCTAGGCGTGGTGGCACACCCCAGTAGTCCCAGCTACTTGGGAGGCTGAGGCAGGAGAATCACTTGGAAGTTGCAGTGAGCCGAGATCGTACCACTGCACTCCAGCCTGGGTGACAGACAGAGTTGGTCTCAAACAAAAAAAAAAAAAAAAGAAAAGAAAGAAAAAGAGTTGATGGACATCTTTATAATGGATGGATATTATGTGCCTCCTGGTGTGATACAATACGACATACTGCACATCATCCATGAAGAATTCTTAGGAAAAAATTTGAACCTGAATGTGATCAAGCCACTAAATTTAACTGCCATTTTACTAGAAATTCTGGGGACAGAGAAACATATTATGAATTAGCATCCCAACAGGAAGCAGATGGGATACTCAGGTTAGGAGAATGAGATGTGAAGGCAGGGTGTAAAGATGGTGCAGGGTCCTGGGAAGGTCCTCAGAGAAGCCTTTACAATAGGAAAGGAGAGGCTACCCAAATTTGGAAGGAGAAAGAGTTGTATAGAACAGTTGTGTTGAGAGGGACACAGCTTCAGTCAAGAAGCACAGCCAAACCAAGGTGGCCTTGCCAGGAGGGAGACAGGGAAATACACGCCCCAACTGCATTGTCCTCCCTCCCTCCCACACCTGCCAGGGCTCCCTATTGGCCAAACCCATCTGAAGCCAGAGGGCAAGAGAGCGCAGCTGATGTAATTCACACATGGCAGTCTCCAAGGGCAAATTCAAAGGTCAGAGTGGAGAAGGGTAGTTGCTAAATGGGACAAACGAGTACAGTCTGTCACAAACATGATAAATAACACCACAGGGCTGCAAACAGCAAAATCCAGAATGCAGAAAACTCTCCAGGACAAATAGCATTTTCCCCCCACCAAACAAATTGCAAAGGGGGAAAAGAGAGGGAGAAGATATAAATTAAAAGAAAATTTAGGCCAGTGCGGTGGTTCACGCCTGTAATCCCAACACTTTGGGAGGCGAAGGTGGGCGGATCGCTTGAGGGCAGAAGTTTGAGACCAACCTGGACAACGTGGTGAAACCCTGTCTCTACCAAAACATACAAAAAAAAAAAAAAAACAAAAAACAAAACTAGCCAATCGTGATGATGCACACCTGTAGTCCCAGCTACTCAGGAGGATCAGATGGGTGGGTCGCTTGAACCTGGAAGGCAGAGGTTGCAGTGAGCCGAGATCATGCCACTGCACTCCAGCATGGGTGACAGATCAAGACTTGGCCTTAAAAAAAGAGAGAGAGAGAGAGAGAAAAGAAAAAAGAAAATTTAAAAGCATAACAAAAATATAAAGTGTGGACCTTGTTTGGTTCCTAATTCTAATAAGCCATGTTTGATAAAAGAAACTTCTGAGCAAATCTGGCAAATGTGGATATTTAATAATATGAAAGAATTATTGATAGTTTTTAAAGATGTGGTTGTGATTTTTGTAGTTTTATGGAGGGAGAGAGAGTGAGTGAGCTTGTCTTATAGAGATGCATATTGAAATGTTGGCAGCTGGAGTCATATTTGGGATTTGCTCCAAAATAGGCAAAGGCTTATAGATAAAACAAGAGTGAGTGACCGTGTGTTGATTGTCACTGAATATGGGGGAATAGGTACACAGGGGCTGGTTATACTTCTCTGTTTTTGTGTGTGTTTAAAATTTTCCATTAAAAAAATTAAAAAGTTGAGCCAGGCACAGTGACTCATGCCTATAATCCCAGCACTTTGGGAGGCTGAGGTGGGAGGATCCCTTGAGCCCAGGAGTTTGAGACTAGCCTGGGCAATGTAGCAAGGCCCCTGTCTCTACAAAAGCAAAAAAAATTAGTGAGGCATGGTGACCCAGCTACTCCGGAAGCTGAGGTGGGAAGATTACTTGAGCCTGGGAGATCCAGGCTGCAGTGAGCAGTGATTGTGCCACTGCCCTTTGGCCTGGGTTGCAGTGAGACTGTCTCAAAAAATAAGATAAAAAGTAATGACACTCTTGTCTAGCCTTGTTTTGTTTATCATATAGCAATATTTCTTGGATATCACTCAGTAGCAGTGCGTAGTGAGCTGCTGCTTAAAAAACAAACAAACAAACAAAAACCCAGGAGTCTCACTATTGTTTCACAGGCTGGTCTCAAACTCCTGGGCTCAAGCGATCCTCTCACCTCGGCCTCCTGAGTAGCTGGGATTACAGGTGGGGATGCTTCTTCCTTGTCTCTTTATAATGTATGTCTGTATAAATTATATGTGTCACAAACACGATAACGCCATGGACATGCAATCAGCATATCTATGACATATACATATAAATTTTACTCAAACGGTAGCATACTATGGCTTAACAATATGTCTTGAAGATCACTCCATGTCAATACAAACCAAGCTTCTGCTTTTTTCCCTTATCTTAATATTATTTTTCATGGATAATGCATTGAAAATCTACTCTCCAACCTTGGCTCTTCTTTTTTTTTTTTTGGAGATGGAGTCTCACTCTGTCACCTAAGCTGGAGTGCAGTGGCACAATCTTGGCTCCCTGCAACCTTCACCTCCCAGGTTCAAGCGATTCTCCTGTCTCAGCCTCCTGAGTAGCTGGGATTACAGGTGCCCACTACCATGCCCAGCTAATTTTTAAATTTTTTTTTAGTAGAGATGGAGTTTCACCATGTTGGCCAGGCTGGTCTCGATCTCTTGACCTCAAGTGATCCACCTGCCTCAGCCTCCCAAAGGGCTGGGTTTTCAGATGTGAGCCACTGCGCCCGGCCTCCTTGGCTCTTTTCTCTTAAGAAACGGATGAGAATTGCAAACATTTTCCTATGATGGTATTTGTCTTTTAACTTTGTTGGGGTGTTTTTCCACTCAGATTCTTTTCGTGGACTTAAATTGCTTTTGGGTTTTATGTCATACTTTAAAAGGCCTCACTCACTTTGAGATAACAAAAAAAAAATCCTACGTTTTCTTTTCACATATGTGGTTTTTTAAAAATCCTTTTTGGGCTGGGCACGGTGGCTCACGCCTGTAATCCCAGCACTTTGGGAGGCCGAGGCGGGCAGATCCCTTGAGGTGAGGAGTTCGAGACCAGCCTGGTCAATATAGTGAAACCTCGTCTCTATTAAAAATACAAAAATTAGCCAGGTGTGCTGGCGCGGGCCTGTAGTCCCAGATATTTGGGAGGCTGAGGCAGAAGAATCGCTTGAACCCGGGAGGTGGAGGTTGCAGTGAGCCAAGATCATGCCACTGTACTCTGGCCTGGGTGACAGAGCAAGATTCCATCTCAAAAAAAAAAAATCCTTTTTGGTAATACATACACACATATAATGATATAAAACATAAATGTACACCCAAACAACTGTGGCTAAATGAACACCTGCATGACCACCACCCTCTGTGGTCAAGAAATAGAATACTGCTGCCACCCTAGAAGCCTCCAGTATGATCCATCTTCCCTCATTAAAATCCACTCCTTCCTCCTTAGAAGAGACCATTGTACTGATGTCAGTGGTATTCTATTTCATGTTCCTTATCATGTTGCTACCTCATTATGCATCCCTAAACATTATTCTGTTGTTGTTGTTTTGAGACAGAGTCTTACTCTGTCAGCCAGGCTGGAGTGCAGTGGTACAATCATGAGTTTGAGGCTCACTACAGCCTCAAACTCCTGGACTCAAGTGATCCTCCTACCTTAGCCTTCTGAGTGGCCAGGGCTGCAGGCATGTGCCATCATGCCCAGCTAATTATTTTATTTTTTGTAGAGACAGGGGCCTCCTTTTATTACCTAGGTTGGTCTCAAATTCTTGGGCTCAAGCAACCCTCCTGTCTTGGCCTCCCAAAGCTCTGGGATTATAGGCATGAGCCACTGAACCTAGCCCCTAAACATTGTTTTTTGTTTGTTTGTTTGTTTGTTTTTGAGACGGAGTCTCACTCTGTTGCTCAGACTGGAGTGCAGTGATGCAATCTCTGCAACGTCTGCCTCTCGGGTTCAAGTGATTCTCCTGTCTCAGTCTCCCAAGTAGCTGGGATTACATGGGCATGCCACCATGCGCAGCTAATTTTTGTGTTTTTGTGTGTGTGTGTGTGCAGATAGGGTTTCACCATGTTGGCCAGGCTGGTCTCGAACTCCTGACCTAAGGTGATCCACCCACCTCGGCCTCCCAAAGTGCTGGGATTAGAGGTGTGAGCCACTGCACCCGGCCAACATTGTTTTTAAGATCCATTCATGTTGTGTGTAGCTGTGGTTCATTTTCATTGCTTTGTAGTATTTTATTGTATGCATGTACCATAATTTATTTATCCAGTTGGAATTTATCCTGGCAAAGATTTGCAGTAAGTCTCCAGCTGAATTTCTTTTCAGGCGACTAGCCAGTTGCACCAACAATATTTAGTGAGTAATCCGTCTTTTCTCCACTAATGTAAATGCCACTTTTATTATTTATTAAATGACCTTAAATATTGTGGTCTACTTCCAGACTTGCTCTTCTGCTCCATTCATCTTTCTATTTCTGAATTTGCAATGAACAGTTTATTATTGTCACTTTATAATACACTTTAAGATCTGGCAGAGTTTGTCTCCCGCATTTCTCTTTCTTTTTCAGAACTTTTCTTGATTTCCCTGCATGATCTTTGGAATCAGCTTGTCAAGATCCAAAATAATCCTGTTGGTATGTTTGTTTGTATCCCATTAAAATTATAGATGAAAAGATAGAAAGATGGTATCTTTTCTTCAATTGACTCCTCTAGCCAAAAATGGATATGACTTTTTCCTTTATTCAAGTCTCATGGCACATAATAGCCTTTGAAAGTTTTAGTCATATAGTTCCTGTACATTCCTTGTGAAGTAACTCATTCATTTAAACATTTGAATAGTATTCTATTATATTTCATTCCATGGTTTATTTAATCATTCTATCTTTGAATGGCATTTGAATAAATCTGTTTCCAAGTTTATTCTGTTACATATAGCACTGCAAAGAGTATCCCTGCAAAAATATGTATTTGGAAATGATGTTACTATAAATGAAGTTGATGGACCAAAGGATTTTAAAAATATAAAATAATAAGATAATAAAGGTCATGCTAATATAAAAATAAACAAGAAATTAAAGAACAGTGTGTTATTGGTCAAGTGTGGTGGCTCACACCTGTAATCCCAGCACTTTGGGAGGCTGAGGCGGGTGGATCGCTTGAGGCCAGGAGTTTGAGACCAGCCTGGCCAACATGGTGAAACCCGTCTGTACTAAAAACACAAAAAGTTAGCCAGGCATGGTGACACACACCTGTAATCCCACCTACTCAGGAGTCTGAGGCACGAGAATCACTTGAACCTGAGAGGTGGAGATTGCAGTCAGGTAAGATCGCATCACTGCACTCCAGCCTGGGTGACAGAGCAAGACTCTGTCTAAAAATATATATATAAAAAATATATAAAATATATATATATAATATATATTATATATAAAATATATGTAATATATAATATAATATATATCATATATTATATATATAGCATGCTATCATGTAAAAAAAGAATATGAGGATAAACAAAATATACCAAAATAAGGGTAAAATATGTAATATCCTTGTATTAAGTAGAGGATCATAGCAGGAAAGTAAAGTGATTATTATGGTACTATTACTATTACACTGGTCTTGACTGCAAAATCATTTCCTGCCTGTCCCCAGGCTGGAGGTCAGAAATGGCAAAGCTGCCACCATTAACTCTGTTGAGGTTCTACTTCAGGGCTTTTTTTCACTGAGGTGGACACCTGGAAAGCCTCCACTACAGGCCCATAGCCAGGCAAGGGAATGGAAGCTGCCCGAGGGCTCCAGCTGCTCACTGAGTTAACATGTGGGAGGTGGACCACAGCAACTATGTGGGGAAACCCTGTCTGCACACTGAATCCCAGCAGAATCTAGCAGAGCCAAGAGCTGAGTAACACAGAGCCCCAAGGACATCATGTGAGACCCTGGATCCAGCCTCACCTGAGGATGTTTCAGAGCAGAGTTCTCTAAGGCACAAGCTACAAGTGAGCATGGCTGTAACAGGCCCAAGGGGGCACCAGAACTGGGGAGAGGGGCTTGGTGCCTCAAATATTGACTGCTTTGGGAACGGCAGGAGTGCTTGAGCGGTGGACACCGGCAGCAGCAGCGAGGCCCCTCTAGAAGCCTAAGAAGGGCGCTGGAGCAGAAGGGGACACACAGCAGGGGATTGGTTATCTATTGCTGCATAACACCCACCCCAAAACTTAGCTGCTTAAACAACAACTATTGTATTTGCTCAGGATTCTGTGGCTCAGCAATTCATGCTGGGCTCAGCTGGGCAGTTCTTCTGCTGGTCATGCCAGAGTCACTCATATGTCTATAGTGATACGGAACTTAACAGGGGCAGGCAGTCCAAGGTGGCCTCACTCACATGTCTGGGGCATCAGCTGGGATTCCTGGAACAGGTTGAGTGGCTGGATTATTCCGTGCATGTAGCCTCTCATCCTTAAGGAGTCTACTCCGACTTTATTCACAAGGTGACAGTGTTCCTAGAGAACCAGGCCCTGTGTATACAAGCATCCCAAGCTCCTGCCTGCCTCATGTTTGCTGATGGCCCACTGGCCAGCGCAAGTCACATGGACAAGCCCCAAGTCAGTGTGAGAGGGGGCTATGCATAGGCGTGGATGTCAGGAAGTGTGGTCCATTGGACTCCATTAATGTCATGACGTTGCCATGTAATATACAATGCATGCTTGGCCCTCAGCCTATGTCTAAGCTCAGGTGAGACCTTCCCTGGGACAGCCCAAGCATAAGCAAGTGAGCCTGGCAGGTGAGACTAGAGCTGGTGCAACCTGCATTAATGAGGGGATTGGTGCTTTGATAGGATTAAACCAGGGGCTAGCATAGCACAGAGGAGGGGGCTTAACCAATGCCAGGGCTTTCAGAGGCCCTGTGGCTAGAGGTGACAAACACAGTCTCTCAAACCAGGCAGACCTGGGTTCAAGTCTTCACTCTGCCATTTCCTTCTTCTGTGGTCCTGGGCTAGTAACTCCCCTACTCTGACTGTCAGTTTCTTCATCTGTGAAATGGACCTCACAGGGTTGCTGTGAGAATCAAAGGAGCTCAGAAGAGCTTAGCCTGACACAAAGCAGCAGTCTATAAATGGTGGTGCTAGTGATCAGTGTGATAAGAGTGGTGATAAACATCATGGTCCCTGACATTGGTGACAGGAGGCAGGGTCATGGATGTTCTGGATGAGCAGAGAGCTCTGGATAGGTGACTAGGAGTGGCCTGTTAGAGGAGGGCAGGGAAGGGCATCCCAGGCAGAGAGAGCGGTGCATCCAAAGGCGTGGAGGTAGGATTGAGAATGATGTGCATGACCAACTGCGACACCATCGGTGTGTGCAGTGTGCCTCGAGGACGGGTGCCATGGCAGACCGCATTTTCCCAAGACAGATATCGCCTATATATCACATGATCGTCTGACAATGTGGCTGTTAGGAGCAGAATCATGTTCCCACAAATATATACGTTGAAGTCCAGTACCTCAGAATGTGACTGCATTTGGAGATAGGGCCTTAAAAGAGGTGATTGGCCGGACGCAGTGGCTCACACCTGTAATCCTAGCACTTTGGGAGGCCGAGGAAGGCAGATTGCCTGAGCTCAGGAGTTCGAGACCAGCCTGGGCAACACGGTGAAACCCCATCTCTACTAAAATACAAAAGAAATTAGCCGGGTGTGGTGGTGTGTGCCTGTAGTCACAGCTACTCAGGAGGCTGAGGCAGGAGAATCGCTTGAACCCAGGAGGTAGAAGTTGCAGTGAGCCGAGATCATGCCACTGCACTCCAGCCTAGACAACAGAGCAAGACTCTGTCTCGACAAAAAAAAAAAAAAAAAAAAAAAAAGAGGTGATTAAGTTAAAATGAATGCGTTAGGGTGGGGCTGTAATCCAGTATGACTGTGTTCTTATAAGAAGAGGAGACACCAGGCATGTGCCACACAGAGGAAGAACCATGTGAGGACACAGTGAGAAGACAGCCATCTGCAAGCCCAGGAGGGGGTCCTTAGGAGAAACCAACTCTGCCCACACCCCATCTTGGATTTCTTGCCTCTACAACTCTGAGGAATAAACTTCTGTTGCTTAAGTCACCCTGACTGTGGTCCTTTGCTATGGCAGCCTTAGCAAACGAATATATTGACTTTGACATCCCTCCCATCAAAGGGTGTCCTATTTCTCCTCTCCTTGAAACTCACACTTGAGCCCAACCGCCATGCTATGAGGAAGCCCGAGCTAGCCCAGCAGCCATGCTGTGCCTGAGCTAGCCTAGCTGCCATGTTGTTCCTGAGCTAGCCTAGCAACCATACTAGGAAGCCCAAGCTAGCCCAGCTGCCATGCTGTGAGGAAGCCCAGGCTAGCCCATGCTGTGAGGAAGCCCAGGCTAGCCCATGCTGTGAGGAAGCCTGAGCTAGCCTTCACGGAGAGACCACACAGAGAGACCCTTGGTAGGGGTTGCAGCTGACAGCCATCATCAATACCCAGACAGGTGAATGAAGACACCTCCGGATGATTCCAGCTCCCAGCTATTGAGTCACCCCCCCCTCCACGTCCCCACCCCCAGCTGGTGAGTCACCCCCAGCCAACAAGTATTTCCACCTGAGGCCCGGGACATGTGGAAAAGACAAACTATCCCTGCTTCACCTTTTCCAAATTTCAGACCTACAGAATTCATAAGCATAATGAAATGGTTGTTTTACCCCTCTAAGTTTTGGAGTAGTTGGATACAAAGCAATAGCATCTCCCAAGGGCTCTTCTAGATGGAGCAGCTACCCACAGCCTGGTTCTGTTTTTGACGTAACAGCGTAGAACGCCCCTCTCCCGAGCACTCCCGAACTTTGAGAGAGACCTGATACTGCCACTTGGTGGCCAATAGAAACTATGCAAGACCCGCTGTTTCGCCCTTTCTTCTTCCTTAAGAGTTTATTCACATTCATTCATTCATTCCACATTCATAATCCCTGATGGTGGTGGATCAAGTGTAGTTTTAAAAAGCATATTCGAAAATTACTTTTTTTAATATGCTTTCATCTTTGGTCATGAAATTTCATTTACAAGTCTACAATCCCTTACACTCTTCCAAAATCCAAAATTCTCTGCAAACTCAAAGCGTTTGCATCAGTTTATAAAAGCTTACTCAGTAGCTAAATCTAATCCGAACTGGCTTAAGGCTATTTATAGTCTTTCATTAACATTTCACAGTAAGATTTTTTTTTTAATTTTTTTTTTTGACGGAGTCTCACTCTGTCGCTCAGGCTGGAGTGCAATGGCACGATTTAGGCTCACTGCAACCTCCACCTCCCGGGTTCAAGTGATTCTCCTGCCTCAGCCTCCCCAGTAGCTGGGATTACAGTCACCCGCCACCACACCCAGCTAATTTTTGTATTTTTAGTAGAGACTGGGTTTCACCATGTTGGCCAGGCTGGTCTCAAACTCCTGACCTCAGGTGATCTGCCTGCCTCGGCCTCCCAAAGTGCTGGGATTACAGGTGTGAGCCACCATGCCCAGCCCACAGTAGAAATAATAATATTTGATTTGGGGGTGCTGCTCTAGACCCCTCTAAGGATGTCGTAAAATAGCAGTAGTTCTCAAAGTGTGGTTCTGAGACCAGCTGCATTGGCATCAAATGGGAAATGGAAATGGAAATTCTCAGGCCCCACTTCAGACCTACGGAGTGAGTGTGGCCCAGCCCTCTGTGCTTTAACAAGCCCTCTTGGAGATTCTGACTCACGCTCACATATGAGAGTCACTGATATAGACTCTATGCACCCACCACATTGCATTTATAAAATTCAAAAAATTGTGAAATTCCTAAGCACATGTAGTCCCATGCTTTATGAAAAAGGATTGCTTTCAGACCTGTATTTTGGAATGTCAAGTAATATTAAGGGAAGCCATGAGATTTTCATGTCTAAAAAGGGGGGAAGGGGCCAAGCGTGGGGGCTCACGCCTGTATTCCCAGCACTTTGGGAGGCCGAGGCGGGTGGATCACCTGAGGTCGGGAGTTCAAGACCAGCCTGACCAACATGGAGAAACCCCATCTCTACTAAAAATACAAAATTAGCCAGCCATGGTGGCGCATGCCTGTAATCCCAGTTACTCAGGAGGCTGAGGCAGGAGAATTGCTTGAACCCGGGAGGAGGAGCTTGCAGTGAGCCGAGATTGTGCCATTGCACTCCAGCCTGGGCAACAAGAGCAAAACTCTGCCTCAAAAAAAAAAAGGGGGGGCAGTGGGGAAGGAGTTCCTTGTAGGAATGGAGAAAGGGTGTGATTAATAACAATAAAAGCTAACTTTTGCTGAGTTATTTATAACCTATCAGGCACTGCGCCAAGTGCCTATGCTTATCTAGTCCACATAATGCACCTAGGAGATAGTTACTTTTATCATACCCATTTTATGAATGGGGAAACTGAGGCAAGTGGTGTGAGCACCTACCAAAGCCTGAAGAAGGTCAGCAGTAGAAGCTGTGGCCTTCAGTAGAGGGACACAGCCAACTCACATGGCCTCACTTCTGCCCTCTTATCTCCTACAAGAAGCCAGAAGACAAGGGAATTCCTATGGTGTCATCCACAGTAGTGCAGAGCAAGATGAAGTATGCTACTCAGGCCTCCAAATTTCCCTCCAAAACAACTGCACCAGCGTTTGGTTCCTCCCACCCCAATGGGTTCCACTTACACAGTCTTAGGTCTGTAGGGCTAGTGAAGACAGCCAGCCTATCATTTATTATGCCTCTAGTGCAAATCTGGGTATCACAAATGCATGCTATTGTGGTTATAAAATATAAAAGTATCAGCCGGGCCCAGTGGCTCATGCCTGTAATCCCAGCACTTTGGGAGGCTGAGACGGGTGGATCACCTGAGGTCGGGAGTTCGAGACCAGCCTGGCCAACATGGTGAAACCCCGTCTTTACTAAAAATACAAAAAAAAAATTAGCTGGACATGGTGGTGGGTGCCTGTAATCGCAGCTACTCAGGAGGCTGAGGCAAGAGAATCGCTTGAACCCAGGAGTTGAAGGTTGCAGTGAGCCGATATTGTGCCCTTGCACTCCAGCCTGGGCAACAAGAGTGAAACTCCATCTCAAAAGTAAATAAATAAATAAATAAATATAAAAGTATCACACTGTAAGTGTTCATTTGCAGCTTGCATTTTTTCCCAACTCATTTTGTTTTTTCAGATTTATCTATGTTGATGCAGGCAGCTTTATTTCTGTTCATTCTCTCTGTTGTTTAGAATTCTGCGATATTAAAGCACTCCTGAATCCATTTATCCATTCCCCCTTTGGTAGGCATTTAGGATGTTGCTGGCCTTTTGCAGATAAAGGCCTAATGAATATCTTTAGACATGTCTTCTACACAGGTGGGAGGTTTTCTCCTAGCTGGATGTTCCTAAATGTGGAGCTGCTGTATTACTGGACGCGAGTACCCAACTTTCCCAAATAATGCCAAATTTCCCTCCAAAACGATTGCACCAGGGTTTGGTTCCTCCTACCCCATGGGGTTCCACTTACACAGTCTTAGCCCACCGCGGTATTGAGAGACTATTTTATTTATATTTATTTTGCCTTTCCGATGGATGTGACCTCTACCTCCTATCTGTTTTATTTACATTTCCCTGATAATTCAGAAATGGAGCATCTCTTCAACCCATCTGTCATGTGGGGATAAACATTTTGCCTTTCCACTTCAGGCTTTGCCTATGTACAGTTGACCCTTAGGCAACATGGGTTTGAAGTGCACAGGTTCACTTAAACACAGTTTTGTTTTTGTTTTTTTTTCAATAAATACAGTAGGCTGCCCATATGGATGGGTTCTGCATCTGCAACCCAATGCGGATGGAAGATACCATATTTGCCGGAATCCTGCAGGACTCCTGAAATTTTACGCACTGATTTTGGGAACCAGAGTCCTCTGCAGATACCGAGGGATGACATATCTTCCAAGCATAGATTTCTAGAATTTCAAAAGACCTTCCCTCTCTTATTCCAGGCAGTAACACATGAAAAGCGCTTCGGCTTTCAGGCTGCCTCCTGGGCTGTGGGTGTTCCAGGCTCAATTTTGCCACTCAGGCCTGAGGAACAATTTTGTTTGCTGTCGCTGGCATCTGTCCTTCCCCAGAGGCAAAGAGTGACAATCGCGAGATGGGTGAGAGCTGAGGGCAACCACAGTAGCAGCGCAACAAAACAAATGCAGAAGGGAAGGAAACCTAACCCACATTTGTAATTTCCAAAATATTGTCTTGCTGCATTTTCAAGCTCTGTTTATTAAAGCCCTGATGTATGCCAGGAGTATATTTCTCTATCCTCCAAACACTTCCACCAGCCTCCTAAAGCAGGGTCACTTCATCCCTACAACAAATTCTTGCTGCCAGGCACAGTGGCCCACACCTGTAATCCCAGCACTTTGGGGGGTCCAAGCAGGAGGGCTTGAGGCTGAGTTAGAAGTCAGCCTGGGCAACATAGTGAGACCCCATCTCTACAAAAAAATTTTGTTTTAATTAGCCAGGTGGCTGGGGGTGGTGGCTCATGCCTGTAATCCCAGAACTTTGGGAGGCCGAGGCTGGAAGATCACTTGAGGCCAGGAGTTCGAGACCACCTTGGCCAACATGACAAAACCCCGTCTCTACTAAAAATACAAAAATTGGCCGGGCATGGTGGTGCGCACCTATAGTCCCAGCTACTTGGGAGGCTGAAGCATGAGAATTGCTTGAACCTGAGAGGTGGAGATTGCAGTGAACTGAGATCATGCCATTGCATGCCAGCCTGGGCGACAAAGCAAGTCTCTGCCTTAAAAAAAAAAAATTGCCAGGTGTGGTGATGGCACCTGTAGTCCCAGCTACTTGGGAGGCTGAGGCAAGAAGGTCACTGAAGCCCAGGAGTTCAAGGCTACAGTGAACTATGATGCTATCGTGGCACTACTGCACTCCAGCCCAGATGACAGAGTGAGACCCTATCTCTAAAAAGTAAAATAAAATAAATAAAAATGTCCTTGCTCTTCCTATATGCCAGGCTATGTTAGGCACTGGGAATCCGTGTTAAGCAAAAAGGCCTGGTGTCTGATCAGAGCGCAGGGTGGCACTCACTGGATCAATGTCCTGGGGCTCCCATAACAAAATACTGCAGACTTGGTGGCTCAGACAATTTCCTCACATTTCTGGGGGTTAGGAGTCTGAGATCAAGGTGTCAGCAGTGCTGCCTTCTTTTTCTCTCTCCTTGGCTTGTAGGTGCTGTCTTCCTCCTGTGTCTTCACAGTGTCTTTTATCTGCCTCCAAATCTCCTCTAATAAAGACATTGGTCCTACTGGATTAGGGTCTACCCATATGAACTCATTTGACCTTAGTCACCTTCTTTTATTCTTTTTTATTCTTTTTTTTTTTTTTTTCTGAGATGGACTCTCTCTCTGTCGCCCAGGCTGAAGTGCAGTGGCACGATCTTGGCTCACCGCAATCTCCACCTCCCAGGTTCAAGTGATTCTCCTGCCTCAGGTTCCTGAATAGCTGGGATTACCGGAATCTGCCACCATGCCTGGCTAATTTTTGCATTTTTTAGTAGAGATGGGGTTATGCCATGTTGGCCAGGTTGGTCTTGAACTCCTGACCTCAAGTGATCTGCCTGCCTCAGCCTCCCTAAGTGCTGGGAATACAGGTGTGAGCCACCACACCCAGCTCCTTAGTCATCTTATGAAAGACCCTATCTCTGTATGCAGTCTCATGCTGAAATACTGGGGGTTAGGACTTCAACATAGGAATTTGGGAGTGGTGGGACTCAGTTCAGCTTATAACACTGTCTAATGGGAGAAGCAGGATTAATATTCAATGCCACAACGATGTACAAAATGACAACTGTGGTCCCTGGGGTTATGAGAGCTACTACCAGGGGGTTTGGCTGAGTGGGCTCTAGGAAACCTTCCCTGAGAAAGTGATGGTTGAGCTGAGACCTGAAAGAGGTTGGGGGCTAAGCAGAGGGAGGGAACAGCAGGCCAGGTGTAGGGACAAGATATGCTGCAGGGCTGGGAATACCCCAGTAGGCACATGAAGACCAAAGGCATTAAGCGGCACAGGTTGCTGAGGGGGGACTTCTGGGCACTATGTTGGAGATGGTGGCAACTTACCCCAGGTAAAAATCACCAGAGCACTCTTTTAAAAATACAGATCCCAGGCCTCATCCAGGTCTGCTGAATCAGAATGGCCAAGGGGAAGGGCCCGAGAATCTGCATTCCCTCACAATTTTTCTTATTTTGAAAAATATCAAATCTAGAGAAATGGAAAGAAAAGTACAAGGAACACCTGAACCCCCTTCACCTAGACTCACCAGTTGTTAACATTTTGGCTCATTTTTGCTTTCTCTCTCTCCCTCCCTCACTCTCTCCTCACCAAGCATCTCCTAAAAATAGGGGCCTAGGCCAGGTGTGGTGGCTCACACCTATCATCCCAGCACTTTGGGAGGCCGATGCAGGAGGATTGCTTGAGCCCAGGAGTTCAAGACCAGCCTGGGCAACATAGGGAGATCCTGTCTGTATAAAATTATTTTTAAATTAGCCAGCTGTGGGCCAGGCATAGTGGCTCATACTTGTAATCCCAGCACTTTGGGAGGCCGAGGCGGACGGATCACAAGGTCAGGAGATCAAGACCATTCTGGCTATCATGGTGAAACCCTGTCTCTGCTAAAAATACAAAAAATGAGCCGGGCATGGTGGCACGTGCCTGTAGTCCCAGCTACTTCAGAGGCTGAGGCAGGAGAATCGCTTGAACCTGGGAGGCAGAGGTTGCAGTGAGCCGAGATCGCCCCACTGCACTCCAGCCTGGGCAACAGGGCAAGACTCTGTCTCAAAAAAAAAAAAAAAAAAAAAAAATTAGCTCCCAGGTACGTGGGAGGCTGAGGTGGGAGGATTGCTTCAGTCCGGGAGGTTGAGGCTGCAGGGAGTTGTGATAGCACCACTGCCTTCCAGTCTGGGTGACAGAGTGAGACCCTGTCTCAAAAAACAAACAACAAAAAAGGACCTTTTCCTCCATAACCACGACCAGAACACCGTTGTCATATTTAAGAAGAGTAATGTCAATCCAGTAATGTCATCTAATGTACAGATAATATTTAAATTCCCTGTGGTTTACAACATTTCTTTCATAGCTATTTACTTGTTCAGTCCAAGAGCCAATCAAGGTGCACGCATTATGCACTTTTTATTGTGTCCTTTTAATCTCTTTCAATCTGGAATAAGTCCCTGCCACTATAAAAAATGATATTAACTTTTAAAAAGAGAGTCTAGGCTTTTAGAATGCCCCACATTCTAGATTTGTCTTAATTTTCCTCATGATTAAAATCAGGTTAAGTATTTTTGGCAAGAATATGACATAGAAGATGTTGAGTATATCTTATTGCATCACAGTGGGGGCGAACAATGTCAGGTTGTCCCACTATGGTGATGCTGTGTGATCTCGCGTTTAAGGCAGAGACCACTGGAGTTCTCTGATGTAAAGGTACATTTTCCCCTTTTACCTAGTAAATGATCTGTGGCATGATGTTTTGAAGAGTGTGACTGTTCTGTTACCCAATACCTTTTTTCTCAATGGCTGTAGCAGCTGTTCATGGTTGTTGTTCCCTCAATCAATTATTATATTGGTGGGTGCAAAAAGGAATCTGCATCTTTCTTTCCTTCCTTCCTTCCTTCCTTCCTTCCTTCCTTCCTTCCTTCCTTCCTTCCTTCCTTTCTTTCTTTCTTTCTCCTTCCTTCCTTCCTTCCTTCCTTCCTTCTTTCTTTCTTTCTTTCTTTCTCTCTCTCTCTCTTTCTTTCTTTCTTTCATTTTGAGATAGAGTCTTGCCCTGTTGCCCAGGCTGGAGTGCAATGGTGCGATCTTGGCTCTCTGTAACTTCCACCTCCCAGATTCAAGCAATTCTCCTGCCTCAGCCTCCCGAGTAGCTGGGGTTACAGGCGTGTGCCACTATGCCTGGCTACTTTTTGTATTTTTAGTAGAGATGGAGTTTTGTCATGTTGGCCAGGCTGGTCTCAAACTCCTGACCTAAGGTGATCCACCCGTCTTGACCTCCCAAAGTGCTGGGATTACAGGTGTGAGCCACTGCACCCGGCTGGAATCTGCATTTTTAATAAGTGCCTCAGGTGACTTTTCTTTGCCTGGAATTTTGGAAACCCCATTTAAGTCAATATAAGGAATACAGGAGAATGAGGCATTGCTACCAAGGCAGCTGAAGGCATTAGCTAAAGCCTATTATTCATTAGAATCTGCTAAAATGCATATTCTGAGGCCCGTACACCAAAGAATGAGAAACGGGTGCAAAGGACAGGCCCAGGAAGGAGGATTTTAATACTATCTCTCCCCTACCATCCTGCCAACCGTGGATATGGTTTGTTTGTTGCCACCAAAATTCATGTTAAAATTTGACCTTCAGAATGAAGGTTTGGGGATGTGGCACCTAGTGGGAGATGTTTGAGTAATAGTGGCAGATCTCTCAGGAATAACTTGGTGCTGTTCTCCCAGTAGTGAGTGAGTTCTGGCTCTGGGGAGACTGGAATGGTTGTTGCAGGAACGGATTATTTCCCACAAGAGTGGGTTGTCATAAAGCCAGCACAGTCCTCAGGTTTCCCCTTTTTGCACATGTCTGTTTCCCTTTTGACCTTCTCCCTTCTCTACCATGTTGCGATAGAGGAAAACCCTTGCCAGAAGCCTGGGCCATGCCCTTGAACTTCTCAGCCTGCAGAACCGTGAGCTAAATAAACCTCTTTTCTTTATAAACTACCCAGTCTCAGGTACTCTCTTATAGCCACAGAAAATGGACTAAACTCCCTCTCCCATTTCCTACCCACTTTGTGGTCACCAAAACTTGTGAAACACTGACTTAGGTGGTGATTCTTAATCCTGGCTAAGTTAAGTGAAGTTGCATTTTCAACATGCCTTGGGAGTTCTTTTGATCTGTATGTATGTTTAAAAATAAACCTCCAGAGATTTTGATTCAAAGGGTCTGGGGTAGAACCCAGCCATCAGAAAAATTTAAAACCTCTTAGTGATTCCAAAGTACCACCAAGACTGAGAGCCACTGCACAAGATTCTCCATAAATTGAATATAAAAATGAAAGCCAGCTGGGCACGGTGGCTCACACCTGTACTCCCAGCACTTTGGAAGGCCGAGGCAGGTGCATCATGAGGTCAGGAGATCAAGACCATCCTGGCTAACACTGTGAAACTCCATCTCTACTAAAAATACAAAAAATTAGCTGGGCGTGGTGGCAGGCACCTGTAGTCCCAGCTACTCGGGAGGCTGAGGCAGGAGAATTGCTTGAACCCAGGAGGCGGAGGTTGCAGTAAGCAAAGATTGTGCCACTGCACTCCAGCCTGGGCGACAGAGCGAGCGTCTTTCTCAAAAAAAAAAAAAAAAAAAAAAATTGAAAACCAGTCTATCCCACTCTTCGTTACCCCTATCCTCACAGCATCACAGGTTGAGCTCACCACTAGCCTTAAATGCCTGGGGCTCCTTCCACCTACTTATGGGGCTCCTACTGTGTGCAAACAGCTCTTGGGGAGCTTACAAAAGAGGTAAAAGTCACTTCCCACAAAAGCATGAGGACGTGGGAAAAAACCACACATACAAACACTTATAAGTATTGTACAATCAGAATTGTACAGACCAGGAAACCGACATTCAGAAGAGGAAATGACCGCCCAGCGAGTTCATGCCAGAGCCAGAACTCTTACCTGGGATGCCTTTCTCCTTCTTGGCTCATTTTTACTTGAACCCAAGTTGAACCCTCTGCACTTCCTGCTCTTCTGTTGGTTGGGCCTGGCCTGGAGCTATCATCTTCATCATCAGGAGTAGCAGCATGGGGACAAGGGCAGCCTATCAAGGCTTATTCTGGGTCTAGCATTAGACTAAGTATCTGTTGAATGAATGAATGAATGTAGCCAGCCTAGCACCTGCCCACAGGCTGACATTAAGAACCACAAGTTCAGGCCAGGTGCAGTGGCTCATGCCTGTAATTCCAGCAAGACTGTTTGAGCTCAGGAGTTTAATACCAGCCTGGGCAACATAGCAAGAGCTCATCTGCACTAAAAGTAAAAATAATTGAGTGAAACTCGGTCTCAAAAAAAAAAAATTAGCTGGGCCTAGTGGCATGCGACTGTAGTCCCAGCTACTCAGAGGCTGAGATGGGAGGATCACTTGAGTGCCAGAGGCTGCAGTGAGCTATGCTCATGCCATTGCACTCCAGCCTGGGTGACAGAGTGAGACTCTGTCTCAGAAAACAAAAACAAAAACAAAAACCTTTGTTCAGGCTGGGTGTGGTTGCTCACGCCTATAATCCCAGCACTTTGGGCGGACCACTTGAGGCCAGGAGCTTGAGACCAGCCTGGCCAACACTGGGAAACCCTGTCTCTATTAAAAATACAAAAATTAGCCGGGCATGATGGTGGGTGCCTGTAATACAAGCTACTCAGGAGGCTGAGGCAGGAGAATCACTTGAACCCAGGAGGCAGAGGTTGCAGTGAGCCAAGATCGTACCACTGCACTCCAGCCTGGGTGAGAGACTGAGACTCTGTCTCAAAAAACAAACAAACAAAAGACCTTGGTTCAGATAACCTCTAGAATGAATCCCTTTAAACACTGAAATTAGTTCATTTTTCACAGACTCAGGAATCTCTAGACCTTGCCTCATAGCAACTATATAATTCACCCAAATTCTACCTTCTGTATAATTTTTTTTTTTTTGAGACGGAGTCTCGCTCTGTCGCCCAGGCTGGAGTGCAGTGGCGCAATCTCTGCTCACTGCAAGCTCCGCCTCCCGGGTTCACGCCATTCTCCTGCCTCAGCCTCACGACTAGCTGGGACTACAGGCGCCCGCCATCATGCCCGGCTAATTTTTTGTATTTTTAGTAGAGACGGGGTTTCACCGTGTTAGACAGGATGGTCTCGATCTCCTGACCTCGTGATCTGCCTGCCTCAGCCTCCTAAAGTGCTGGTATTACAGGTGTGAGCCACCGCGCGCGGCCTACCTTCTGTATAATTTCTATGGAACTATGAATTTACTTAGTTGCTGTTGACCGGTTGACCTAAAGTTATGTTGACATTTAACTCTATATTTTTAAACATCAGTGTTTAGATTTTGTATGTTGGAGCCCATTTATTTATTTGGCGGCCCTCAAACATTTTCCCATAGCCTCGTAGAATATTCAGTGGCCTTGGACTGTCCCTTAATGTCTTACTACAGATGGTACCACAGATGACCTCCAAAATAAAGGAAGAGACTTTCCTGCCTGTGGACAGGAGAGAGAGGTGTGGAGGATGAGAGCATAGTTTAACTTTTTTTTTTGAAAAACTTTATTGAGATATAATCCACATGCCATACAATTCACTGGCTTATAAGTATATAATTCAGTGGTTTTTAATATATCCATAGTTGCGTGATCATCACCACAATCAATTTTAAAAATTTTTATCACCTCCAAAAGAAAAACTGGTACTCTTTTTGAGTCACCCCCCATTTGCCTCCAATAACCCCCTCCCAGCTCTAGACAATCACCAATCTGACTTCTGTCTCTATAGATCAGCCTATTCTGGACATTTCCTATAAATACAATCATATAATATGTGTATGGCCTTGGAACTGGCTTCTTTCACTCAGCACAAGGTTTTCAAGGTTCATTCACGTTGTGGCATGTGCTTCATTCATTTTGATTGCCAAGTAATAGTGGATTGTACCGTGTTTTATTTATCCATTATCATTTGATGGATATTTGGATTGTTTCCACTTTTTTTTTTTTTTTTTTTTTTGAGACGGAGTCTCGCTCTGTCGCCCAGGCTGGAGTGCAGTGGCGGGATCTCGGCTCACTGCAAGCTCCGCCTCCCGTGTTCACGCCATTCTCCTGCCTCAGCCTCCCAAGTAGCTGGGACTACAGGCGCCCGCCACTACGCCCGGCTAATTTTTTGTATTTTTAGTAGAGACGGGGTTTCACCGTTTTAGCCGGGATGGTCTCGATCTCCTGACCTCGTGATCCGCCCGCCTCGGCCTCCCAAAGTGCTGGGATTACAGGCGTGAGCCACCGCGCCCGGCCTTGTTTCCACTTTTTAGCTGTTGTGAATAATGCTACTATGAACATTTGTGTACAAATTTTTGTGTATGTATGCTTTTATTTCTCCTGAGTATATACCTAGGAGTAGAATTGCTGGGTCATCTGGCAACTCTATGTTTTAAATTTTGAGGAAATGCCATACTGGTTTTCAAAGCAGCGGCACCATTTTACATTTCCACCAGCAATGTATGAAGGATCCAATTTCTCCATATCCTTACCAATGCTGGTTATTGCCTATCTTTTTTATTATAACCATCTTAGTGGGTATGAAGTGGTATCTCATTGTGGCTTTGCATTTCCTTCATTGCTAATGATGTTGAGCATCTTGGCCATGTGTATATCTATCTTCTTTGAAGAAATGTCTATCCAGATCCCTTGGCCTTTTTTTTTTTTTTTTTTTTTTTTTTTTTTTTTGAGACTGGGTCTCGCTCTGTCGCCCAGGCTGGAGTGCAGTGGTGTGATCTTGGTTCACCGCAACCTCTGCCTCCCAGGTTCAAACAATCCTCCCACCTCAGCCTCCCCAGTAGCTGGGACTACAGGCCCATGCCATCATGCCCAGTTAACTTTTTGTATTTTTAGTAGAGTCAGGGTTTTGCCATGTTGCCCAGGCTCCTTGCCCATTTTTTATTATTTGTCTCTTTATTATAGAGTTGTAAGAGTTCCTTATATATTCTAGATATAAGTCCCTTACCAGGAATATGATTTGCAAATATTTCCTCCCGTTCTGTGGGATATTGTATTATTTTGCCAAGGCTGCCATAACATAATACTATAGACTGGGTGGCTTAAACAACAGAAATTGGCTGGGTGCGGTGGCTCACACCTGTAATCCCAGCACTTTGGGAGGCCGAGGTGGGTGGATCACTTGAGGTCAGGAGTTTGAGACCAGCCTGGCCAACATGGTGAAACCCTTACTCTACTAAAAATACAAAAATTAGCCGAGCGTGGGGGCATGCACCTGTAATCCCAGCTTCTCAGGAGGCTGAGGCAGGAGAATCGCTTGAACCTGGGAGGTGGAGGTTGCAGTAAGCCAAGATCGTGCCACTGCACTCCACCCTGGGCAGCAGAGTGAAACTCTATGTCAAAAAAACAAAACAAAACAAACCCCCAGAAATTTATTCCTCACAATTCTGAAGGCTACAATTCTGAGATCAAGGTGTTGGCAGGTCTGGTCCCCCAGCCCTGAGTCCTCTCTCCTTGGTTTGTAATTAACCTTCTTCTCCCTGTGCCTTCCTCTGGTCTTTCCTCTGTGTGGCGCATCTCTAGTGTCTCTTCTTATGAGGACACCAGTCATTGGATGAGGGCCCCATCCAAGGGCCTCAGTTTAAGATGATCACCTCTTTAAAGACCTTATCTCCATCCACAGTTACATTCTGAGGTTCTGAGACTGTAACCAGTACAGTTCAGCATATGAATGGGGGTGAGGGGGCACACAATTCAGCTTATAACAGTTATTTTTTCACTCTCTTTTTGTTCTTTTTATGTTTAATTTTTTTTTTTTTTTTTTTTTAGAGACAGGGTCTTGCTCTGTCACCCAGGCGGGAGTACAGTAGCACCATCATAGCTCACTGCAGCCTTGAACTCCTAGGCAAAAGCAATCCTCTTAAATAGCTAGGACTACAATCATGAACCACTACGTCTGCCTAATTTTAAAAGAATTTGTAGAGACAGAGTTTCACTATGTTGCCCTGGCTGGTCTTGAGCTCCTGGCCTCAAGTAATCCTCCTATCTCCACCTCCCAAAATGCTGGGATTATAGGTGTGAGCCACCAGGCCCAGCCATAACTTTTCACTTTCTTGATGATACCCCTGAAAGCACAAAAGTTTTTAATTTATCTATTTTTTTTTCTTTTGTTGCTTGTGCTAATATCTAAGCAACTACTGTTTAATCCAAAGTCATGAAGATTTAGGCTTATGTTTTCTTCAGAGAGTTTTATAGTTTTAGCTCTTACATTTAGATCTATATGTTGCATATAGTATGAAGCAGGGATCCAAATTCATTCTTTTGCATGTGGATATCCAGTTGTCCCAGCACCATTTTTTGAAAACACTATTCTTTCCCCATTAAATTGTCTTGGCACTCTTGTTGAAAATCAATTGGCAGTAAGTGTAAGGGCTTCTGTCTGGACTCTCAGTTTTATTCCATTGGTCTGTATGCCCATCCTTATACCCGTACCACCCTGCCTTGATGACTGAAGTTTCCTAGTAAGTTTTGAAATCAGGACTTGTGAGTCCCCCAACTTATTCTGAATTTACTTTAACTTTTGATACCGAACACAGTGTGAGAGGTGAATGAACAGCATGACATTGGAGTTGGGAGCCCCCTCCCTCCAAAGGCCTTATTTTAGGAACACAGGCCCCAAGTGCCACACAAGCCTTGGAGAGATGGGTTCCCATCCTCTCAGCCCATGGCTCTTCATTATCAATCAATGGAAACATTCTTCGGAGAACAATGATTCCCTTGGGTTATTTTAAACATGGCTTTAAGTCTTCCCCACATGCTCTACTGTCTAATTGCTTTTCCTGAAACAGTGTCATTCACAACTGGATTATTAATGAACTGAGAGGGAGCCAGGGAGCCAATGAAGGGGGCTTACAGAGTTCCTGGAGAGGGCCTGGGGGCCTGGAACAAGTTCAACCCACAGATTTTCTCTCCCCCAAGAAAGGTGACTGAGCAAACAGAAAATCACTAAACTCAGGTGATGCTGGTGGCCTCAAAAGAATATTGCCAGTGAAAAAAAAAGGATTCGGGCGAGTTCCTCAAACATGACAGCTGAGAATCAAATTAACTGGGTACCATCCCCAAACTCCCCAAACTTAAACTCTGAATTTCCCCAGCTGGCTGGCCCTGGGGTGCCTAGGGCTCTCATCTGTAGGCCGGGAAAGCTCAGGAAACAAGGCCTTTGTGGAGAAGAGAAACCTATTGTTCTAAGGCCAGGGTTCAGCAAATGTGGATTCCAGAGAATGTTTGGGGAGGTTTTCTCTGCTTTGTTTATGAACTTTCTTTTCTCTTCCTGGGGTGGTGATGGTGGGGGGTGACTCTCAGCAACTTAAATAGTTAAACCCATTGTGTTGTAAAGAAAGGCTGGTGCACAGAGTGCAGAGGCCTTCAGCCCCAGAAAGAGGCTTGAATGAGGTGACAGAAGCCACCGGGTATGTTTTGCTTTTTATTTTTAGCGTTAAATCTCAGGGAAGCAGCCCCTATCTTCATCCTGCACATCTCAAAGGGCGTCAGACGTCAGCAGAGGTACGACCACTTCCTTCCTCCAGCGCTTCACCTCCCTTCTTTCCAGAAAGAGGAAATGATGCGAGTCCACACCGCAGGCCACAGCCCCCATGTCTCGGCCCCAGCAGCTGGGGGACCTGGCCCCACAGATCTGTCCCCAGCGCAAGGCCAGGGCCGGCCCCTGGACCTCCTGGGAAGCCTTCAGACTCAGGCCGCGCAGGCCTTCAAGCTAGGAACCCTGAGTTCCTGGCCCTGGCATTCATTCTGTGTGACCTTGAGCAGGTTACCACTCCTCTCTGGGCTTCAGGATTCCCGTCTGTCAAATGGGAGCAGGGATACCGTCCTTGGCTTCCCTCTTTCCATGGTCGGGGTGGGGGTTAGGAAAACTATTTTGGAGGAGGGGGCAGCGTTAGGAAAACTATTCCGAAGCCTGGCCACGTCCCAACCGGTTTCAACTTCCTGCAGCTCAGAAGAGGGGTCCCCACCCGAGAGCGCCGGGACCCTGTCCCGCGCTGCCTCCCAAGCCGGATGGGGTTGAGCGCGCCCACCCCAGTCCCAGGAGCTCAGGCCCCGCCTTGGGGGAGGAGCCGAGAGGCGGCGCGGAGGCTCGCGGCCGAGCAGAGCCAGCTCTGTCGCCGCTGGAGCAGCTGCGGCTCGGGGACCCACAGACACAGCCGGGGTCGGGAGCCGCCCGGGGCAGGGCTCGGGAGAGCGGGTGAGTTCCCCGGCGGCGCCACCACCCTCCTTGCGCTCTGCGGCTTCGCAGGGCGGGGGATGAGGATGGGGCGGGGAGGTGGTCCCAGCCTGCTATCACCTAGCTGGGGGCCGGGGCGCTTTGGCCAAGGGACGATAGCTTGAGATAAATGGGAGTGTGGGGACTCTGGAAAGACGGGTACCGAGAGCGCTAGGTCCGGGAGTCGGGCTGGAATGGGGGCGTTCTCCCCGGCCTCGCAATTCCTTGACGAGGCCAGGGGAGGGGGCGCATTGGCAGGTTGTTGGCTGCGGCCGTCGTAGACCGATCTTGGGGCGGGGAGGTGGGGTCCTCGGTCTGTTCTGGACTCATGGGGCCGCCGTCTGCCGGGGGTGCAATGCCGGGCGGCGGGAGCCACAGCGGACACCAAACAACCCCCCCCCGCGCACTCTCCCGGCCGGGCATGGTGGTGCCGCCCCCTCGCGTGGCGGGGCTTGGTCCTGGCGGGCAGCGGCAGGGCGCAGAGAGCGCTCCTGCCCGGGCGGGAAAGATCCCCAAGGCAGGCGCCTCCACCTGCAGACCCGCCCCGCCTCAGGATCCGGCTGACAGCACCAGCCAGCCCGGGGAGACCCCGCGAGTGGTAGTTCCCCGGGAGGGGCGCGCCCGGCCTCTCCCAGGGCCCCGTGCGCCGGCGGCTGGGTCCCCCGCGCCAGGAGCGCTCCCCTCTGGGCGACTCCGGCTCATCGATTCCGGCCCAGAGGAGCGCCCCCGGGCGCCGAGGATGGGCGGAGACGTGCAGCCGCCCCTGAGAGGTCGCCCAGAGGGGTCTCCCCAAGGTCACCCGGAGTGCCCAGGCTGAGCTGCCCAGACCGCCCCGGGTGGAGAGCCGGGAGGCAGGCGCTCGCTGCCCTCCTCCTTCCCCCATGTAGACTCCCTTCCTCCGCTCCCCCACCCCGGCCCGGCCTCCAGCTTCACTGGAGATGCTGATGATGCAGCTCCCAGCCCTTGGAGGATAATTGAGCCTGGGAGAGCTTTGAATCTGGCCCTCCTGAGACCCCAGGGCTGCGCCGCTGCCGCGCGCCAGGCCTGGGTCCCGGTGCTCCCGGGCACCTCAGGAGCGGAGGGAGAGGGATGTGGCTTCATCAGCGCTTCTAGGAACCGAAAACCGAGCTGCCTGCGCGCCCATGTGATTGCATTTCACATAAAGGGCCCCTGTTTTCACTGTCAGAAGAGCCCCCCAGCTCTCCGCGGCTCTGGACACCAGGTGCCGCCTCTGAATCACCCTCTGTGGAGGACCCGGGGCCCGGAGGTACAGGCGCCCTTTCCCGCAGGGCTCTCCCTGGAAAGGGCCTGCCGATGGCGGCCTCAGTCCGCAGGGGTACTTCCCTGTGTACCCTGCCATTTCCTGCGGCTGGTGAAGCACCGGAGAAAAACCGTCCATCTAGGAGGCCTCCTCCAAGGCTGGTAATAAAGCTTCTTAGCCCAGCCAGCGACTAGCTGTCTACTCGTGGGCAAGGTACTTGGCTTCTGGAGTCTCAACTGCCTCTAAGATACGGGGCTAACAGCCGCCAGGCTGTGGGGAGATGAGGGAGAGGCTGGGTGCAGCAGAGCGGGAGGATGAACACTCCTTGGCCAATACTGGCCGCCCTCGGGATTGGCTTTGAGTGGGGCGTGTCTCTCTTAGACAGGTGCAGAAGTGGAGCCCTGGTGGGTGGTTCTGCAGGGGCTGGGGGAGTTTCCACATCTTCCTCCCCCAGCTCTGTCATAAAAAGCCAGCTTGCAGGAGGCCGGTGGGGGCCAGCAAATCCTTCCAGCCGGCTGCCTGCTCACACGGCCCTTCCCACACAAATCTCCCATGCCCTTCTCTCCCACCTGTCACCCAAATCCCATCTTCCTGGCTGAGTCCCCAGGATGCTGGGGGCAAGATGTCAACCAGGCCACCCTGGACTGTCAACTCTGTGCCTACTTGTCTACTGGGGTCTACCTAACAGTGTTCCCCTGTCCTGGAACCTTCCTGGCTCCAGCTCTTCCCAGCCTCTGTAATGTCTTCTTTCCCCTCTTTTGGTCTCCTACCACCGTGACACTCATTAGTGGCTCTGTGGTTCATGTGTCAAGGGCCCCGTGCCATCTGTGCTCTCCAGATCATCCATGGCCTAGAAAGACACGGTAGGCAAGGCCCTGTGCCCACTCAGACTTTGCTCTCCCTGGTAATTGACGGAGTGGAGGTTAAATTCTAATCTAGCTGTTAAGTCATTTCAGGAGCTTGAGCCACAGGGCTAAGAGGATACTGATGTAGGCAGGTGGTTTTTCCTTAAAGCCAGAACCTTTCTCCTTTCTGCAGAGCCCATTTGAGCCCTTTGGAAACTAGGCCTATGTGTGATGGCCTCACAGAATCCTCACAACCCCGTGAAGTAGGCATTACTGATTCCCATTTTGCAGATGGGAAAACTGGGGCTCAGCTCCTCTCAAAACCAGCTCCATGCCCCAAGTGTAGCAACAGAGGCTGCAGCCAACCTGGTTTAGGAGAAGGCAGAAGGCACATACCTGAATTCAGGTGCTGTGCTTGGACTCTTGGGACCCCATCCCCCCAACCTTTCCCTCCCCTCTCCCAACCTAGCCACCACCCCTCCTGCACCCAGGACTCTTGTCACATTTGTTGACCAGGAGGTCCCAACTGGCACTCTTCCAGCAGAGACCAGGAAAACCTTCACTGTCCTGAGTGCATCTTAGCAATTGGGCTTCAAGAAGGGCTCGGACAAGCCTGCCTCTTACAGAAAGCTACGAGTATGAAGAGTGAGGGAGCCAGAGAGGTCTAATTTTAATTAGGGATCTATACCTAAAAGCTCTGTGACCCTGTATACATGACTTAATCTCTCTGAGTCTGGTTTTCTCATTTGTAAAATAGGTATCACAGTAATGCCTACTTTGTGGGATTGTAAGGATTCCATGAGACCATTAACACATAGAAAGTGCTCAGTACTAGGGTGGAGCATAGTGGCTCACACCTGTAATCCCAGCAGTTTGGGAGGCCAAGGCGGGAGGATCACTAGACGTCAGGAGTTCGAGACCAGCTGGCCAACATGGTGAAACCCCATCTCTACTAAAAATACAAAAATTAGTGCAGCATGGTGGCGCATGCCTGTAGTCCTAGCTACTTGGGAGGCTGAGGCACGAGAATTGCTTGAACCCGGGAGCAGGAGGTTGCAATGAGCCGAGATCACATGACTGCACTCCAGCCTGGGTGACAGAGCGAGACTCCATCTCAAAAAGAAAAAGAAAAAAAAAAGTGCTCAGTACAGCATCTGGTGTGGGTAGGAATGCAGGAAATGATCATTGTCACCATCACTACTATTTCCTCCTTTGTGTTGGACTCTCAAAGGTCCCACCTCCTCCAGTGCTAGGGTGGGGAGTGAGTGCGACCCTGTCTCTTCTGCCTGTAGCCATCAGGACGGGGAAAGCCTCTCAGCCTGTCTCCTGGGGCGGGGGTGGGGGCTCACTCCTGGGAACTTGAGTCTAGCACCAGCTTTTCCCCGGGGAGTCTGTGAGCAGCCACTTAGCCTTTCTCAGCTGACTGCCATTTTCCAGGATTCATTGATTCATTCAAAAGACGTTTATTCCATCCCAGCCCTTGTGCTTAGCAAGGGATTTCAAGATGAATGAGGCAGCTCTCAGAGTTCTCCCTCTATGGGGAGAGGCAGGCCTGGAGACAGATAATGAGGACACTGTGGGATAAAGGCTGCAACAGCAAGAAGAGAGAGTGACGAGCAGATCCACATGGCTCAGGCTGACCCAGGTCTGAATCTTGAAGCTGCCACCTTGTAGCTGGGTGAGGATGGACAGAGGCCTTACCTCTCAAGCAGATAAGCCACCTCCCTAAGATGATGATGTGAGGAGAGAAGTGAGACACTGTGGATAAAAAACCTAGCTTGGACCAGGTGCGGTGGCTCATGCCTGTAATCCCAGCAATTTGGGAGGCAGAGGTGGGCAGACTGATTGACTCCAGGAGTTCGAGACTAGCCTGGGCAATATGGCAAAACCCCGTCTCTACAAAAAATACAAAAAATTAGCCAGGCATGGTGGTGTGCACCTGTAGTCCCAGCTACTTGGAAGGCTGAGGTGGGAGAATCACCTGAACGGGGGAAGTGGAGGCTCCTGTGAGCCATGATTGCGTGCACCTCTGCACTCTAGCCTGGGCAACAGAGTAAGACCTTGTTTCGAAAAAAAAAAAAAAAAAAAAACAAAACCAAAAAACTTAAAAACCCAGCTTGGGCTTTCTAGATATTAATAAGTGCTCACAGATGTTCGTTGCTATTATTAGTCTATTATTGCCAATAACAGGTGGGCAAAAGTTGCTGTGGGAGCATGTTGAGCCCTTCAGTGACAGTTTTCCAGGTGGTAGGGCAGCCCTAGCCGGGAGAACAGCATGTGCAGAGGCACCGAGGCTTAAAAGTGCTGGATGTTTTTGGAGAGCAGTGGGAGGAGTTGCTGATGGAGCAGAGTCATGAGAAAGTTTGATGGAGGCAGAAGCAAGGCCAGGGAGGTAGCAGAGGCTATCCTGCCGGGAGCCCCGAAGGATTAAACACTCACTGACCCGAGGCAGTCCCTCTGCACCTTCCTTGGAGGGTGGTTCTCTAGTGAGGGTTGTCCAGGAAACTTCAGGATTAACTTTTGCATGGGAGGAAGGGCTGGTCTCTGCTCAACTATCCATACATTCACCATCCTTCCCTCTTCATTCCACCCAGGAAGCACGAAGAAGAAGAGGTCCACTCCCTCTTCCTGAGATGCTTTTCCCACCTCTGCACTTGTTTCTCTCTTCCTGGGACTCAGTTTCTCACCTGAGAGAAGAGGGTAGAAGTGGAGGAAGCGTCATGACCTGACTCACTGATTGATCATGATATAGCACCAAGTGCATTTCTGGATGCTGGTCACTGTCAAAGGTCTTTACTTGCATCGCCATTGAATTCTCATACCAATCCGTTGAAATGAATGCACTTATCCCCCACTGCACAGAGGGAGAAACCGAGGCACAGAGGGTGAGGCAATTTGCTAAAGGGCATGCAGCTTGTAAGTGACAGGAACTCACGTCTTGGGGGGCATCTCAAAGTTGCCATGTGCTATCCTTCACCACCTTCTTCACACACTTTGTAAATCTAAGGCTGACTGCAGAATATCTGGCCTCTTTTGCTTTGTGTACCTTTGGGCGCTGGGCAGTAGGCATTTTGGAGATGGGTCACAGTGGGGTGTGCTCTGGGTATGTAACCTGACTTTGGGGAAATTCCTGGGTGCAGACGCTTTGTGGGGAGGTGTTCTTGGATGTCTCAGAATCTAGAATGGCATTCCTTCGCCCACAGATGTGCCTTGATGCAGGCAATGTGCAGCTTGATTGATGTGGCAAGATGGTGGCTGAGCCCCACGGTGGCCCCAGGAAGGAATGAATGAATCTTTTAGGATGGCTGATCAGAGCATCACATGACCACAGACCCTCCCTGTTTCAGAGGACATCCAAACACAGGCTTACATTTCCTTTTACATGGGGGCAAAGTTTGGGGCCAGGGTTCAAATGCTGGCTCTGCCTCCACTGGCTTTGGGGCCTAGGGAAATTTTTTCACTTCCTTGAACCTTAATTTCTTCATCTGGAAATAAAGATGAAGAAATAAGTTGCTAATTTTAGCATCTTCAATAAGTTGCTAAATAGTAACTCACAAACACAATTCTGAATTGTCATAAGGATTTGTAATCATATGGAAAATGCTTGGCTTCCAAGCTGTAGATAATATTGATGTAATATCCAGCAGATTTTTCTCTGCAGTACTTATAATTGTGATTATATGGTTATATGTGAGCATTACTCTTTTAGTCTTCTGTTTCATCCACTAGACCTGTGGTTCTCAACTTGGGGCAGTTTGACCCTCCCCAGGGGATATTTGGCAATGTCTAAAGACGTTTTTGGTTGTTACAACTTTTCGGGGGATAGTGGGGGAGAGGAGCTACTGACATCCAGTGAGTAGACACCAGGGGTGCTGCTAAATATCCTGTGGTGCACAGGAGAGCACCCCCACAACAGAAAATGATCTGATCCCAAATATCAATAGTGCTGAGGTTAAGAAAGACTACACTGGACGATGAGCCCCATAAGGTCCGTGACTGTGTCCAATTCATTCAGCTGTGTGTCTCCAGTTGGCCAGCGTGATCAGCATGATGTCCAGCACACAGGAGACAATCAATATGCATTAAAGGAATGAATGAGGACTTGGAAGGCCTTATGTCCCCTGGAGTCCCAGGGGTTTAGCTTGTGGAACATTTTGAATAGGCAGAAGAGATTTAGATGAACTTGAATGATGAACAGCCAATTAGTAACTCAGGCCAAAGACATTCAGACCGAGCTCTCTGTTTTCCTTCCCAAGCAGGTGCTTGGGGGCCCAGATTATCTGAATTGTTCCTGCCATCACCACTGCATTTTACCCATGTAGATACAGGACCCGTCTTTATCTGGAAAGTAGGCTGGGGCAGAGGAGCATAGGTGCTGTCAGCTGGGCCCTTGGGATTTGCCAAGCTGGGGCACAGCTGCTTGTCAGCTTCCTGTTTTGTCCCTTTCTAGTGGAATGAAGGAAACCCACTGAATGGCTATTTTCCACTGACATTTACAGCAATGTGATAGGCCTTGGATTAATGAGGTCAAACTGCAGTGTGAAATCTGCCTGATAACTTGAAGCTTGGCCAACGGGAAGACATCGCTTGTTTTCTTTGGACCGTTTGATGTCCCTGGATGGCTTTAGGCAGGAAAGCAGGGGTCTCAATTCTGTACGAAAGAGGAGGGTGTTTTACTTCCTGGAATTATAGAGGCCAGAGGTGTCTCTTTTTCAATTTATTGGGAAGGTTTATTTTAATATGGACTTAGAAATAAATAACTTATTAAAGTGAAGGTTCACCTGGAGCCTTAGGCTGGCTGCTAAGTGTGAGTCTGGGCTGTTGAAGGGACTGTGCTGTTCTTCTGGGTCTCTGTAGGAGTTTGAAGGAGAAGACTGGCCCCAAAGGGTGTTTGAACAGGTTAGATGTGCCCATTGGTTAGAACTTACTTGGATAGGGAGAAGGGATCTAGGGCGTATCCACAAACTTGCATATGGATCCCCTTTGGTTTCCTGCTAAAATGCAGAAACTGACTCAGTAGGGCTGGGTATGGAGTTTTCTGCATTTCTACCAAGCTCCCAGGGGGTGTCAAGCTGCTAGTCTGTGAACTGCACTTTGAGAAGCAAGGGTATGGGAGACCCCAAGTCTACAGGTGAGGGTTCCCTGGTGCAAACCGCTTAAGCATGAAAGCAAATGCAGCCTGTTGTGCCTGTTCACACAGCCATCTGCTGTGCTGGCTGGCTTGCGGAGTCACAGATGTTCACTGTGCCCCTTCTCTGTGTGCCCAGGCCTGGGACCAGACTTGACAAAGAGGATGCTTGGTCTCAAGGAGCAACTCAGACAGCCAGAATGTCAGCTAGAATGATGAGCTTTGAGTACTTTCAAAAACATGTATCCAGGTACATGGTGTTCCTGGGTCATCTGGTCACCTGGGACTTGTGAGAAGTACAGATGCCTGGGCCTTAGCCCAGTCCACCTGTGTTAGAATCAGCCAATATAGGGCCCTGAAAGTCTGTATTTTCTCAAAGTGTGCCAGGTGATTCTGATTCACAGCCAGACTGATGGAAGGGAAGGTGGGAGGAAGAACTGCCAGTACATGCAGGTTAATTGCTCAGCAGGACCTATGTAAGGTTGTAGAGTTGTGTATTGCTGATGGGCACAGTGGCACTCGGCTAAAGGAGAGGCTGAAATCTAGCCTGTGGATCCACTTGCCAAGCTCTGCACCCTGCAGGGTTGCATCTGCTTAGAGGGACGGGCACCTTTTTCTTAATATTCATCATAATCACTTGGTACTTATTATGAGCCAGGTGCTGTCTACTTAACTCCTTTAGTCCTCCTAACAACTCTAAGGGGTGACATCATCATCATCATCATTATTATTATTATTATTATTATTATTATTATTATTATTATTATTTTGAGACACAGTCTCACTCTGTCGTCCAGGCTGGAGGGCAGTGGTGCCATCTCGGCTCACGGCAACTTCTGCTTCCCGGGTTCAAGTGATTCTCCTGCCTCAGCCTCCTGAGTAGCTGAGATTACAGGCACCCGCCACCACTCCTGGCTACATTTTGTATTTTTAGTAGAGAAGGGGTTTCACCATGTTGGCCAGGCTGGTCTCAAACTCCTGACCTCAAGTGATCCACCCGGCTCGGCCTCCCAGGGTGTTGGGATTACAGGCATGAGCCACTGTGTCTGGCCAGGTGTGACTTTAGTGCTACTCTGATTTTACTGTTCAGGAAAGTGAAGCAGAGAGGTTCAATGTCTTACTCAAGGTCACACAGCCAGTAAATGGAAAAGTCAGGATTCCATTTCAGGACATCCGGCTTCAAAGTCCTTGTACTGAATCATTACACTCTCTGGCCCTTTCTTTGCATAAAAATGCTGTCTTCTCTTTATGGGGCTATCCCTACTCTGAGGGAGTACCTTTTTTCTTGTCCTTCCTTCAGAGGGGGGAAGGCTAGCAATGACCTTGGCTGGCTTTAGAGTCAGGTACGGGTTTGATTCCTACCTCCAGCACCTACTGCAACCTTGAGTAAGTTACATGTGTGTATTTGCTGAGCCACAATTTCCCCATATGTAAAACAGGAATAATAATAGTATAATATAAATTGATATGATTAGGCATTTAGCCTCTGCTTGGCAGGTAGGAGGTACCTGATACATGCCAACTATTCTTATGGCATTATTATCATTAGAGTTAGTCCCTAGGAGTATTCAGGAGCTAGGGAAATAGGTGAGCAAAGCACTGTGTCATTATGTCCCCAGGAGCTGGGTCATTCATTTTGTTCACTAGGTTACTTATGGCCATTACTTACCTGGGCATCCCTAGTCTCCTCCGCTTCTTGGCCCCAGAGTCTGTGCCAGCCTGGAGAGTTCTCAGAATGTCTTAGTTCAGACTCTTAGTCAGAACTGCCTTTGTTTCCTCACATCCAAGAACAAGTAAAACATACAAATTTTGACACTTATTCTCTTTAGGTCTCTTGACTCTTTTTGGTGACTTTCTCTGTCTCCTGTTTTCTTTCTGGAACTATTGCTGTCGTTGGCTATCCCATGGACTGGATAGAGAGGAAATGTTGCCTTATAAACATTGCCAATTACCTTATAAAAATATAGGGAAGATTTTCACCAAAATGTCATTCATTTTTTTTCTTTTATATATAAACTTAAGCTTTTGTTTTCCTATGGCTGTATGTCATGCTTTTTAATTACACAAAGTATATAAGTGTATCATAAGTAAACTTTCCCCATCTTCTCAGCCACTCATCCCTTTTCCCCGGAATAAATCTATAAATGTTTTATGTATTTTTCCATAAATTTCATATGCATATATAAACCCATATTCATTTACATGTTTATCCATTTTTCTTTTTAACACAACTATACAAAACTCTCCTGAGATCTTCTTTTTCAGCTAATTTATCTGAGCACATGCCAACACACAGATATACCTGGATCTTTAAGGCTATCTGATAGTCCAGTGATAAAAATGTACCATCATTTGTTTTCTAGTTTCTTGATGATGGCTAAGATAGTTTCCAGTTTTTTTCCTCCTACAAATGTATAATGTTGCAACATCCTTGTTTGAACAGTGTATATATCTTTGTATACTCTACATACTGATGATTTTATTCATAAGGAAAATTCCTGGCAGTTTCAACTGTGATAGACATTGCTAACCTGTTCTCCAAAGAGGCTGAACCAATTTCTGTTTCCTCAACAGTGTATGACTGTTTCCCCCATCTATTCTCCAGCACTGAGGATTAAGTAACTTTCATTTTTGTCAGTCTGACAGATATAAAGCAGAACATTTCTGCATAAGGTTCTACAGTAATTTTTAGATTTTATGACCCTTTGGATTATGCCTACATAATGATGATCAAATATTCAGAAACTACATTGTACCTGGCCTTAGGCTTGGAATTGGATACAAAATTAAATGAAACCAGCTTTTGCCCTCAGGTTGATCCCATCTCCTGGAGTTGGCAGACAAATGAACAAATAAAATGAGAGCAAAACTGTATGGTTCACATTGTGCTAGAGAAATGCATAAGCTTAGCTAACTTTTGTTTGATAAACTCTATATTCATTAATATCACAAATGAATTCATAAAATACCGTATGCATTATGTCCCAGGGTGTGAGGAGGCTTGAAATTCTCAAAAGAAAACAACTTGATTAGAAGCAAAAAGAAAAAAAAAAATAATGGAGCTTATCCTTAGTGGGGGCAGCAGAAGAAGTGGGAAGTTAGGAAGGGGTGAGTAATTTTAGAATAGTCTCTTTGGTAGTTTCCATGTTCACAAATAGGGTTTGTTTGAGGGAGCCTGTGGGGAAACCCAGCTGAGTTTGCAGCTGGCACTGATTACCGATCACTCAAACCCGGGCAGATCTGTACGTTGGTCCAGATAGAGTGGGAGCAAGGAAACAGGAGGCTGGCTTTAAAAATCAGCAACCTTGAAGCTCATAGAGGTTGGATGTAGGTGGCATAAATAGGCTGTTTACCACAGGGATTACAAGCAGGTGTGCTCTGAACAGGCCTGTGGTAGAGTGGATCCATAGAATGGTTTTCAATCAATGAATGAACATCAAACATCTGTCTATGTATTGTAAAGGGACCTCCTTCTCAAAAAGAATAGGTCCATGTAGAAAGGGGTATGATCATCTGGTCGACCCACCTGGGGGGAACCAAGCCTTAGCTATATACATTTTCTTTGGGCCCACCTGTCCTAGATAGCTCTTCATTCACTTGAGACATCTTAAAAGCAACACAACACAAGGAGCAGTTGAGAAAATCAACTGAATCAGCGCTGTGGAATGAACCTAACCATTGTTTTACAACAAATCCCCTCAGCAGCGATATATAGAGCCAATTGCAAAGCATGCAGAGTGGAAAAGGGACTGTGAAGACCAGCACAATCTTAGTCCACCCTCTTACAGGAGGCAAAGGGCAGGGGCCAGGCGAGGTATGTCCTGGTTCTGGTCCCAGGGCCCACCCTCCTCCTCCCCCATTAGCCAAGTCTGTTTTGCCCAGTTTGATGTTACAGCTCTTGTTCTAAGTCAAAGGACCACTCTCTCATGGCAGAACAGAAATTCTTCATGAATTTTCAGTCTCTTGGCCAGCCTCCTGTCCACCCTCTCCCACGTATTGAATACCTACCATGTGCTGGGTGGCGCTATCATGGGATGTAAAGGTGAACAATACATATCCCTTGTCTTCTGAGAGCATCCAGTCCAATGGAAGAGGCAGATCTGAAACCAGCAATTACCAGAGTGCTGAGTGCCACAGAAGAGATGTGGTCAAATGCCTTGGGACTAGAGAGTGGAACGAAGACTGTTTGGCACAGGAGAGATAAAGAACAATTCAGAGGCAATATTAAGACATTGAGGCTGGGTGTGGTGGCTCACAGCTATAATCCCAGCACTTTGGGAGGCCAAGCTGGGCGGATCACCTTAGGTCAGGAGTTCAAGACCGGCCTAGCCAACATGGTGAAACCCTGTCTCTACTAAAAATACAAAAAAATTAGCCAGGCATGGTTGTGTGTGCCTGTAATCCCAGTTACTCAGGAGGCTGAGGCAAGAGAATCACTTGAACCTGGGAGCCGGAAGCTGTAGTGAGCAGAGATCGCACCACTGCACTCCAGCCTGGGCAACAAGATTGAAACTCCATCTCAAAAAAAAAAAAAAAAAAAGACATTGAGACAATATTGTCTAAATGAGACAAGGCAAGTGCTGAGCACGGTGCCTGGAAAGCCCTTAAGAGATGATAGCTATTGTCATTTTAGCACTTGAGCTACCTCTCAAAGAACAAGAGGAGTTTGCCAGGTGGAGAGAAAGAAGGGTACTGCCACTCATAAAACAGCATGTGTGGGTCGGGCGTAGTGGTTCATGCTTGTAATCCCAGCACTTTGGGAGGCCGAGGCGGGCGGATCACGAGGTCAGGAGATCGAGACCATCCTGGCTAACACGGTGAAACCCCGTCTCCACTAAAAATACAAAAAATTAGCCGGGCGTGGTGGCGGGCACCTGTAGTCCCAGCTGCTCGGGAGGCTGAGGCAGGAGAAAGGCGTGAACCCGGGAGGCGGAGCCTGCAGTGAGCTGAGATTGTGCCACTGCACTCCAGCCTGGGCGACAGAGCGAGACTCCGTCTCAAAAACAAAACAAAACAAAAACAGCGTGTGTGAAAGTGAGGAGGTTAGTGTGGTGTAGTGAAAATTGCATGGGCTTTGTAGCAGATACATCTTGGTTCAAATCTTAGCCCTGCCACTTCCTAGTTGTGACTTTGGGCGTGTCAAGAGGAGCCTCCTTTTACTAATATATCCAGTGGGGGTAATGATGCCTGTTTCTAAGACTCATTGCGGGGATTAAAGTCAATTTATGCATAGTACCTGGCACACAGTAGAGTCTCAGCAAATGGTGAGTACCACTGGGGAGGAGTGAATCATCAGTCCTGTTCGGTGCAGCTGGAAAATTGGGTATTTAGTGAGTTGGGGGAGGGGAGGGAAGTCAGGCTGGCCAGAGAGAAAGCTAAAATGTCAAGGCCCAGATATTGGACGGTTTAGGCTGAGAGCTTGAAACTGGACAGCATAGGCAGTGGGAGCCATCAGATGCTTCCCTCCAAGGGAAATACAGGATCAAACTTGGTTTAAGAGTGAAAACTCCACCAGCGTTGTGGATGGCTGGTTGGAAGGTAAGCGGTGGAGGCAAGGAAACCACTTTGGGAACTGCTGCATTCAATATTCTTGTCTTGACAACAGCTCAGATTAGCATAGCAAAGGCTCAGTTAACTCCTGCAGTCAAGTGCTGTCTGGGCAGGCAGTTATGGGCAGTGGTCGAGTGTGTAGGCTTCACTGATTGTCCTCTTTTTTTTTTTTTTTTTTCCCCTTGAGACAAGATCTCACTCTGTTGCCCAGGCTAGAGTGCAGTGATCTGTGATCGTGCAGTGGTGCAATGACAGTTCACTGCAGCCTCAACCTCCTGGGCTTAGGCGATCCTCCCACCTCAGCCTCCTGAGTTGCTGGGACTGCAGGTGGGAGACACCACACCCAGCTAATTTTTTAATGTTTTGAGATGAAGTCTCACTGTGTTGTCCAGGCTACTCTCAAACTCCTGGGCTCAAGCCATCCTTCCATCTTGGCCTCCCAAAGTGCTGGGATTCAGGCATGAACCACTGTACCTGACCCCTTGTAATTCTTGCAAGAAAAAGGAAAAAAAATAAAAAAGAGCATGGGCTTCAGTGTCAAAGCCAATCTGGATTTGAATCCCACCCCTATTGCTTACTGGACATTGGGCAATTACTTAACCCTATGGAGCTTAGTTTGCCCTTCTATAAAATAGGGATTAATAGTACTTTTCTCATAGGCTTGCTGTGAAGATTACATGAAATAGTATGAGTAGCTAAAACACATAGCTTAGCTCTAGGAATGCAGTGAGTGTTCAGTAAAAGTTGATAATTGTGATAAAATATATTACTAGCTGGGCATGGTGGTAGCTATAATCCTGGCTGCTTAGGGAGGCTGAGGCGGGAGGATTGTTTGAACCCAGGAGTTTGAGACCAGCCTAGGGAGCATACTGAGACCCTATCTCAAAAAAGATAAACTAAAAAATAAATATATTATGTATATGACTATAGAAGACTTTTTTCATGTAACTCCTATTAACATCCTCTGGCGCTACTAGTGTTCTACCAAAAACATCCTGCTTTCAGACTTCCTGGAGAAGCAGCAGCACTTTCTGCTCCAAGAAATAGTAAGGAGAGTTGCCAGGTTCTGACACAGTGGTTCTTGGGTGCACATGAGACCCACCTGGGGAGCTTTTAAAAACGTCAATTTCTGGCTGCGTTCCAGACCAATTAAACTAGAATCTGTCGAGGTGGGACCCAGAGAGCAGTATTTAAAAAAAAAAATTGTGATGATTTCTTAAGGAAAAACAAATACACAAAAGTACACAAATCTTAAGTGGATCAATTTTTCACAAACTGAACCTATCTATTTAACCCATATCCTGCTTGGAGTGCTACCAGCACTCCAGAAGCCCCCTCTCCAACCCCGTATGTCCCTTTCCAGTCACTCCCTACACCCTGAAACCACATAGATTAGTTTTGCCTGTTGTTGAATTTTACATAAATGCAATCATATAGTATGCATTTTTGTGTGTTTGGGTTATTTTGGTTAACACTGTTTGCGAGAGTCATCCATATTGTTGAGTGTAATTGTATATTGTTCATTCTCATTGCTGTACAATGTTTCATTGTGTGAACAAACCATATTTTTTCTCCAAACTACTTCTGGGGGCATTTTGGGTTGTTTATACTTTGCGTCTATTAGAAATAGTGCAATTAACATTCTTGTGAATGCCTTTTAGCGAATGTATACAGAAATTGCTGGCCGGGCGCAGTGGCTCATGCCTGTAATCCCAGCACTTTGGGAGGCCGAGGCGAGCGGATCACCTCAGGTCAGGAGTTCGAGACCAGCCTGACCAACATGGAGAAACCCCTTCTCTACTAAAAATACAAAATTAGCCGGGTGTGGTGGCACATGCCTGTAATCCCAGCTACTCAGGAGGCTGAGGCAGGAGAATTGCTTGAACCCGGCAGGTGGAGGTTGCAGTGAGCCGAGACTGTGCCATTGCACTCCAGCCTGGGCAACAAGAACGAAACTTCGTCTCAAAAAAAAAAAACAAATTTCTGTTGGGTGTATTCCTAGGAATTCAATTGCAGGATTATAGGACATGCCCGTGTTTAATTTTATAAGACATTGCTGAACAGTTTTAAAAAGTGGTTGTACCAATTTATATTCCCACTCAGTGTGTAAGAATTTTTGCCAACAGTTGGCATTTTCTGTCTTAAAAAAAAATTTGAGCCAGGTGCGGTGGCTCACGCCTGTAATCCCAGCATTTTGGGAGGCCGAGGTGGGCGGATCATGAGGTCAGGAGATCGAGACCATCCTGGCTAACACAGTGAAACCCTGTCTCTACTAAAAATATATATATATATAAAAATTAGCTAGGCATGGTGGCAGGCGCCTGTAGTCCCAGCTACTCAGGAGGCTGAGGCAGGAGAATGGCATGAACCCAGGAGGCGGAGCTTGCAGTGAGCTGAGATCGCACCACTGTACTCCAGCCTGGGTGACAGAGCAAGACTCCGTCTCAAAAAAAAAAAAAAAAAAATTTGGCCATTCTGATAGATTTGTAGTGGTCTTTCTCTGTGATCGTCCTGTATATTCCCAGCATCTCCAAGTGATTCCAATGCCAAGTTTGAGAACGTCTTTCCTAACAGATTTTGCAAAAGCAGAGTAGAACTGGGGAAAGAGATGTTGTAATGGTGAGTGCCTCCCCATGGACTCCCTGTGATGTCCCAGAGTTTTTGGTAGAACTGACCTGGCTATCAGCCAGTGGAGGGAGAATGTTCACATGTGTCAAACCTGACAGCCTGCCTCTCATTCCTATGTGCTTTATTTGGAGCAAATGGCTCCACCAGAAGTGATCTGGAAGCTAAGGGGGAAGCACTATGAAGCTCTGGAAAGATGCCACAGCAGGACTTTCATCTCTTTTTATAATTTAAGACCTGAATGAGAAGGGAAGATATGAGAAGTGACTAGTGGGCTATATACACATTGTCAGAGAAGAAGAGCTGGTCTTTGTGACATATTTTTTTGCCCCAAAGGCTGCCTAGACCCTGGCACTTGGAAGGTGCTAAAAAATGGTCATTGAAATAAACATATTAGAACTATCCCTAGTGAGAGACACCACCCAAAGAGGTGCAGAGGAAGGTACTGGTGAGAATTTAGTGGAATTGATGCTTTGGGTTCTTTTCTTTGTAATTTCTATGTTGCTGCTGAGATTTCCTATCTGTTCTTTTATTACAAGCATAATTTCCTTTACATTCTTGAGCAAAGTTATAACTGCTTTAACAATCTTTATTATTTCCAACACCTGGGTCACCTTGAGATTGGTCTCCATTGATTGCCTTTTCTCTTGAGTTTGAGTCACATTTTCCTGTTTGTTTGTTTTTAATTTGCCTAGTAATTTTGGATTACATCCTAAATGTTGTGAATGAGACCTGAAGAGACTCTGAATTCTATTCCTCAGAAATATATATATATTAATATATATAATATATATTATATTTACATTATATATAATTTATAATATAAATATAATATATATATTTTTTTAATCAGGCAATTAACTTGACCAAACTCAAACTCCAAACTCAGTCTTTCTTGGGTGGACAACATCTGAAATCTTTGCTGAATTCATTTAGCTTTAGTTGAACTACTTGAAGTCTGCCTTGTATGTACATCATTCAGTGAGATTTGGGCACTGTTTATACTCAGAATTTGGGGCTACTGTTCTGTGATTCTTTTCTGGGATATTTCTCCTTATTTTCCAGCTGTGGTTACCTGAACTCTGTCTTTAAACTCCTCAAATAGTAAGAGAGTAGTTTTCTATCCAAGTTTTAGCTAGTAAGTACAGCACTGACTGGGCGCTTCCCGCAAATAAAAAGCCATTAAAAACACGAAAGTTATCTAGTGCCATTTCTTTCCTTCAGGTGTTGCCTCCTCTCCAGTTTCTACTTGCTTGTAGTTGAACACATTTAGTGCCTTCCAATCTTTTTTTTTTTTTTTTTTTTTTCTGTCTAGAGTTCGTAATAGTTTTGTGTGGGAAGTTTGGTCCAGAAAGAGCTACTTTGCCCTTACTAGAAGCAGGACCTCTCTGATCAATAGCTTTGTTCATTTAGGGATCCTTAGACCCACCCTACTTTATTGCCTACCTCATATAGATGGCAATAAATATTTGTTTATTGGCTAAATAAATAGGATTTAAATTAAAAATGGAAGTGAATTTTCAGAGAAAATTGCCAGAAGAAAACCCTGAAACTAGTAGTTACTTATTGTTGGCATCAAGTATGAAACAGAGTGTTCAGGAATTTGCTGAGTAGAAGGATGGGTGTGGTAGTAGAGCTCCAGACATTTGAGTGTAGACCAAAGCAGTTAACAAAGTGAACCTGAGATTTTCACATGAGGAGATAAATTCAATTGTGTTAGCAATACCACTTTCGTGGGGTGAAACTATGGCTTATAGAGAAGTTATCATGTTCAAAGGAAATACAACCGGTGAGAGGGAAGCGGAGGTATGCTTGGAGTTCTGTATACCCAAGAGGAGGGAATCAAAGTGGAGGAACTTTGGCTGGAGATCAAAGAGGGGAGGAACAGAAGTAATGCTCTAAAGGCAGAATACTACAGCCTGCTTCTCTGCATGGTGACCTGGAAGGTCATAGATCCAGTACTGAGACTTCAAAACCTGCCTATGGGATGGAAACTTCACTTACCAAAATGTAGGGCATCTGGAAACTTTCTGATTTATTGTACTAACAGTTTCATCTCTCAGACAGGAGAGGAGAGAGGCCAGTTGCTGTTGTGAATCTGGTTTGGGAGTTACCGGATGAAGTGAAAGTGCTCACTGAGGCCAGGCACGGTGGCTCACACCTGTAATCCCAGCACTTTGGGAGGCCAAGGCTGGCGGATCACTTGAGGTCAGGAGTTCGAGACCAGCCTGGCCAACATGGTGAAACCTTGTCTCTGCTAAAAATACAAAAATTAGCTGGGCAGAGTGGCACTTGCCTGTAGTCCCAGCCACTCAGGTGGCTGAGGCAGGAGAATTGCTTGAACCTGGGAGGTTGAGGTTGCAGTGAGCCGAGATAGTGCCACTGCACTCCAGCCTGGGCAACAGAGACTTTGTCTCAAAAAAAAAAAAGAACAAAACAAATCCAAAAAACACACAAAAATGCTCACTGAAAAAAGGAGCACCCATAGGGGGTTGAGCCTATAGGGGTTTGGAAAGCAGATTTTATGAAATTTAGGATGAGATATATTTCCTGCCCAAGGCTCCAAAAGTGATGACAGCTCCAACAGTAAGGGAAGTTATGACTTTAATCAGATATCCTTACTCTGCATAGATTTCATTTATTTTCCTTCAAGGACTCCTCTTACCGTCATGCCTCCGTGGCTCATCTTTCCTGTCTGACATTTTTTTTTTTATTTTTAAGGAGAGGGGATATTAAAAATACTTAACTAATGGCATAGAGACTGACCAATCAAAACAGATGCCAGACTAATCAGAAGAGATGCTAACCACACACAACTGGAACATCAGCCCTAGTTACGAGTTCCCTAACCTCTCCGAGTCCCAGTTTTCTCCTCTCTGAAATGGGAACAATATCTACATTGCAGAGTTGGTGCAGTGATTCCCAGAAAGGTTACATGCAAAGAACTTGGCAGGTGGAAGGTATGCTGGACACAGAAGCTGCCATGATTACCTGGCATTCTTTGTTTCTAGGTTCATTTCATGTATCTAGTTTATAGGTTCTGCAATGTTAGCCTTTAGTTTCATTAAGCATGTTTTACTCTATACTGACTTCAGCAAGTATTTGTTCTATTACCAGTTGGTCTCTCTGGTTTTTTGGCCAAAATGTCCCCATCTCCCTGGTCACGAATACTGTGGATTTTCTGAAATCTTCTTGAAATTCATGAGAAAGATCTGTTAAAGATGGTTATGGTTCCTTTAGAGATTTTCCCAGTTCCTTCTTCTCCTTCTGCTTTTTATGGGTGTAGCCTTTGGAGTTAGGCAGACCTGGGTTCAAATGTCAGTTCCATCCCACACTGGCTATGCACTTAATTGGAATCTGCTCTCTGCGTTGCCCTCTGTCTTCCTCTTCTCATTCTTTTGTCCCCCAGGGTAGGACTTTTTCCTTCAAGTTCAATTCTATGCTTTTAATCGTCCTTGTTTCCTTGGAATTATTCTCTGAGCTTCAGTGAACAAACTATATGAAAAGTTTTTAAAAATTCCCATCCCAGGCTGGGCATGGCGGCCACGCCTGTAATCCCAGCACTTTGTGAGGCAAAGATGGATGGAATCACTGGAAATCAGGAGTTCAAGACCAGCCTGGCCAACATGGTGAAACCCTGTCTCTGCTACAAATACAAAAATTAGCTGGGAGGCTGAAGCAGGAGAATCACTTGAACCCAGGAGGCAGAGGTTGCAGTGAGCCAAGATCATACTAACACACTCCAGCCTGGGCAACAGAGTGGGACTCTGTATCCAAAAAAAATTCTATACCAACTACTTCCTAACTGGCTAAGAATATCCCTGGCTAAAGGGGAGGAGATAGCTTGTTAGGGATATTTGAGGTTTCTGAAATGGAGAGAGTGGTCTTATAAGGCAGCAAATTGTGTTCCCCTTCCTCTTATGCTGGTAATGGTGTGGAGCCCAAGATGCTTCAAATGGACAAGACAGTGATCCCCAGACCTGGATGAGGAAGGGTGTCAGTGGCGACAGTGCCTTGGTCCTTTTCCATTCCTGAATGGACCCTATCCAATTACCAACAGCATGCTGTCTCCCCACATTCCAGGGCCAGCCTTGGGAGGGGGAAGTAGGAACTAGAAAAAAACTGTAAAAGAGCCGCAAGTGCTTTAGAAGATCTTCCTGGTAAAATGCAAGAAGATATCAGAAAATCCATTGTATTAGTGATCAGGGAGATAAGGGGACATTTTGGTTAACAAACCAGATAGACCAATTTGTAATAGAACAAGTACTTGCTAACGTCCATATGGAGTAAAATAGGGACTGCCCTCCTCTGCTTGAGTTCCTAGAGTCTGGATCTAGTCACCTTATCAGGGTGGAGTACAGTTCTTCCTTTGCTCCCTAGGATGGGTTATTGGAAACATTCCTATGTGAACCTGAGATTTCCTTGATGCTTATCTACCATGGATGCCACAGTGAGTTGTTGCTGTTGTTTGGATGATATTCTGGGATTTGAAGGGCCTTTCCACTCATACCTGATAACTTCCTAGATCCTTGGCCTCCCAAAGTGCTGGGATTACAGGCATAAAGTACCATGCCCAGCCAAGGATTTTAATCAGTGGATACAAAGGCAACTACTGGATGATGTAGAACAGAATTGCGTACTCAGTGTGCATGCAGCCACTTCCCACCTCTTCAGCCATGGCAGGCTTTGCTAATTGATCACAACACACGTTCTCCCTGTTATCACACATGGCTTCGTAATCCCTCTCCTCACAGTGCACCAAGTAGCCACCACCAACCTAAGTGGTGGCACAAGAGAGGAAAGTTTGGTCATGAGTGTTGTGCTGGGAGAGAAAGGCAGGGATTAGAGGCCACCCCCAGCCTACCCGATGTGAAGGGCCATCCCCAATTTAATAACTGTGTAACCCAGGAGTGTGTTCGGTAGCCACAGGTGGCCTCCTTTGGAAAATGATCCCTCCAGCTGCAAAGGGAGTTTTTATCTCCCTGTGAAGGGAGGGGGTGGACCACACTCCCTCAAGCCTGGAGAAACTGTTTGTAATTTGACTCCCGTTTCCCCAAGCTTAGCTATTACATAAGCTTCTTTAGAAGACAGGCTGTTTGGTTTAGCACCGTGACTGTGACTGACTAATGCGTTTGTAGACATCATGTTAGCTTTGTGTGTGCCCCTGTCCTTGGCACCCTTGTTCCTGTCCCCTACGGCCTTCTCCACACTGCTGTACTTACCCAAAAGTGTGTGGGCTTCCCTGGGTTCAAGTTCTTGCAGGGGAAGCTCAGCATGGAAGACCAGTGTGTTCATGGGTATTCCTTTACCTGTTTGAGCTGTGGCCTCCTTTGAAGTTTTCTTGGAGCTGAGCCTGAGAGAGCGGCTTCACCCTGACAGGCAGAACCAATCCAAATCATCAATCAGCACCTGCTTAAAATGGGCCTTGCAAGTTGTGTAGCCTGGTGGTTACCAAATGCTGGGTGCAGATATGCATGATAGAGTGCTTAGTCCCAATACGATGCCAGCCCCTGCAGGCCAGGATTGGGGCTCATGGGCCTTCATGGGGCCATTCCCGTCTACCACCCACCATAGACCTCTAAAGGCCATGGAGTTCCTGGTAGTGGGGACTCCAGCATCATGCCATGGCTGGACTTTGTTGAATTATCACTGTTAGACAGTTTATCCTCATGCCAGGCTGATCCTAGTTGTTCTTTTTAAAAAATTATTCATGTATTTATTTTTTAAATGATTTATTTTTATTTTTTAGAGACAGGGTCTTGTCCTGTCACTCAGGCTGGAATGGAGTGGTGTCATCATAGCTCACTGCAGCCTCAAACCCCTGGGCTCAAGTGATCCTCCCACCTCAGCCTCCCAAGTAGCTGGGACTAGAGGCACACGCCACCACACCTGGCTAATTTTAATTTATTTTTGTAGAGACGGGGTCTTGCTATGTTGCCCAGGCTGTGGATCCCACTCTTCATATTACCATGCCTAAGCCTCACTCTGCCCTCCAGAGGCCTGGAACAAAGCCGATCCTTTTTTGTTGCCTTTTGTTAACACCTGGTCTGCTCCCAATATGGCCCAGCCAGTTCAGACAGAGGTCAGTAGGTCTGTTATTGTTCCACTGCTGGACATGATGACATGATTCTTCTCCTGGGAAAGCTCAAGATGCATGAGTTGTTTCATCACTCTTTGTTCTTGTTAAATGTGTGGTTTTTGAATCCTGCCTCCTCTACCTTCAGCCTCCCCAACACACACAAAGTCCTGCTAAATGGGGTTATAGTCAATGGGCTTCAGGGGACAGTGACAAGTCAGAGATCTGAATGAAGGAGCACAGCTGGGAGAATTGGAGTTACGGAGTTGACCTGTGGGGATCTGAGTTTCACGACTGATTTAAAACCAGGAGATCTGTCTATGATGGCAATGCCCAAAGTCTAGAAGGTTCATCCTAGCAGGAGTAGGACAGTCAGTCCACAAAAATCCCATGGGAATGAGATTAGGGGAGACAACATTGATTTCTAATTCAGGTATTTGGAGCACCAAGGGCCCCAGAAGTCTCTTTGCTCATGAGTTAAAGCATCTTTATGCTGGAAAAAAAAAATGACGCTATTATTCAAAGAAGTGTGTTGTGGGAGGGCGGGGGTGTACATCCTTTAGGAGAGAAAGTAGGTCCCGAGTGAGATCCCAGGAGTAGGAAAGCCAGCACTGTTTGTTTTGTTTTCTTCTTTCCCTCATGCTCAATGGTACAGGAAACACAAGGAGAAAAGGACCCATCGCCTTCCTCCAGGCTGCTGCCAATATTGTGTAGAGAAGAATAGCTGAAGAACATGAAAACAAATCTTCACATTTCCTTTTAACAGTGTGAACTTTGAAACACTTTCTGACTCATATTTTAAAATCTCTTAAATTTGAATTCACCTTCCTTCATGTTGTTTTTCTCGAGGCACTAGGCTTGAGTCCAAAAATGTGTCAACCGACTGCTCCCCCAGAATTAAGCAGTCACAAAGCCTGGGCCCGCTTCTCCCAGCTGAGTGGGCAGGGAAACCTGGCTTTGACCTTCCTACCCTTCCTCAAAGCTGGGCCTCACCTCAGGCCTGAAGAGCCAAGAAATAACCATTGTAAGGGGAAGAGGAGGTATTTGGTAATATGCCTCAGCAAGAGGCCATTCATTTTGCTACAAGCAGCAGTTGCCTCTGGGGTCCCTATTTCTGCACCCCTAAAAACATCATTGCTGTCTCTTAAGGTGCTTTTGGCCACAGGTGGCAACATCCAATTCAACTGGCTCAAATAATAAAGGGGCTTTTGTTGGCTTGGATAACTGAAGTCCTGAGACCCCTTACTTAAAGGACCCTGTTTCCCTCTGGTGACCGCCAAGCATTGGTTTCATCCAAAAGCCAGCTTCCTGCAGGGATGGTGGCAACAAGGCTTCCAGGAGCAACTGTGTGTTGTGCTTCCAGTTCACAGATTGTGAGAAGAGAGAGCTTCTGATTGGGCCAACTCAGGACACGTGCCTAGCCTCAACCACTCACTGTGCTGGGCTCAGGCCGCTGCTGACAGGCTCTGGCCCATCAGGACCCAGCACTGAGTAATAATGTGGGAATACACAGATCACCACCAAACCAGTGCCTCTGTAGTTTTCCCAGAGGTATATTTATTCCCCCAAATAACACTCTTGTAATAGTCTTCTTTCTTTTTTGAAGGTGGAGAGTGTGAGGAGTTCTGTAGTACATCCTGCCTACTCCCCTGCCATATTTTGGGCGATGCTATTATTCAAAGAAGTGTGTTGTGGGAAGGCGGGGGTGTACCCTGCCATACTTTCTTGCCTTTCCCTTAAAGGGTCAGCCCTCTGGAGCTGAGTCTCTGCTTCCCCAGATATGCACTGACTCTGTCTCTCCCTTTGGGGTCAACAAGAGGAATGGAGTTCGGACTTTGTCAGACAAGAGGGGCTGAGTTAAGGCTCTAGGGGAAGAGGTGAACACACCTCAGTGGCCTGTTCCTGCTTCCCCAAGGGTCAAGTGCCTTGGCCTCAGACTTCCTGCTGGCCACAGTCAAACTATTTTGGTTCATCCACCCAGATGTTAGAAAAATTAAGTACCCTACCCTATTTCCCCTTGCTTCTGATTTCTCTTCTCATATCACAGATACTTCCTGGATGACCTCACCCGACCTGGCCTCCACAGATCCCTGCCACAGATATCTTGCCAGTTCTGGACACTCTGTTGACTTGTGGGCCCATGTATCCCATTCTCTGCAGGATGTTCCGTCTGGATTTTCCGATGCTGGGCTTGCTATGTCTCCATGGAGCTGGTTTTCCTCCAAATGAGGTCTTCCTTGGGGATCCCCTTTAAGTCTTGATGATAACCATTGCTCTCCCAGGTCCTGGCAGTTTGTGCTGTGTTCCCATCACCCTCTGGGGCTTTCTCTGGAAGTGTGGATAGGTGAGCCCAGGTCTTACAAGGAGGACAGTCTGCAGCCTATTGGAGCCATGGCTGCCGTGGGCTGCCCCAGCACCCAGGCCAGTGCCCTGTCTTGGGGCCACCCCGCTGCTGTGTTTGCAGCACCATGGCAGTTCTTTAATTAGACCAAGCAGGGATTTCTCAGACGGGGGTGGGAGGAGGTGTGCGGGTCTATTGGGGGAAACTAGGTCACCTGAAAACCAGTAATCAAGAGGGAGCTGTCCTCGAGCCCCAGCTCCAAGGAACCCAGAGGGGCAAGGTGGGAGGGGCTCGCGGGGAGGGCCAAGTCAGAGAAAATATGCCTCTGGCCCCTTTTACTGGCCCTTGGGAGACATTGTTCTCACCTTTCTCCAGGGAGCTGGGCAACTGCCCTTAATTCCTTTGCTGGGAGTAGGGAGGACACTGCAGTGGTGCCTTCTGTCTGCCTGGGGCCTGCCACCCTGGGGCCCATGGAGGGAGCACTGTGCTGTGAGTCAGGCCCCAGGTTTAGTTACTGCTCAGCCTCTGTATCCTTGGAGCAGGTCACCCACTCCCATGTGTCTGTGCCATCCATCCACTGCACAGGGACTGTGTCTGCCTTTACCCTGCTGCCTCTCTAGCCCTGAGCACAGGCCTGGCATGTGGTAGATGCCACCTAAATATTTGTCAAACAAAATAATGAGTTTATATGAGTGCTTCTCTTGTAAGATTATTGCCACGAAGATCAATGGCAAGATGGGTTTCCCAAATATCAGTCACTTATAAGTTTTGCCAACACTAAACGCCATTGTCATTAAATTTTTCTTTACTATCAACTTCCTATTTCCAACTGAAATAGATTTGTTTAAAAAGGAAATTTTATATCACAACCATAAACAAACAGTAACTGTGAAAACAAATCCACAGGAAACAAAACAATGTTATTACATTCTATCCTAGATACAGTGGCTTGCCCAGGCCAGGAGCTGAGGCCTGCTTTCTCTTTGTTTTGAAGGAGGATTGGCATAGTTATAAAGATGTTAAGGGTCTGTTAGCATTGGACTGACACTTTTCTCTGGAGAAAGTCTGAAAGATTAAAAGAGAAGTGAAAAGCCTATATACCCTGCTCTCTGTGTGGGTCCATGTTACGTCAAGGCTTGTTCCTGTACTTTTGAAAATTTCCTTGGAATGGATTCTCCTTCCACACTTAGGGAAGCACTTGGCTGAGATGATGGCTGGGGAAGTTCTTTGAAAGGGATAAAGTGCTGTAACAGCGCAAGTGATTGGTACCATTACTCTTTACTTTTAGCATGTTTTTGGTACCTTCCACTCAGAGGTGATCAGTCATAATAATGAAGAAATGAGTAACTGTGTTCAGGATCTTAGGGCTGAAAGACATCTCACAGAATACTTAGGCCAATCTGACACGGGTGGACATTTTATCCTCCAGTGAGTGACGAGGAACTTGCCACCTCCTGAGACAGCCATTGACCACGAGCACCTTTGTCGAATTGCTTGTTGGACAGCTCTAGAGGCCGGTGTCTGTTCTTGGGGTGCACACAGCTGCTTCCTTGTACTTCCTTGTTCCTCCAAATGAGGTCTTCCTTGGGGGTCCCCTTTAAGGGTTGATGATAACCATTGCTCTCCCAGATCCTGGCATTGGGCTGTGTTCCCATCACCCTCTGGGTCTCACGAGGAGGCCAGTCTGCAGCCCATTGGAACCTGGCTGCCGTGGGCTGCCCCAGCACCCAGGCCAGTGCCCTGTCTTGGGGCCGCCTAGCTGCTGTGTTCACCCTGCTGTGTGTTGGGGAGACTCACAGGCTCTCTTTCCTTTCTTGTTCAGAGTGGAGCTCTGGTTATTTGGAAACTGCTGTCTCATTCTGCCTAAGACAGAGCTTGCAAACTCAAATGACATTGGAGCTGGCAAATGATGTCAGTTAGTGAGGGCAGTCAGGCGGGAGTAATGGGGAGCATTGGGGACTATGGTAATGGAGAGCGTATGTGCCCTATCTAAAGGGGACAGCCCGACTCTACACCAGTTGATGGTGATGCCGTGTGAGCCCACTGTGGCCCCATACCAAGATGTTCTAAGAAAAGCAGACCCCCCGATGTTGGATATAAAATCTCCAAGTTGTAAATGTCAGCAATGAATTAAAATATTTTAAAACATGGTGTGGACTTCGACCAAACTAACCAACAAACACGATGTGGATCACAGGAGGCTTTCTGGTCAGGCCTGGCCCACAGCCACAAGTGGCTCATCACTGCCAACAAGACTTCTCTGCTCCTTTTGGGCTGGGCAGCCACGTCCTCTTCGGGCCATGCTTGTGCATGTTGGTTTCCAGAGTTCCCTCCATTGTGGTCAGCCACTCTGTACACCTTTGAGCGCTGCCTAACTCCCTCTCAGCTCGTGTCTGCTCCTTTCAACTGGTGAAATCCTACTTCTGCACTGAGATTCAAATCTGTTGTCCTGTATTCTGGAAAGCCTTCCTTGAGAACCCCGGGCAGACTGGCTCTTCCACTATCTAGCGGTGGTATGTTGGGTAAATGACTTAATCACTCTGTGCCTTAGTTTCCTCATCTGGAAAATGGGCATGATAGTACCTAGTACTACTATTTTATTAGGTTACTGGGATAATTAAATGGATTTATGAGATAAATTGACAGACAGAAGGCAGAGGTGGTCCGCATCCGTCTCTGAATCAGGGCTCGTCACAGAGCAGGACTTCATTAAATGTTTACTCACTCGAGGAAGTGGAGTGAAATAAACTTGTGATCTGCTAGCTCCCAGAGAGGTCTGACTATAATAATGATATTGTGTGGTTGTGAATTGAACTCTTTTGAACTCCTTACTTCTAAAAAAGCAACCAAAACATCTATATCTAAGTGGCTAAAATAGAAAGCAGTGACAATCCCAAATGCTGAAGGGGAACTGGATCACTCACACATTGCTGGAGGGTATGAAACCAGCACAGCCATTCTGGAGAACAGTTGGGCAGTTTTCTTTTAAAAGTAAACATGTGCCAGGCGCGGGGGCTCACGCCTGTAATCTGAGCACTTTGGGAGGCCGAGGTGGGCAGATTACCTGAGGTCAGCAGTTTGAGACCAGCCTGGCCAACATGGTGAAACCCCGTCTCTACAAAAATACAAAAATTAGCCGGGCATGATGGTGGGTGCCTGTAATCTCAGCTACTTGGGAGGCTGAGGTGGGAGAATCGCTTGAACCCAGGAGGCGGAGGTTGCAGTGAGCCGAGATCACGCCATTGCACTCCAGCCTGGGCGACAGAGCGAGATCTCAAAAAAAAAAAAAAAAAAGTAAATGTGCAATTACCATATGCCTTATCACTTGTACTCTTGGGTATTTGCTCCTGAGAAACAAAAACTTATGTTTACACAATCTGTAGATGAATGGAACAGCCTTAAACTGGAAACGATGCAGATGTTCCTCAATAGGTAAATGGTTAAACAAATTGGGGCCATCCATAAAATGGAATACTACCCAGCAACAAGAAGAAACGCACTATTGATGCATGCAGCAATGTGGATGAATCTCAAAGGAATGATGCTGGGTGAAAAAAGCCAATCCTCAAAGGTTACCTGCTATCTGATTCTATTTATATAACATCTTTTGAAATGACAAAATTCTAGAGATGGGGAACAGATTAGTAATTGCCAAGGCAGGGACAGGAGTGGGTTGGAGGGGGAGCCTAGAGAAGGAGATAGGTGTGGTTATGAACTGAGGTGGTAGATACATTGATACAATTGCATAAAACAAAACACATCCAAATAAGTACATGTGAAACTAGGGAAATCGGCATAAGATTGGTGGGTTGTATCACGTCAGGTTTCTGGCTGTGATACTGTATAGTAGTTTTCAAGATGCTACCACTGGGATAAACTGGGTGAAGTGTACACAGAATCTCTCTGTACTATTTGTTACGCTCCCTGTGAATCTACAATGATCTAAAATAAAAAGTTTAATTAGTTGAAAGTGCATTGCAAGTGTATTCAAAACAGAAATCAAAACAAAACAAACAAAAGGCAACCAAAACCAGCTAGCTTGTCTCCCATTGAGCCTTGCCATTGGCTTATTTATGCTGGAGGTCACACCCACTCAGACCCTGGAACTTTTGCCCTTTGGGCATTGCCAAGCCAACCCCTTCCCCATTCTGCCTGCTTACTCTCCAGTCTCCGAGCTGGGAGAGACATGAAGAACGATCTGGATCTGACCCAATCTGAGCACCTGAGGATTTAGCCTGAGCCCTGCTCTTCAGCTTCTGTAGAAAGGGCTTTTGGAGGGGCGGGTGACGCAGGCGACCCAGGAGATTAACAACGCTTCCTGAAACCAACCAGGGGCTAACCCAATACTCTTTGAGACAGTGGACCACATCACACAGATGTAGACTCCTGCCATTCTTTCCTGTTACCCAACAACCATAAACCAGCCTTGCCTGCTGGTTCACAAACATGCTGCATTTACATCTCCCTACCATTCCTCCTCCAAGCTTGTGTCTCATTGTTTAGTGTCTTAATGTTTAGGGCCAGCTCTTTTTTAAAAAATTATTTTATTTTTTTGTAGAGATAAGGGTCTCGCTATGTTCCCCAGGCTGGTCTGGAACTCCTGGCCTCAAGCTGTCGTCCCACCCTGGACTCCCAAAATGTTGAGATTGCAGGCATTGAGCCAGTGCATCCAGCCCCAGCTCTTTTTATTCCTTGCACCTGTAACTTCTGGGAGGTGGATAGGACACTTTGCAGGTGGAGGAACAGGCTTAGAGAGGATCAAGTGATTGTCCTAAGACCCTTTCCCTCTGTGTCTGAAAGTTCATAGAGTCCGTGCTGAAGACCAGCTGGCTTTAGACTTTGAAATTTTGTTGACCTCATGTTATTTGAAACTCATGAGAGCAAGGATGTAATTTTTTTTTAAAGGTCATCCAAAGAGAGAAACTTTAACTAAGATTTTCTATGTCCCAGTAGTTCAGCAGTTTTTAAACTTTTTTGTCTTAGGATTTCTTTAGTTCCTTAAATTGAGCATCCCAAAGAGCTTTTGTTTATGTGGATTATATCTGTCAATATTTATCATAATATAAATGAATATTGAGGAATTTTTAAGAATAGCATTAATTCCTTTAAGATAAAACCATAAACCCATGATATATTATAACAATATAATAATCTATAACATATTTTTATTAGACTGTTATAAAAGCATAACATATAATATATAACATTTTGATGAAAAATAGCTATTTTTCAAAACAAAAAAAATTTAGTGAGAAAAGTGATGTTTAAAAATTTTGCAAAATTCTTTATGTTGAGCTTAGCAGCTGGATTCTTGTATCTACTTCTGCATTTAGTTTGTTGCAATGTCACTTTTCATATAGCTTTGGGAACCACTGTATACTCATAAGATAATGAGTAGAAAAGGTTAGTAATATCTTAGTATAGTTATGAAAATAGTTTTGACCTATGGACTTCTTGAAATGGTTTCAGGAATTCCCTATGGGGTTCCCAGACCACACTTTGAGAAGCACTGCAATAGTGTATTGTTTCTTCTGGTCTCTTTCTTGTCCTGTCTGTCCCATCTCCAGTACAACTTGCATCCCATAGTGATCAGAACAAAAGAGGCTTGAGCAGAAGTGTCAGATGTTCATAATTCTGAGGCCTTGGATGTTTGTATAGTCTCCAGATTTTTGGGGGCCTGCAGCCCCCATCATGTCCTGACCCTCCCTGCACCCCTTCTGATTCCAGCACTCAGATACCCAAATCCTTAAAGTAGGGTGACTCTATACAAGAAAACTAAAATGGCATGGTTCTTGTTAAATAGCTGTGGCTAGAGAGGCAGACAACCAAGCTATCCAATAGAGCTTTCTGCAGTGATGGATATATTCTTTATCTGCATTGTCCAGTATGAAGCATGTGGCGATTGTGCACTTGAAATGTGGATAGTGCAACCAAGGAATTAAATTATTTTACTTTATTCTAATTGATTTAAATTTAAATAGCCACAGGTGGCTACTGGCTGCTGCATTAGGCAGCATAGCCAGACCTTGCTGATACTTACAGGGCCACTGTAAGGATTTGCACTTCTCTTGAGGAGCAATGGAAGGAAAACCTCAAAAGCGTTTCGAACACGGGGCGTTGGGGGACGATCAGATCTGAGTTGTGGAGTCTGACACATGTGTTCATCTGTGTCTCCCTCCCTGCCACAGGCCACACCATGAGGCCCCAGCCCCACCAGAGGCCCCGCGCTGCCCTGGCCCCCGGTGCACCGTGCTAGCCCCCAGCCAGGGCGTTGGGGAGGGCGGTGGCCATGGCCAGTCACGTGGACCTGCTGACGGAGCTGCAGCTGCTGGAGAAGGTGCCCACGCTGGAGCGGCTGCGGGCTGCCCAGAAGCGCCGGGCCCAGCAGCTGAAGAAATGGGCACAGTACGAGCAGGACTTGCAGCACCGCAAGCGAAAGCATGAGCGGAAGCGCAGCACGGGCGGCCGCCGCAAGAAAGTGTCCTTCGAGGCCAGCGTGGCCCTGCTGGAGGCCTCGCTGAGGAACGACGCCGAGGAAGGTAGGCCCCTCTGTGCCTTGGCGGCCACGCAGCTGCCTTGGCCTCTGATCAGGGTTTGGAATCCAGGTTCTGTGCAGTAGACGTGTGGGCAAGGCAGGTCTGCAGACCCACTTCCAAGTTCCAGCAGCCCCATTCCTCTTAGGAAGTGGACGTTCCTAGGAACTTCGAATTTATCTTAGACTTCTTTTTTTTCTAAGACAGGGTCTCGCTCTGTCTCCCAGGCTGGAGTATAGTGGCGCGATCTCAGCTCGCTGCAACCTCTGCCACCCAGGCTCAAGTGATCCTTCCACCTCAGCTTCCCTAGTAGCTGGGATCACAGGTGTACTGCCACCATACCCAGCTAATTAAAACAAAAAAAATTTGTAGAGATGGGGGTCTCATTCTGTTGCCCTGGCTGGTCTCGAATTCCTGAGCTCAAGTGATCTGCCCGCCATTGGTCTCCCAAAATGCTGGGATTACAGGCAAGAGCCGCAGCGCCAGGCCTAGACTTTTTGTTTAAACATCTTCGTTCATTTGTTTTTATTTATTTATTTATTTAGACATAGGGTCTTACTGTGTTGCCCAGGCTGGTCTCAAACTCCCAGCTTAAAGGGATCCTCGTGCCTCAGCCTCCCAAGTAGCTAGTATTATAGGCAGGCCACCTTGCCCAGCTGTATTTTTTTGGGAACAAGGATTCCAGCCTTTGGCTGAGGAATACCATAATAACTTTCTTTCCCTCCCACAAATATTTACAGACAACCACAAATACTTACAGACACCTTCTTTTGCATTACTTTCCTAGATATAGTGGTGAACAAGTTGGATCTGGTTTCTCCCCACCAAAAGCTCAATACTCACAGGATCTTGCAATTCATAAAGCTCTCCTCTGTGCCAGACCCCATGCCTGGCACCCTCTGAATGCTGTTCCGTGTATTCCGTGTATGTAGCCTTTGCTGCAGTCATAAATGGTGTAGAGGGATGGACTCTGAAGTGAGACTACCTGAATCTAAAACTGGCTTTCTCAGTTCCCTACGTGAGCTTGACAAGTAGACAAGTCTCTTCCACTCTCTATACTTCGTTTACACCTCTGTAAAATGGGGCTAATAAGAAAATCCACTTTAAGGGCTTGCTGTGAACATTAAGTTAGAAAATCCCTGTGAAGTTCCTAAATATGGTCCCTTATGCTGAGGAAGTGATTATTACTGTTTTATTTTATTATATTAGTATATTTTATTTACATTATCAAAGGATGTCCATAAAGTCTGAAAACAGATATAGACAATGCTATCTAGGATATTTTCACTCTGTAAAGTGAATGAGTAAATAAATATAAACAAACATGTATACACATTCATACAATCTATGTTTCCAGATTTTTTTCTTTTTTTTTTTTCTTTTTTTTTTTGAGACAGAGTCTCACTCTGTTGCCCAGGCTGGGCAGAGTGCAGCGGTGTAATCTCGGCTCACTGCAACCTCTGCCTCCCAGGTTCCAGCAATTCTTCTGCCTTAGCCTCCCGAGTAGCTGGGATTACAGGCGTTCACCTCCATGCCCTGGCTATTTTTTTAAATTTTTAGTAGGGATGGGATTTCGCCATGTTGGCCAACCTGGTCTTGAACTCTTGACCTCAGGTGATCCACCTGCCTTGGCCTCCCAAAATGCTGGGATTACAGGCATGAGTCACTGTGCCTGGCCTATGTTTCCAGATTTTATGGATACCTTGTACTTGCCATGTTTAATTTAATTATATTATTTTTGTGTCTCATGAGCTAGATATCATGATCTGTACTATGTATAGTGCTTTAAGAGCCATGTATGATAACACCCATTTTACAGATGGGGGAATTGAAACTCAGAGAGGTTCAGAACCTTGACCAAGGTGGCAGAGCGGGATCAGAACCACTGGCATCCGACTCTTGTCACTGCCCTCATGGCCTTATAGGTTTGCTTCCTGTTGTAGGAATGAATGGAGAATCCATGATGTAACCACAGCCCCCTTCCCTGGGCTTGTTCAGAGGCGGTCTCGCCTGCTCATTGTGAGCCAAGGTCTGTGCACCTCCCTGTTCCCCTTGGCGCCCATGGCCCATCCCTGTATAATAAGCCTTCCTGGCTGTCCCTGGAGAGGCCTAGCCATGCTTCCTGGGTCCCTGCACACACCTTCCAGTCAATGAAAGAGCAGAGAGGTGTGGCACTTCTGGCCCAAGAGGGTGCTGGGTTTTAGTCACCTTGCTCTTCAGGTTCTAGAACCCTCTGAGAAGTGTAATTCCACTTCCACCTGGCTGCACAGGGCTCTAGGAAACGAGCCAAGAGGCATCCCTGGAACCACTCTGCTGGGAGCTGCTCCGCTGAAAGCCTGGGGTGAGCAGCCTGGGTGAAAAGAGAGGTGGAATCTTGGGCTTGGGGACATGGCCCCGAGGCTCCTTCCCACGTGCAGTTTGCCAAGTGATGCGGCAGCCCCATCCCCACGCAGTGGGTGGCTTGTCATGATGTCTAATTTTTGTTGGGGGCGGAAGTTCATCAGCTCTTCTCTCACCCCTCGTTATTGACTGCCTTCTTCCCTGACAAAGCCCCATTGCCCCTCCCTGAGGGGCTCTGTGCATGGGCTGCGGGCTTCAGACCATCCTCCCAGCCCCCTGCCCAGCCCCTACCCCTTGCTGATGTCTTGTTTCCTGGTTAGAAGGAGCACTGGGCTGGGAGTGGAGGGATCAGTGCCCCGCAGCCCTGCCTGTGACTTTGAGCAGCTTGTTTCACCTCTATGGGTCCAGTTTTTTTGTTTTGCTTTGTTTTGTTTTTGAGACGAAGTCTCGCTCTGTCGCCCAGGCTGGAGTGCAGTGGCACAATCTTGGCTCACGGCAAACTCTGCCTCCCGGGTTCAAGCGATTCTCCTGCCTCAGCCTCTCAAGTAGCTGAGACTACAGGCATGCACCACCATACCCAGCTAATTTTTGTATTTTTAGTAGAGTTGGGGTTTCACCATGTTGGCCAGGCTGGTCTCAAACTCCTGACCTCAAAGTGATCCGCCCACCTTGGCCTCCAAAAGTGCTGGGATTACAGGTGTGAGCCACCGCGTTCAGTTTTTTAATCTGTAAAATCAGGTTTTGAAAGCTTGCCCTCAAGAGGGTATGGCAAGACTTAGACAAGGTCCTGGATGTGACAGTTCTTTGAAAGGTTACCCTGAGACCTGTACCAGCACGGTGATAACGCACTTTATTTTGTTTTGTTTTTTACAGACTTTAATGTTTTTCAGAACCTAAATATGCACAGATACATTCTTCTTGTAAAAATCAATCAACGTAGAAGTGTACAAAGTAAAAAGTCCTTTCTGTCCCTCCCTTCCTCCCTCTCTCCTTCCTCCCCTCCTTTGCTTCTTTTTGTCCATCCATCACTACTGTTGTTAGTTTGATGTTTCTTTTCCAGGTATTTTTTTCATTTGCATATGCACTTGTGGACTTAAGAGAAATATAGAGCCAGGTTTCTTTTTTAAAAAGTTTTTACATAAGTGATGGTATCCTGGATACATTATTCTGCAATTTTCTTTTTTTTTTTCCCATCCAACGGTATATCTTGGAGACGTTTTCATGCCAGAACATGTACAGTACAGATCTGTGCCATTATTTTTATCTGCTGTGTAGTATTCCATAGTATGGATTACCAGAATTTTCTAACTAGCTCCTTATTGATGCAGATTTTTCCAGTAGCTTCGCTTTTGCCACAGTGAATGTTTTATTTCCATGTGCAAATGTTTATCGAGGACAGATGTGATGAAATGAAAGAGATGGATCTGAAGGTATTAAATTTGAATGAGAAAAGTGCTAGACCCCATGGGCTGGTCCCCCTGTCTCTATGGGGCAGCCAAGTGAGGGGAAGGGGCCAGAATACTGTGCTCTGTGGCAGGCTCGTGGGTTGGTTTTAGGGTCCACAGTTGCCTGGGTTTGGATGAGGGGTGTGAGGCTGCCATCAGTCAGCCCTTGACCTCACTGGGCTATGCTCAGCTTCCTGGCAGCACTACAGAGCCTGCTGCTTTCAGCAGGCTGGGAACGGCTGCTTCTTGCTGGTGGAGCTGGTGTTTGGGAGGCTGCCGGGGTGTTAGCTCACAGTGGCGTGGGAGCGTGGGGTGGCAGCTCCCCCACTCCCCTGAGCTCACAGCAGCCTCTGAGTCAACCTCCCCCACCTGCCTGGGGAATGTGAGTTGTTTCCAGAGAAAGGCAGGCTAGGAACTCACTGAGTTTCATCCTCTGGTCCCATATTGCCTTTAGACTAGTGTCCTTGCCCTTGGACCTGCCTGAGCCCCATGCTCACTGCTCTCACTGCCATCACCCTCTGCCCCAGGCGACGCCAGCTCCACCAAGATCCTCCCATATTCCCTGCGTTATCTTACCTCCACACCTTTGTATATGCAATTCCCTCTGTCTGGGACACTCTTCCTGTGACTAACTCCTGTAACCCTCAGCTTTGAGTCCAGCGTGATCTCTGGGGAGCCATCTGTGAGCCTTTTCCCGGCCCTGGTTAAAGTAGCAACTCAATACGTAGCTGATGTTTACTGAGAGACAGTGTAGTGTCATGGCTAGGAGCACAGACCCTGCAGTTTGTCCTCCAGGATTCAAATCCTAGCTCTACCGTTTACTAGCTGTGCATCCTTGGGAAAGTTACTTTACTTCTCAGTGCCTCCATCTCCCCATCGGTAAAAATGAGGATGATGATGTACCCGCTTCATAACGTTGTTGGGGGGTTAAATTAAGTTGATAAATGTTGAAGTGGTATGGTCAGAGCTACGTAAGTGGTATAAATTGTTGTTATTCTACACTATTCTACATTTACGTAATCTATTATTACAGCATATTCTGATTGTCATCATTGTTATTATTTATCAGGTGCTTTGTACCAGGCAGCTTGCCTTACATATGTTATCTCGGTTAATCTTCACAGCAACTCTCTGAGGTTAGAGAGTCAAACCCCATTTTTAAAAAATAGCTTGGGGTTCAGTTTACATATTATAAAATTTGCCCACTTTAAGTGTACTATTCAATGATTTTCAGTAAATTTACAGAATTGTGCATCCATCAGCCACAATCCAGTTGTAAAACATTGCCATCGCTGAGTGGTGTGGCTAACACTTGTTATCCCAGCACTTTGGGAGGCCAAGGTAGAGGATCGCTTAAGCCCAGGAGTTCTAGACCAGCCTGGAGAGCCTGTCTGTACTGAAAAAAAAAAAAAAAAAAAAAAAAAAAAGCCAGCCGTGGTGGCACTTGCCTGTGGTCCCAGCTACTTGGAAGGCTTAGGCAGGAGGATCGCTTGAATCCGGGAGGTTAAATCTGCAGTGAGCCATGATTGAACCACTGCACTCTAGCCTGGGTGACAGAGCAAGACCCCATCTCAAAAACAAACAGAAAGCCTTTTCATCATCCCAAAAAGAAGCCTCATGCCCATTTGCAGTGACTCCTGGTTCCCAGACCCAGGCAACTATAATCTACTTTCTGTCTGTATAGATTTGCCTTTTCTGGACATATTATTTACATGGAATCATACAGTATATGATCTTTGTGATTGGCTTCTTTCATTCAGAATACTGCTTTCAAGGTTCATCCTTGGTGTGACATCATATATCAGGGCTTCATTCCTTTTCATTGCCCTGTAGTATTCCATTGTATAGATATTCCGCATTTTGTTTATCCATTCACCAGTAGGTGAACGTTTGGATTATTTCTATTTTGGGGTAGGATGAAGAATGCTGGAAGGCAAATTTGGGTACAAGTCTTTGTGTGGATATATGTTTTCATTTCTCTTGGGTCATTACCTAGGAATAGAATTGTTGGGTCATATGGTAAATTATGTTTAACTTTTTAAGAAACTGCTGTACTGTCTTGGAAAATGGCTTCACTGTGTGAATTCTCATCCCCCATTTTACAGATGAGAAATTTGAAGCTCAGAGAGACTAAGTCACCTGCCAAGGTCTCACAGGTTTTAAGTGTCAGACTCAATCCCAGGATTCAAACCCAGATCAGTTTCTCCGAAGCCCATGTATTTAACCACCAGGCAGTCCTGTACTTCCTGCTTTTGTTTTCACTAGAAAACTAGAGAACCCTCAGTTGCTGTACTGATCTGTGTTTGTTTTGGCCTTAGGCATCCTGGTGTTTCTGCTGGCATCTTGGGCCCTTTGATTTGGGGCCCCCAAGATAAACTCTTTAGCCCCAGATATAACTTCTTTCTAGGGCCACAATAGCCCAGCCTCCCTTGAAACCATTGAATGTATGTTAAGTTGTTAGAGACTTCTGTTTTTCTCTCAGAATGTGTAGGGTTTTCTTTATGGAAATTCTCATTCAAAAAATGTTTGAGTGATTCTTCTGTACTCTAAATTTAACTCTTATTAAATTTAATGATTTTTCTCACTGTAAAAGTTTTCAAACTCTTTTTTAAGCAGTGGAAACTTTTCTTTAAATGAGATATTATGCAGAAACCCAATATGTAAAACAAAGGAAGGAGCTGTTCTGACTGGGGTCAGGTGGGTGGGGTGCTCAGTCATCCCTGCCACCTGCAACCCCCTCCCCCACCCCCAGGCACAGTGCTGGACACCTGGGCCTTGCCACCACCATCTTAAACCAGCAGCTCATCTACAGGAACTAGCTCAGACTTTCACTTTTGGTCCTTTTAAAAAGGGAAGTTTCTTTTCTTCTAATTATTAAAAAAAAAAAAACCCTGTTATTGTTACAGAAACTTTTAGAAGTACAGAAAAAAAGAAGCATTAAGAAGAAGATAAAATCACCCATATTCCCCCTGAACAGCAACAACCATTGATAATATTTTGGTATTGTTGTGTCAGGCAGCGTCCTGGGAGGAAACAAATGGTGATTTTATATGGGGTGATTTGTGGAAAGTTTGATAAAGGGGCAGTTTGTAAAGGGTTTAGGGAAGTGGTCCTCAAACTTTTTGGTCTCAGAGGCCCTTTATATTCTTAAAACCTGAGAACTCCTAAAAGCTTTGGTTTAGCTGGGTTCTATCTACCCATATTTACTGTATTCGAAATTTAAACGGAGGCATTAAATATTTATTCATTCATTAAGTCAGAATGATAAACACATTATCTGTTGGCTATCTGCTTCTGCGTAGCAGATGAACTCAAAATTTAGCAGCTTAAAACAATAAACATATACTGCCTCACACAATTTCTGTGGCTCAGGGATCCAGAGCAGCTCAGCTGGGTGGTTCTCGTTCAGGATATCTCATAAGGTTGCAGTCACTTCAGGATTTACCTGGGGCTGGAGAATCCACTTCCAAGATGGCTCACTGGCATGGCTCTTGGCAGGAGGCCTCAGTTCCCTGCCATGTGGCCCTCTCTATAGGACAGCTCGAGTGTTCTCTCAGCATGGCAGGTGGCTTTTTTCAGAGTGAGTGATCCAAGAGATAGAGGAATCCGCAATGCCTTTATGACCTTGTGTTGGAAATCATGTACCATCACTTCTACCATCTTCTATTCATGAGAAATGACTCACTAGGTCCAGCCCACACTCAAGGGGTGGGGAATTAAGCTTCATCTTTTGAAGAGAGAATTTGTGGACATGTTTTAAAACCACCACATGTTAACATAAATATTTTTATGAAAAATTATATTTTTCAAAACAAAAAAAAAAGCAATGAGGAGAGTAGCCTTGTTTTATATTTTTGCAAATCTTTTTAAGATCTGGCTTAATGGAAGACAGTTGGAGTATCTTATCTGCTTCTGCCTTCAATCTGTTGTGATATGTTATTTTGGTTGAAGTAAATAAAGAAAATCTTATGTAGTTGGAAAAGGGAGGAAATATTTTAATTGCTTTTTCAGATATTGTGGATATTCTTTGATACTACATCTAAACTCAACAAGTAGTAGTTTCTTAAAGGTTAGTTGCAGTGCTGAATCTGAAGCCATATCAATTTACATCAAAATCCATTGGTCTGTCTGGCATTTTGAATGGTTCTTTTACCCATGTGTACTTTTTTTTAATGTAATATATTGGATCTGTTAGAAAATATTGGTTCACTGAGTTACACAGATCTTCCAAATGTTGACACATTGCTTTATACAATATAAGAAAATGTATAGTTTCAATAACAATCTTGCCATACAATTATTCAGGTACTGGGAAACTGTAAGTTCGTGGTAGCTATAAAAGTTTTCTAAAATTTGGATTTTTGCTTAAAAGTTCAAATTCTATCATTGGTAACAAATGCTGTCAGTTGTGAGAAGATCCATTTGCCCTTTTTAGGAAAAAAAACACTGCCTGTTAAATACTCAAGTCTGAATAACCATTGTTTGCTAGACATCCTTTAAGTAAAACTAGTGCTCCATGAGAGAAGAGACTAGCTTAGCACACAGCTTAAAAAATGGCTCAAGTAATGCAGTTGGAGACAATGATTATTCTTTTTTTGAACTTCCCATTTTGTCACATGGAATATTAAAAGGACATGTACTCAAGGATTAAGGTTTCATAAAATTAATACATTTTATTGCTTTATCAAGGACATTTTTAAGGGAAACTGGTATTGATTTTTTTCTTTTGATTGCACATACAAAACAATGAAGATGGTGATTGCTAGTACAGCTTGGTGCCACTAAGTTAATTCTGTTAAAACAACAGTAGTTTTACCCACCATTGCTTTTACACCATCAGTGCAAATGTCAACACAGTGGAAAATGCAAGTAATTTCTTAGTGTTACTGTGAAAATTATTTTGATGTTTTAATACCCTGAAAGAGTCTAGAGACCACTTTGAGAACCACTGGTTTATGGGGGTCAACAAGGAATGGGACAATACCCTGGGATAGCAAAAGTTGGGAGATCTTACCCACCCCACCCCACCCCCTGGGCCTGAAGGAGACAAGGAAATGAACCTACTGGAACCTAAGGAAGGCACCGTATGGAGAGGGCTACCTAAAGGAGCAGTGGCTGCCACTCCATGCCCCTGCCATTCTGGTGCTTTCGGTGACAAACCTAACCAGAAAGCAGAATGCAAGGAAGCCTTTGATGTAGTGCAAGTCAACTGGCTTCCTCAGGCACGGAGAGGGGAAGATCTAGAGGGACAGATGGGGCAGAGAGTGAGCCCAGCTGTCTTCAGCCCTTCGGATCTACACACAAACAAGGAGTGAGTTTGTGTACATTTAAAAAACAACTTTTAGGGCCAAATGTGGTGGCTCATGCCTGTAATCCTAGAGCATTGGGAGGCTGAGGTGGGAGGATGGCTTGAGCTCAGGAGTTCAAGACTGCAATGAGCTGTGATGGTGCCACTATACTCCAGCCTAAGTGACAGAGGAAGACTCTGTCCCTAAAAAATAAATAAACAAATAAATAAAAATGTAAAAGTAAAAACAACTTTAACCCTAACATTCACTTGTGAATTCAGCAAAATTAGTCATCTGCTAGAGCTGTGGTATCAGGGAGAGCCTGTCTGAGGAGGTGATTTGGGCTCAGACCTGAATGTGGAGGAGTCTGGAGGAAATGTACAAAGGATGTGTGATGGGAACAGGGTTGGCGTGTTTGAAGACAGGAGAAAGATGGGAGGTGGAAGAGTAGGGGGAGGAGGTGGTTGAGGGAGAGCATACTGACCGTAGAAGACTAGAGTAGGAACTGTACATTTGATTTCGATGAAAAGCCACTGGTGGTTTTGAAAGGGGAATCATGTGATGAGATACAGATTTTGAATTCGGGATGGATTTTCCTGGTTGCTGAGTGCAGAATTGACTGTAGCAATCTATTTTCGCAGGGCTGTGAGGGGAGCAGGGAGGCTCATGAGAAGCCCTCACAGTAGCGTAGGTGAGAGCCTATGGTGGTCACTGGGCGATGCAGAAATCAGGAGGTGGAGCCCACAGGGCTTCTGTGTCAAGTGACAGAGGAGGGACTCAGTGATGGCTTTTGGGTTTTTGGCTTGAACATCTAGGTGGATGACAGTGCCACATTTTGAGACTGGGAAGATCGGAGTAGGAGGGAGGAGGGGATTTGGAGAGAATTGAGTTCTATAGGACTGTCCAAGTTGACATGTCCTTTTAACATCCACATGGAGATCTTGAAGAGGCAGATGAATATGTGAGTCTGGAGCTCAGGGGAGATATCAGGGATGGTTATAATACTTGGGAAGTCATCAGCATGATACAAGTGCAGTATTTTCAAAAATGCAGGACTGTAGGAGGTCATCTAGGAAGCAAGGGTAGTTGGAGCAGAGAAGGGATCGCAGAGAAGGGATCACTAGAGAAAGCTCTGGGACACCTCAATAGCTGCATGTTGACCCAAGAAGAAGAGAACAAAGGAGACCAGAATCATCTACTCAGAAGGTAGAAAGAAAACCAGGAATAGTGTGGCATCTCAGAAGCCTGGAAGAAAGGACTGTCAGCTCAGTCAAATGCTGTTGAGGGGTTGAATATTTTGTCTTATCTTTATATACTCTTTGGAAAAAGAGATTTCTAATGATGACCTCATATATCCTATCATGGATGTTCCATAATTTATGCAGCTACTCCCTTATTATTGCATTTTGAGGCCATTCCCAATTTTTGCTACTATAAATTATGCCGTGGTGAATATCAATGTATAAAAGTATTTGGTTGGCCGGGCGCTGTGGCTCATGCCTGTAAATCCTAGCACTTTGAGAGGCCAAGGCGGGAAGATCACTTGAGCCCAGGAGTCCAAGACCAGCCTAGGCAACATAGTGAGACCCCATATCTACACGAAATTTAAAAAATTATCCAGGTGTGGTGACGTGTACCTGTGGTCTTAGCAACTTGCGGGGTGGAGGTGGGAGGAACTTTTGAGCCCAGGAGGTCAAGGTTGTAAGCTGTGATTGTGCCACTGCACTCCAGCCCAGGTAACAGAGTGAGACCCTGTCTCCAAAAAACTAAATAAATAAAATAAAAATAAAAAGTATTTGGCCATAGCTTTGATTATTTACTAGGTAGATTCCTAGATGTTCATTGGCTTTGAGGTCTCGATATAAACCACTCATTTGACTACCAGAGAGGTTGTATCAGCTGTGTGTATCCATCCCTGCTATCTCCCCACCTCATCACTACCTGCCACATCAATGCTGGATGATGACATTGAAAACACACCTTTGCTGATATATTTGATATATGGAAAATAGTCCTGTTGTCTTAATTTGCATAAAATCGAGACAGTTAAGGTTGAATACCTATTCATAAGCTTACTGGTCATCTCTCTCCTTCTTTGAGTTGTCTAGTTTGTTTTTTTGTTGTTGTTGTTTTGAGACGGAGTCTCACTCTGTCCCCAGGCTGGAGTGCAGTGGCACAATCTTGGCTCACTGCAACCTCCGCCTCCTGGATTCAAGCAATTCTCCTGTCTCAGCCTCCCGAGTAGCTAAGATTACAGGTACCCACCACCACACCCGGGTAATTTTTGTATTTTTAGTAGAGATGGGGTTTCACCATGTTGGCCAGGCTGGTCTCAAACTCCTGACCTCAGGTGATCTGCCTGCCTCAGCCTCCCAAAGTGCTGGGATTACATGCATGAGCCACTGCACCCGGACTATTTGTTCATTTTTTTTACTAGTGTGCTTCTTATTGGTTTCAATGATTGTGTACGTTTATGTTTGTGTGTGTGAGAGGAGACAGGGAGAAGGTGAGAAAGGGGGAGAATGACATTGGAGGGAGAGATGCCAACTCTTTGTTGTCATGTATGGTTCATATATTTTCTGCAGTGCGTGTATGTGTTTGCTTTAATGTTTTGTTTATAGTAATTTTTTATGCTTTGGAGTTCTTATTTTTTATATTGTCAAACCTAATGATACTTGATTTCTTTTTTTAAAATCATTTTATTTTTTTTATCCCTTTAAAGCAGGGACCAGAAAACTGTGGCCTGAAGTCCAAATCTTCCCACTGTCTGTTTTTGTAAATAAAGTTTTATTGGAACACAGCCATGCCCATTCATTTACATATTATCTATGGCTGCTTTCACATTACAATGGCAGAGTTGAGTTGTAACAGCGACCATGTAGCCTGCAAAGGTTAAAATATTTACTTTCTGGCCCTTTATAGAAATACTTTATGGGCTCTTGCACTAAAATGTTTCCTCATCTAGTGATGTATATTAAACCTATGTTTTCTTCTAGGGTTTTTTGGCCTTATTTAAATAAATAGGTAGTATTTCTGGACTTCATTTTAGTATAGAGTACTAAATGAAAATCTGTCTATATTTTGTTTCCAAAGCATCAGCAATTGTCCCAACATCCCTTCCTTCCCTACAAGTTTGTGAGGCCACCCTTGTACTCTAGAGCCTCATCTGTAATGAAGGGTAACTCTCCAACCTGTCTATTCTGTTCCAGCAACCTATTTTGGTGCCAGTTACATACTGCTTTCATCCTTGTAGGTTTATATTGTGGCTTAATATGTGATAAAACAAGTTTTTCCTCAGATTACTCTTTTTTTTCAAAATGTTCCTGGTTATTTTCAGCTGTTCACATAATATTTAGGACTGTTTGGTCAAGTTTTCCCTCCAAACCTCAAAAATAGATTTCTCCAAAGCTTTGCAGGGACATGGATGGAGCTGGAGGCCATTGTCCTTAGCAAACTAACACAAGGACAGAAAACCAAATACAGCATGTTCTCACTTACAAGTGGGAGCTAAATGCTGAAAACACATGGACACATAGAGGGGAACAACACACACTGGGTCCCTATTGGAGGGTGGATTGTGGGAGGAGGGAGGAGATCAGGAAAAATAACTAATGGGTACTAGGCTTAATACCTGGGGGATGAAATAATCTGTACAGCAAACTCCCATGACACAAGTTGACCTATGTAACACACCTGCACTTGTACCCCTGAACTTAAAAGTTTTTAAAAAATTAAAATAATTAATTAATTTGGACCAAAGTGATATGTTTATCATACTGAGTTTTTCTAAGCGGGCAAATAGCACATGTCTCTGTTAAGCATGTATTCTTTCTTGTCTTTTAGGAAAGCTGTAGGGTTTTTTGTTTGTTTGTTTGTTTTTGTTGTTGTTACTGTTTTCGTATAAGTCCTGTTTAATGTCTTAAAAGGAGGGCTTTGGGTTTTGTACATTAATGTTATACCAAGCGAATTTACTGAATTCACCTTAGTCTTGGTTTTTCAGTGAGTTATCTTGGGGGTTTCTATTTAGAAAAGAACATTATTTGCAGATGATAAGGTTGTCTGATCATTCCAGTGTTTCAGTAAGCCTGGAGATCTGAGTCCTATCCAGATTCTATCCTCTCTCCCCTTCTCTCCAGGCTAACTACTTCCGTTCCTTTTCATATTCTTTTATGACATGTGGCTTTGAGATTTGTGACCATGCTCTACTCTGTCTACGTTCTTCCCAAAGTCTGATCTGGCTCACTCTGGAGTGAATGGAACTGTCACTTTCCTCGTTCTGGTTGCTTTTGCCTGTTAGTATGACTTAAGTTTCCATTAGCTTTTTGGGTAGCTGCTGTTGACTCATATTGAATTTATAAGAAAACAAAACCCCCAAGTCAGCTTCCCATTAATGAAGCTACATTTTCCCCATCCTGATTTAAAAACAACAACAACAACAACAACAAAAAAAAAACAAAAAACTGTTTGTTGAAGCATAATCATCAGACAGAAAAGGGTAAAACTAGTTGTATTTTCATGTGCTGAGCATACCCATGTAACTAATCAGCACTCAGATCATGAAACAGAACATTACCAGCACCCCAAAAGTCTTCCTGGACACACGGTTGATTTTTAACATTGAGGTCAAGCGCTGCATTTATCTTGTTGAGTTTTGAGCCCAATTATCTACCTGTTCAGCTAGTTTTGGATTCTTGAATGATACGTTAGGACTTTTGTGTCACCAGTGACAAAAACTCAAGCTAACAAGGTTAACAAAACAGTGTTCACGTAGTGGAGAGTTCAAAGATAGCACAGCTTCAGGCACTTGTGGATGCATGAGACTACCAAGAAATGTCTCTGAGAAGACGACTATCAGCAGCTTGAAATATATATCCTAAATCCTTTTGGCAACCTCAGTAAGAATAATTTATTTTCCCAGAAGTGTCCCAGGCTCAACAAGTCCCAGAATGGAACCTCATTGGCTATGAGGTCGATTCCTGAGTCAATTGTAATGGCTAGATAAGGGAAGCAATGCTATGATTGGTCTGGTTGGAGCCATATGCCCACTCCTGGAGTCTGCTTCTCCCAAACACATGGACTGACACTTGGTATTATGTTGTACCTACCCACTCCCCCAAAAATATTGGGATGATATTTCCAGAAGGAGGGAGAATGGATGCTTGTCAGGCCATAATTAAATATATTCACCTCAAATGAAATATTCACCGGCAGTTTCTACTCCATATCATTCATAATTGCAATAAGGATTTGCCTTCTAGACCAGAATTGTGCAATAGAATTTTTTTCTGATGATGGAAATGTGCTGTCCAATACAATAGCTGCTAAATTTTTTATTGTATTTAGTTAGAAATAATGTAGTCAACTGTGGCTAAGCTAGAGGCTGCTGACTTAGAAACACAGTCATAGGCCATTATCCAAATCCCTGATAAAAATGTTGAATAGGGCCCAGCGTGGTGCTCACGCCTGTTAATCGCAGCACTTTGGGAGGCCGAGGTGGGCAGATCACCTGAGGTCAGGAGTTCGAGACCAGCCTGGCCAACATGGTGAAACCCTGTCTCTACTAAAAAATACAAAAAATAACCAGGTGTGGTGGTGGGCACCTGTAGTCCCAGGTACTCGGGAGGCTGAGGCAAAAGAATTGCTTGAACACGGGAGGTGGAGGTTGCAGTGAGCCGAGATCATGCCACTGCACTCCAGCCTGGGCAATAGAACAAGACTCCATCTCAAAAAAAAAAAAAAAATTGTTGAATAGGTCATGGGCAGAGATGCTGCCTGGGGCCACACCCCCGGAGACCTTTTCCAGATTAATGTATCAAAGTCAACTACTGGGAATAGTTGTGCAACTGAAATGAACTTAACTACATTGTTATTTGCAGTTGGTATGTGGGAACAGTAGCAGGAGTCTCGACAATTAAAAAACAATTAAAAAAAAAAAAAGCTGGCTGGGCATAGTGGCTCACGCCTGTAATCCCAGCACTTTGGGAGGCCAAGGTGGGTGGATCACCAGAGGTCAGGAGTTCGAGACCAGCCTGGCCAACATGGTGAAACCTAGTCTCTACTAAAAATACAAAAATTAGCTGGGCATGGTGGTGCATGCCTGTAATCCCAGCTACTCAGGAGGCTGAGGCAGGAGAATTGCTTGAATACAGGAGGTGGAGGTTGCAGTGAGTTGAGATTGCACCATTGCACTCCAGCCTGGGTGACAGAGTGAGACTCCATCTTAAAAAAAAAAAAACCATCTTTCCTACAAAACTTAGAAGACGATTTCTCTCTGAGGGTTAAATTACAACAAAATGTGATGGATCAGAGTAGCAATTCATGCACAGACATTTATGGAACATAGTCTGGACATCATCAGGCTGGCATTGGTTGTTCAGTGGTGAACAAAACAAAATGGGCCAGACCACCTTGGAGCTCAGAGTCTAGCAAAGTCATTGTGAAGAGAGCATAGTATTAACATGCTTAACAATGGATGGTGTTATTATAAAGAAGGCCTTGCTGGGCATGGTGGCTCATACCTGTAATCCCAGCACTTTGGGAGGCCAAGACAGGAGGATCACTTGAGACCAAGAGTTTGAAACCAGTCTGGGCAACATATTGAGACTGTATCTCTACCAAAAACAAAAACAAAAACAAAAACAAAAGCCAGGCATGGTGGTGTGGGCCTGTAGTCCTAGCTGCTTGGGAGGCTGAGGCCGGAGAATTGCTTAAGCCCATGTGGGCAAGGCTGCAGTAAGTCACAATTGTGCCACTGCACTCCAGCCTGGGTGACAGAGCAAGGCCCTGTATCTCGCGGGGACGGCGGGGGGGGAAGGCCTTGTCAAGAACAGATGCCAGAAAAAGGGGGCTAGGAGATCATTTATGAACAATTCTATTTAAATATCGTTCAAGGGAGAGGACACTGTGAGCAACAACTTTGGTGATTACCATCCCATTGCTAAGGACAATCTGATTATGGAAAAAGGGGACTTCAACCCATCTTGGTGATCTTGGCGTAATCATTAAACATGATGATTATGTACAACCTTCTGATTATAATTTGGCGTCCCAGCCAGGTCTGCCTACAAGCACAGAATGAGTTGACCGTGCTTAACTGAATTTCAGACATGCAAGGCAATTATTCTCCTGTGATCCTGGCATTGTGTTTTTATGCAGCAGCCTCATAAACTTGGATAGTATGAGACTGCTCTTGGGAGAAGAAACTGCTGTTGGTAGGCTGGTCAACCATGGTCGATCACCAAGGTGATACCATCCTAGGGATCTTGGGGATATTTAACCAATTGGAACTCCCTTGGAACCTCCCCCAAATCAAACCACAATGACACTCAACCAGCATTTCCCCAGGGTGCTAATAAGGAGGTGTATGAGAGGCTTGTCAGGTGCTCAATGGAGTCTAGACATTTTCTATCTTTGACATTTCTCAGTGTAGTGAACCCATTGAGAAGATAGATGAGGCATTGCTAGCATGATTGATTCTTGCTTGGCTTCTAGGGACCACTGTTTCCTTTTTTTTTTTTTTTTTTTTTGCGGGGGGTGGGGGTAGCATGGGGGGATAAAGTCTTGCTCTGTTGCCCAGGCTGGAGTGCAGTGGCATGATCTCGGCTCACTGCAACCTCCGCCTCCCAGGTTCAAGTGATTTTCCTGTCTCCGTCTCCTGAGTAGCTGGGATTACAGGTGCCAACCACCACGCCCAGCTAATTTTTGTAGTTTTAGTAGAGACGGTTTCACCATGTTGGCCAGGCTGGTCTCAAACTCCTGACCTCAGGTGATCCATTCCCCTCGGTCTCCCAAAGTGCTGGAATTACAGGCATGACCCATTGCGCCCGGCCCCACTGTTTCCTTTCTAATCGAGTGAGAAAATGGTCAGTATTTCTGTCAACAAAATTCATGAGGCTCTTTGTACGCACAGACTTCAGGCCTTTCTCTCAACAATCGCCAAAGCTGGAGCATCACATGGAGGAACACTGGGGTTTGAAAAACAGGAATGTTCCAGAATCTTCTCAGAGTATTACATTTTCCAACATGTCCATCCCATATTTGTACCAACAAACAGAGCTGGTCCCACTGCCCTCATCCTTTGTCTACCATGTTAGGCTGAGGAAGTTGCATGCAGAGCAGAGGTGAAGACTAAGAGAAGAAGATACAAGAAACCTGCTGAGTAGGGGAGAGGGAAATGGTACCTCTGCCAGTTATGCTGGAAAAGCTAAATGAAACCCAAATCTTGATGGAGGTGTTAGGGTTTTCAGTCTTTCAAGAGAAGCTCAGGACACAGGCTTTTTGGCTTAAGGACCCCAAATTTCCTGGGCACCACAAAAGTAGTAACGGCAGTCCTCCAGGTGAATCAGTGTCAAGAGCTAGACTGTAATCACTTGCCTTTTGTTGCATTACAAGCCACTCTTGAAACACTTAGTGGATTGAAACAACAACTTCTTATTTCTCAATGATTCTTTGGCTTGACTGGGCACTCTTTCTGCTGGTCTTCCCTGGGCAGTTCTTCTGCTGGTTCTGCCTGGGCTCACTCATGAGGCTACAGGTAGCTGCTGGGTCAGCCAGTGTCTGGGGCTCAGCTGGGATGACCTGGCCTCTCTCTGCCTGTGGTCCTTTATCCAGCATGATGGTCTCAGGGTTCCAAGCAAGTAAGCCCCAATGCACAAGTATTTATCCAGCCTTTGCCTGCATCGCGCTTGCTCATGTCTCATTGGCTAAAACGGATCACGTGGCCAAGCTCAGAGTCAGTGTGGGAAGAGTCTATACAAGCGCTTGGGTACTGAAAGGCATGATTCATTGGGGGCCATTGTTATAATCTACCACACATTCTAGACTTTGCTTTGCTTTAGATCCGAATTCTAGCAACTCGATGTGATAACCCTGGGCACATCATGTTGCTCGAACACTGTAATTGGCTATTGATGTCCCTGGAATGTCTGAGATGTATGGGGTGGACCAAACACTGCCTCTCTCTGGGAACCCCGGACTTTGGGTTGAGAATGCCTAGTGTTTAGGTGGCATTGACTCTAAAACCATGTGGCATTCAGAATTCAGCACTGGGCAATGGCGCATATGCTGATTTAATTTTATTAGCCTATTAGCTGCATAGACACAACAGTGATTTATGTGATTTTATAATATTATGTTGAACCTTCAATAATTGGGATTAAAGTCTGGATTGATGTTGTAACAGAAACAGGAGTAGAAAAATAATCATCAGCCAGATGGAAGAAATTATTAGTTCACAAATGCAGTGTGCTCAGTAATAAAATCTTTCAAAATGTGGATGACATAGGTGCAATAGAATATAAAGAGGCCTTCAGTGGAAAGCTTGGGAAGCTCTGCAGAGATGCAGTGGACCTTGAAGGTTAAGAATATGGAGTCAGACAAAACTAAATTTTAATCTCTATTTTGTGACCTTGGGCAAGTAACTTAACCTCTTTTGGACTCAGATTCCTCATCTGTAAAGTGGAGAGAATGATGCAGGGAAGGGAGGGGAGTGGGTCACCGTGCAGATTCATGGAAATAAAGGATAGACAGTGGACACGGTCAGTTTGGCTGTTACTATCATCTGCCAGTAGCCTCAGTTACAATAAGCCAGAGGCAAGATTAACATCTCTTCCTTTTTCTTTCTAATTCTTCTGCTCCCCACATTGCCATAACTACTCCCATTTTCTCTATCTCTGTTTACTCAATGGCGGCCTTCTATCAGTCAGTCACATAAAAGTATTCTTATTGCAGTCATTTACACTTTAGTATGAATGAGTCAGCACTTTTTTGCAGCAATTTTCATTGGAAGCCAGTGGGAAGTGAAAGGCTTTGGCCACCCCTCATAATATATGACTTAAAGCCTGCTTGCAATAGAGAGCCCTTGCAGAGTCTCTAAAAGAAAAGGACCTGCCCCCTGAAGAACTTCTGAGACCATAGACCTCATGGTGCCCAGCTTTTCCTGGTTGCCATGTGTCATCTCTAAAGACAGCCATGAATATCTGTTTTGGTTGACTTGAGCCATTTGAATGTCTAAAACCCATCTTAATAACAAAAGCTCTTTGGAGGGACCCTAATTAACTTCTTTAAATTGCTTTCTCTAAACTTTTGGAATTAATACAATCTGTTCCCTTGTTATTAAAAAAAAAAAACAAAACCCTAGGATACTTCGCAAAACTTCCCCCAAGTTACTTGGCAGCTAACATTTTGTCAAGGAGGCATGGTGGCCAACCTTCCCCTGAATGGGATTGGTTTCTATATAGTCATTCCTTCCGGCTCATGACTTTCTTCTCCATTTGCTGCCCACGGACGCCGAAAATAACTTGTTTTCTGGCAAGCTTGGGATGAGATTCCTTATGATTTAATCAGATCCATAATGAAGCTCTCCCAGCTTTCAGGAGAAAACATCCTGAACTGCAGGGCTGGTTAAGGGCAGGGCCCTGGTGAAGAGGAGGAGCCCCCTGCCTGAGCAGCACATTTGGAGCCAGGAGAGCTGCAACAGGGCCATGCCACCCACCCAGTGGGGTGCCCCCATTGTGGCTGAGACTCCTGGCAGTGCTCCAAGGTGTGTACCATGTAAGCTGTGCCTTCCCACTCCCTGCAGCCCAGACTAAAGGCCTCAAAGATAATAGGCAGGACATCGCATCTGTAAATACCAGCTGCTTGGTCCAGGAAGAGACAGTTTCCTACATATATATATATATATATATATATATATATATATATAGAGAGAGAGAGAGAGAGAGAGAGAGAGAGAGAGAGAGAAGGAGGAGGAGAGAGACCAGGACAGACTTGCCCTGGCTGAAACCAGGATTCCCTTGATGGTTCCAAACTGATGTTAAATTAGAGGATAACTCCAGATATGATAACAAGCTGGGGGTGGCAAAGTAGGTGGGTAATCAGGGAGCATCTGAGTAGGTGACAGAGAATTGGATAATGAAGAAGCAGGTAAGGTGATGGGAAGTAGCTGGGGCAAGAGGGAGTAGCCAGGCAATAAGGCAAAGTAGCTGGAGAATGGGAGAGTAACTTGATGATGAAGGCCAGGCACAAAGTGGGAGTTACTGCAGTGGGGCAACAGAAGACAGCCCCAGACCTGGGGTAGAGGCTACCCTGACCTGTTCCAGTTGCCTTCATTTTGCCACTTCCTTAGGTCTTGCTGCTGAGAAGTAAACTCAGCCTAAGTCTGTACCAGTTAGCTGGAATCTGGGCTGTTGTAAACTGTTGTGGTGAAGCTCCCTGGGAGTGAGGCTGAGGTTGTAGCAGTAGCAGGTAGGTGTGGTGAGTTTATTTCCTTGAGGGAGGGGCTCTCTCTTCTCTCAGCCCCTCAAAGGATGGGTGAGGTTGCCTGCCAGAGGTCCTGGCACAACTCACATCTGAGCCCCCAATTTCCCCATCATCACCTTCATCCTTCTCTCAACCAGATTTTTATTGGATAACTTAAGCACCAGGCATTGTGCTAAAAATCTTTCTATGCATCAACTCATTGCATCCTCTCAACAACTCTATAAAATAGGAACCGTTAGTAACCCCATCTTACAGGTGGATAAACTGAGGCTTAAAAAGTCTAACAACTTGCCCACATAAGAGGCGTAGCCAGGACTGTCTGACTTCAGAATCTGTCCTCTAAGCCTTATGCCACAGTCATGGTTACTTCTACATGGAGCATTTCTCCTTCAAAAGCTCACCCCTACCCATTCACTATTTAACAGCACTTAACAAGGTCTGGTTTGGGAGTGAAAGCTCAGGTAGGGTGTCCTGGTTGGGTAAGGAGCCTCAGAAACAATTCAAATGCTCATGGTCCCCACCTACGGTGGGCACAGCCACCTGGCTGCCCTTTTCCAAACCCATTGCCCGTGAGGTCTGTTGGATAAAGTCACAGTTTAGAATCAGTCTTCCCCAGGGTGCACCCACCACTGGCAATCAGACCTCATTTGCACTGAGACATTTATAGTCCACAGTGAATTTCCATTATCTATATAGAATGAGACAAAGAAACAGAAGGCTCCTGGCTTTAGGAAGTTTCTTCTTCTCTCTTCTGTCTGACAGCCATCCTTTCCAGCATGTCTTGGGACAGATGCCATGTCAAGGATCATCTAGATACTTGGAAAATATTGTATAATTCCAGGCTTTATAATTTTTTAATTAAAAAAATTATGTTTGGATCCTGAAGAGCCTAACTGTATTCCTTATTTAATGAAAGCAATGCAATCGCATTGTCACTGGTGACATGGTCCCTCATTTAATAAGCTGCTGGCTCCAAGATAAGCCATCCATTCCAGGAGGTTCTTGATTGGTAAAATTGTTTTGCACTAAAAGGAGCTTAAGGTTAAGCACTAATTAATGGAAGGGGGTTGGATTTTATATAGATAGATCGGTAGGTAGGTTTGGGGACATGTCAAATACACCATCTTTGTCTCTGCAGCTGAAAATATATATTTAAAGCCCACACAACTCCGTAGATTTCTTAAAGCTCCATTTTTGGCAAGTATATTCCAGTCTTGGTGTGCTCTGGTTAATAAGCAGCTTCTGACTCAGGGCACTCAGTGACTGATGGTTGCATTGACCCAAGTATCTCTCAGGACGCAACTGATGTGGTCAAAATCCCCCAGGTGGTTTGAGCCCACCAGTCTTTCTCGGTGGACATGGCTTGAGAACTTCAGTTGGGCACTAGGACACTATCTTATCTGAGGCGGCCAGAAAAAAAATTATAGACTGGGTGGCGTAAACGATAGAAACGTATTTCCTTACAGTTCTGGAAGCCAGAAATCCAAGATCAAGGTGCCAGAATGGCTGGTTTCTCGTGAGGGCTCTCTTCCTGGCTTTCCACCTCCTCACTGTTTCCTCACCTGGTGGTGGTTTGGGGGAAAGGAGACTCTCTGGTGTCTCTTTTAAGGACACTAATCCCATCATGGGGGCCCCATCATCATGACCTCATCTAAAACTATCTCCCAAAAGTCCCATCTCCAAATTCCATCGCACTGGGGATAGGGCTTCGATGTATGAATTTGCGGGGAACACAGTGTAGTCTATAGCAGGCACTTTCTGTGGCTGGGCAAGACAGCTGTCTTCTCTGATGTCCCTGGGGTTCTCTGTGGTGCTGGAGAAACTGATGGGGGAATTCTCTGGAATTTGTGTCCTGGGTGGACACAAAGGCCTCAAAAGCTCGAAGCCCATTCCCGTGGCCTGGCTGCATTGAAGGAAACTTTACTGCTGATTGGAAGAGCTATGGGGTCTTCAGACCCTGCCAGAACACAGGGCATATCATTTTGTAGGGGAGAGCCCTAGTCTTGGAAAACTTCCTGGTGGAAAGCAAAGGAAAGGAGGCAGAGGAAAGGACCAAACCTGATTTATTGGGTAAATATTAATAAATGAATGTACCTAGTGGCTGCCATGCTCTTCTGGCAATGAGATTGGAGGAAGGGGATATGATTCAGACCCATAAAACTCTGGAGAGGGCAGTGGGCTTGTTTACCAAATCCCTGATGCTACCCAGAGAGGTGCCCAGGAACTTGAAGCAAGTAGGGATGTAGAAGGAACCTGTATTATTAGGGAGGTGTCCTGGTTCTCTATTGTCACATAGAAAAGCTATTCTAAAATTTAGCTGCTTAAATTATCTCACATGGGTCAGGGGTTCAGATGGAGCCCAGAGGGGAAAATTTGTCTCTGCTCCACAACGTCCAGAGCCTGAGCTAGGATGACTGAAACAGTCATCCTGTAGTCCCAGGGCCTCCCCATGTAGCCTCTCTACGATGGTGGCCTTGGCAGAGTCAGACTTCTTGGATGATGTCTCAGAGCTCCAAGAGCAAATGTCCCAGGATCCAGGAAGCCGCCAGTTTCTTGAGACCTTGGAACAGCTACCAAGCCGACCCCGACTTCAGTGGAAGGGACCAAGACCCCACCTTCTGATGGCAGGAGTTTGATGGTCTCCACTGGGGCTGTCTTTAAACTGCCATGGGAGGCTACCTGCTGCGGCATTTTGAAGTTTATCTCTTGCTCATGTGACAGCCCAGCACGGGTATTCATGCTTACTTCAGCCTGTGGGTGGGGAACGGGGAGTGACTGCTAGTGCGGGTTCCTTTTTTTTTTGGCGGGGTGGGGGAGGGTGTGTGAAATGTTCTGAAATCGATTGTGGTGGTGGTTGCAACTCTGTGCAACCATCAAAGAGGGCAGCTCTCTTCAACACAATGACCCCATGCCTAGGCTTCTTCCATCCTATGGCTCTGCCCGCTAGATCAGAGCTGTCCAATAGAAAAAGAATTCAAGCCACATATGTAACTGTATTTATTTATTTAGAGCCAGGTTCTTGCTCTGTTGCCCAGACTGGGGTGCAGTGGCAAAATCATGGCTCATTGCAGCCTCAGACTCCTGGCCTCAAGCTGTCTTCCCACCTCAACCTCCCAAGTAGCTAGGACTACAGGCACATGCCACCACACCTGGCTGATTTTTAAATTTTTTGTAGAGACAGGGTCTTGATATGTTGCCCAGGCTGGTTTGAACTCCTGGCCTCAAGCAGTCCTACCACCTCAGCCTCCCAAGGTGTTGGGGTTATAGGCATGAGCCACTGTGCCTGGCTAGTAATTCTTAAATGCACTAGTAGCTACATTTTTAAAAGGTAAAAAAATAAACAGTTGAAATTAATTTTAATAATATATTTTATTTAATCCAATATATCCAAAATGTCATTTCAGCATGCAATCAATATAAAACTTATTAATGAGAGATTTTACATTCTGTTTTTTTCATATCTTTTACATTTATTTATTTATTTATTTGGAGATGGAGTTTCACCCTTGTCACCCAGGCTGGAGTGCAATGATGCAATCTAGGCTCACTGCAACCTCCACCTTCCGAGTTCAAGTGACTCTCCTGCCTCAGTCTCCCAAGTAGCTGTGATTACAGTGCCACCATGCCCAGCTAATTTTGTATTTTTAGTAGACATGGGGTTTCACCGTGTTGGTCAGGCTGGTCTCAAACTTCTGACCTCAGGTGATCCTCCCGCCTTGGCCTCCCATAGTGCTGGGATTAAAGGCATGCGCCACCATGCCCGGCTAATTTTGTATTTTTAGTAGAGACAGGGTTTCACCATGTTGGTCAGGCTGGTCTCAAACTTCTGACCTCAGGTGATCCTCCCGCCTCAGCCTCCCAAAGTGCTGGGATTACAGGTGTGAGCCACTGTGCCTGGCCTTTTTGTATGTTTTTGAAATCTGAAATTGATGCACCATATGTTGATTCAGATTAGCCATATTTCAAGTGTCATGGCCACACATGGCTCGTAGTCACCACATGGGGCGGTATAGCCCTGGATCCTCAGAGTTCCCTCATTCAGGTTGGAGGTGGAGATTGCAGGGGAGGGATCTGCAGGCCAGATCTGGAAGTGGCAAGTTCAGCCCGCATTCCACTGACCAGAACCCAGACTGTGGTCGCACCTTTGCAAGGGAGACTGGAACAGCATCTAGCTTTGTGCCCAGGAGGATAAGGAAGCAAGGTCTAGCGAACACTCAGCAGAGTCTCTCCCAGCAGCCAGCAATTTTCTGTGCATCTACTATGAGCTAGTCAGCCTGGTTGGCAGGCTGTATCTAGGTTTTGAGTAAGGTGGAAGAAATTTTGCTTTATATACTGGTTTCCCTTAGCTCATAGTTCATACTCCTTAAAGTGGCTTCCAGGGTCTTCCATGCTAACTTGCTTCCCAGTGCTCCCAGGGGCCCCCTGCAGGTCCCAATTTGCACACTGTTACTCATGCTCTTCCTCCCACTGGGAGTATCCGTGTTCTCCTCCAGTAGTGCCCATCTTCCCTGATTCTCCCCATTCCCTGGGTCCTCTTCAGTCTCTTATGCTCCCCTTTTATGCCCTTCACCATATACAGACATACAGGCAGCATGAGTGGAGAAACATGCAGTTCAGAAGCAGCTGGGCCTGGATTCCAGCCCCAGTTCTATGACACACCTGCTGTGTGACCCTGAGGAAAGTCACTCAACCTCTCTGAGTCTCATCTGTCCCCTCTGTAAAACGGAAATAACCAGAGCTACCTGGTGGGATGTTGGCCCCCACCTGTCCCAGTGCTGCACAGCTGCAGGCCAAAGCCCAACTTGGTATTTGAGCTGGTTCTGACCTGGGCAGGCCCTAGAAGAGGATGAGACCCCTTCCCACTGAGGGAGGTAGATTTGATCTTGTGATGAGATGTCCTTGTCTATGAGTTGCCTGGGAGAGCCAAGACTCCTGTGTCCCTCCAAAGTGATGGCTCCACCTGGGGGGCTAGGCTCTGCCTCAGGGTCACCATCCAACTTTTAAAACCTTTGTCTAGAAGAATCTCAGCATGGTTACCATAGGACCCTGACCTGTCCGTTTTCACCCTGGGATGGGACATCTTCTTCCCCCCCACCCTTCAGCCAGCCTGCATCAATCTGCTGTTGCCACTTGAGGATCTGGATGGTGGGCCCTGGCCTGCTGCAGTTCTTCTTTTTTTTTTTTTTTTTTTTTGAGACGAAGTCTTGCTCTGTCGCCCAGACTAGAGTGCAGTGGTGCAATCTTGGCTCACTGCAACCTCTGCCTCCCGGGTTCAAGCGATTCTCTTGCCTCGGCCTCCCGAGTAGCTGGGATTACAGGAGCCTGCCACCGTGCCCGGCTAATTTTTGTATTTTTAGTAGAGACAGGGTTTCACCATCTCGGCCAGGCTCGTCTCGAACTCCTCAGCTTATGATCCACCCACCTCGGCCTCCCAAAGTGCTGGGATTACAGGCGTGAGCCACCGTGCCTGGCCTACAGTTCTTCTTTTGCTTCTGGTCTCTTACTGGACTCTTGTGAGGCTGACACCAGCCCTGACCAAGCCCAGTCTCCTTGGAGGAGAGGCCCAAGTCCAGCCCACAACTGTGTAGGGCCCCCCAGCCTTGTTGCCTCCCATGCCTGGCTTCTTGCCCTCTCTCTAGGGGCAGGGCATGCTGGGCTGTCTTCCTGAAGCACCCAGAAAAGTTATGAGGAGGGGACAGTTAATGCCAGGTGACCAGTGACCCTGAGCCAGTCCTCATTGCTATGTTCAGAAGAGACAAAGGCAATGTTAGCATAGTGAATGTTGAACTGGGCTGGGTGCCGTGAAAATGATATAAGGCAGAAACTATAAGGCGGAGGATACTATTATACACCCATTTTATGGAAGAGGAAGCTGAGGTGCAGAGAGGTTCAGAGACTTGCTCAGGTCTCACAGCTCCGAGTGCTCAAGTTGAATTTTGACTCAATATCACATGAATGCCCCCGACACAACCCTACCACCTAAAAACTAAAAGGAAGATATGAAAGCAAATGTAGAGAGAATATAGCTAGTAGCCAGAGGTAAAGTGAAGAGTCCCAAAGACTCAGAAATAAAATCACTGTCTGACCCTTTGTCCAGAAAATTCCTGACGTAATGGATGGGCCTCATCATCCCGAGAAACCCAGAGTCAGAGTCAGGAATAAGCAGGTCCTTGAGGAAATGAGGAATGGGATGAAGAAGAATGTTCAGGAGGGAGAGCATGGCCACAAGGTTGACTGTGGCCTGCCCTAGGGTGGGGAGTGCAAAAGCAAGATCTTGGAGCTCTTGGGTTCCTTCCCTGCTCTCCTGCCCACTCCAGATTCCATCAGTTATGGCCTTTGGAGGCTGTCTGATCTCTGCCCTGCTTCCTGGCTCACCCAGCCACTGCTTGTCACCAATTCAGCTTCCTGGGTGTTCTGATGTTCGAAAGAGGGTGTGTGAATGGTGGACGAGAACATCCTGGTCTATATGAAGGAGTGGGCTTCAGGGTCAGTAGATACAATGGTCCCCCTACTTAGTTCCCTGGTGCTTGGAGACCATCGTGGTGCTGGGTCATGAAGCAGAGAGAACATTTGTGGGCTCTCCCAGCCCAGAACTGAAGCTTCTGAACCATGGTGACTCTAGGAAGCCCACCACCCAGGAGTCAGCCTGCCTCCCTGGATGCAAGTTGCCTCTGGTGCTTACAAACCACAGCACAAAACACAAAAAATGTGGAAATGGGGACGTTCCCAGAAGGCAACTTCCTGGGGCTCAGATAACCCTGGTCTGACCGCAGAGACCTGATGCACCTCGTACTTCCCCTCCTGTCTGTGAAGCATGAACTTGGCTGGTGTCATGCCTCTGTGACTCAAAGATCCCTGCTGACAGGTTTAACTCCCTGCATGGCTGAGCCCCTGCAGAGCCCAGGACCACTCCACTAGGCCAAAGTGAGGGGTAATGGAAATGAAAACTTTCCACGTTTCCGTGTCTGTCTCCCCGTAGCCTGAGCCCACACCATCTGCCTCCTTTTACTCTGGCATGGATGATGGGAAGGACCAGGCCCTTTCCAGGTTCCTGTTCTGGCTCCTCTGTACAGCAGCTGTGTGATCCTGGGCCAGTCGCTTTGCCTATCTGCACCCCAGGTTTTTCATCTGAACAGTGACGGTCACAGTAACACCCACCTCAAGGGAATTGCGAGAATTAAATGAACCTGTGGATGTCATCCTAGAACAGTGACTGGTATATAGTAGGTGCTCAATAGAGGTTAATTCCCATCTTTTCTGCTGGGGGGCCCAGATGAGATGAAGGTTTTCTGTTTAATGAAAACGTGCACAAAAGCCCAGCAGCGCTATTCCTAGATATATTCCCCCAAGAGAAATGACATAAGTCTACATAAACACTTGTCTACAAATGTTCATAGCCACATTTCTCACAATCACCCCAAAGTGGAAACAACCCAAATGTCCATCAACTGATGAGGGGATACATGGAATGCAGTCTAGCCATACAATGGAATATCATTCTGCCATAAAAAGAAATGAAGGACTGACACGTGCTATACCATGGATGAACTTTGAAAACACTATGTTAAGTGAAAGAAGCCAGACACAAAAGGCCACGTGTTCTAGAACTCCACTGGTATGAAATGTCCAGAATAGACAAATCTATAGAGACAGAAAGTAGATTAGGAGTTACCTATGGCTCGGGGTGTGGTGGGGAATGAGGAGTGACTGCTAATGGGTATGGGGTTTCTTTTTGGGGTGTTCAGATGTTCTAAAACTGATTGTGGTGATGATTGTACAACTTTGAATACAATTTTAAAAAACTGAAATGTACATTTTTAATAGGAGAATTGTATGGCATGTGAATTATGTCTCAATAAAGCCGTTTAAAAATGAAAAGTCAGGGAGAGGAAGAGAAACTTACTAGCACTTGCTAGTGCCACTGGCTTAAATTGCTTCCTAAATATTCACCCATTTCATTCTCACAACAACCTTTTGGGAGGTCCTTTTATCACCCCATTTTTGCAGTTGTGGAAACAGAAGCACAGAAAAGGTGAAGTAACATGGCCAGTCACACAGCTAGTTAGCAGACCTGGAATTTGAACTCAAGCAGTGGTGGTTTAGAACTGAACCGCCACCGTAAGCTGCCCCCCACTGCAACCAGAGGTCGGACTTCATGTATAACAGAGGGAGTCACAGGACCTCATTCACCCAGAAAGACCACCGGAGTCCCCCACCTCTCACAGAGGGATCTGCCAGGACTTGGGTGCACAGGGTGTAGGGCCTAGGTACCAGCAGAGAGCCAGGCTCTGAGAGGCAGACAAGAAGTGGGTGTTTCTGGGTGACACTGTGGGACTAACATGTCTCTGACCCAGTTTGAGAGTGCCTGGCCCCTCCTGGAGCTGGAGCTGCAGAAATCGATTTGCAGACTGCCGGTTTCCACTTAATTAGCATGGCCTCCTTCTGGCTGGGAAAACACCATTAAATGGGCTGGGTTGGCCTGGAATCATGCCGGTGGCCTCGGCCCTGGTTCTCTGGGGCTATCTGTCTCTTGGGCTCTGTCCCCTTAGCCAGGCTGGAATTCAGAATGGCCCGAGTTTCTGGTTTGGAGTATGAGGCAAATTCTACCCACGTCCAGGCCCAAGTGTTAGATGATCCTGGGGCCCCGGTTGAGGGAACTGGAAGGAGAAATAGAGGCTTCACTCTTCATACTCTGCCTCCTTGGGCCCATTGGTCAGTGTCCTGGCACACAGACCTCTGACTTGCACAGGGCACCTACCCTGTGCCATGTACACTGCTGCATTCTTTTTTTTTCTTTTTTTTTTTTGAGACGGAGTCTCACTCTGTCGCCCAGGCTGGAGTGCAGTGGCGCGATCTCGGCTCACTGCGAGCTCCGCCTCCCAGGTTCACGCCATTCTCCTGCCTCAGCCTTCCGAGTAGCTGGGACTACAGGTGCCCGCCACCACGGCCGGCTAATTTTTTTGTATTTTTAGTAGAAATGGGGTTTCACCGTGTTAGCCAGGATGGTCTCGATCTCCTGACCTTTGTGATCCGCCTGCCTCGGCCTCCTAAAGCACTGGGATTACAGGCGTGAGCCGCCGCGCCCGGCCTGCTGCATTCTTTAGATGCGTCACCTGGTACACCTTCCACTCACGTCCTGCACAGGTGGGCTCCACTTCACAGATGAGGAGACAGAGGTGCCGAGGGGTTGTCACTTACTGAATGTTCCCATGGCAGTAGGTGGCAGGGCCGGATTCCTATCTCCGGGTCTCCTGCTTCTGGTGTAATCCCAGCGGCCCCTGCAGAGCCTGCCTCTGTTTTGAGGGCACCACTCATCACCTTGGCTTTAAAAAGTTGAAAAGTGGCCAGGGGCGATGCCTCACACCTGTAATTCCAGCACTTTGAGAGGCCGAGTTGGGCGGATCATGAGGTCAGGAGTTCGAGACCAGCCTGGCCAACATGGTGAAACCCTGTCTCTACTAAAAATACAAAAATTAGCCAGACATGGTGGCGTGTGCCAGTAATCCCAGCTACTCAGGAGGCTGGGGCAGGAGAATTGCTTGAACCCTGGAAGGAGAGGTTGCAGTAAGGTGAGATCATGCCCCTGCACTCCAGCCTGGGCGACAGAGTGAGACTCTTGTCTCGGAGAAAAAAAAAATTAAAAATAAATAAATAAATAATAAAAATTCGAGAGGTTTGATTTCTGCTTCTGGTTTCAGAGGAAGGAAAATCACTTAGGCAATGGGCCCCTGGGGAACAGAATAGCTCCTAAATCCCGGGTGTGCTGTCCTCTGTGGGCTGAGTGTCTGTGCAGCGGGAAGAAGGGGCACCTCTGGGTTCTACCCCAGACTTGCTGCATGACCTTCAGCAACTGACTTGATTTCTCTGAGTCTCTTTCCCTCATCTGTAGAATGGGGCACAGTAACAGCCTCCTTTGCAATGTGGATGACACAGAATGCCCCGGAAGGTGCGTTGACACATGGTCAGCGTCCCGTAGCAGCTGCCTGTTATCTCGCCAGCACTCTTGTGGCTAGCCCTTCAGAAACGAACCCAAAGAAGGCCTGCTTGCTTTTTCTCACACCATGGATGTCTGGGGTGTGAGGCAAGGCACATCTTTTTCCCATGGAGGGGATACAGCCCGCCATGCAGGAGATGGCCTGGGATGGAGGGTGGGTCTCCTGGGCCTGGAGCTCAGCCTCTGTCTGGTGATGTCAGGAATCTGCACTGTGGAGCAGAGGCACCCTGCAGTGTGCAAAGTACTGGTGTTTTCTTTTAAATTGAGGTAAAACTCACAAAACACAAAATTAACCATTTAAAAGTGTACAATTTAGTGGCATTTAAGTACCTTCACAAAGCTGTACAGTCATCACCTCTGCTTAGTTCCAGAACATTTTCATTGTCCCAAAAGGAAACCCTGGACTCATTAGCAGTCACTCCCCAGTTTCCTCTTCCCCCTAGCCCCTGGCAGCCGCTAATCTACTTTCTGTCTCTATGGATTTATCTGTTCTGGATATTTCATATAATATGTGACTTTTCGTGTCTGGCTTCTTTCACTTGGCGTAATGTTTTTCGGGTTCATCCACGCTGTAGCATGTGTCAGTACATTATTCCTTTTACATCTGGATCATGTTACATTGTGTGGATAGACCCCCTGTCCCCCGCCAACCACACACACCCAGGCTGGAGTCACCCTAAGGTCCACCTCTGCAGTGATGGTTAAAGCGATGTCCCCAAAGGGCACTGTGGTCTTGGCTCCTTGATCTCACCAGCCATTCATGTCCAAACATCAGCCTGGTGCTGATGGGGACGAGGTGGGGAGTGATTCTGGGGGATGGGGATAGTTAAAGATCCACCAGGGACAGATGAGCTTCCTGTGTGGTCCAACTCAGGAGTCACCAGGGTCCATGGTTCAGATGCTGGGATCTGGAGCGAGACCATCTGGGCTCAAATCCTAGCTCTGTTGCCTATTGGGTGAACTTGGGCAAACCATTCAATCTCTCTGTGCCTCAGTTTTTCTTTTGGTTAAATAGAATAATAATACACTACCTACTTAAAAGGGTTGTACCAGAGCTAAATGAAGCCTTGCTTTAGCACAGTGCCTGGCACAGAGGAATATTTCCAAAATATGTTAGTTGTCCAAAATGTGTTAGCATTTCCAAAATGTGTTAGCTGTCAGCTCTTGTGATTCTTTGATTCTTTTTTTTCCCCCCGAGATGGAGTCTTGCTCTGTTGCCCAGGCTGGAGTGCCATGGTGTGAACTTGGCTCACTGCAACCTCCGCCTCCTGGGTTCAAGCAATTCTCCTACCTCAGCCTCCCGAGTAGCTGGGATTACAGGCGCCCGCCACCACGCCCAGCTAATTTTTGTATTTTTAGTAGAGACGGGGTTTCATCATGTTGGCCAGGCTGGCCTCAAACTCCCGACCTCAGGTGATCCGCCCATCTTGGCCTCCCTAAGTGCCAGGATTACAGGTGTGAGCCACCACACCTGGCCGTGATTCTTTGATTCTATCAGTTGGTGTTTCCCCCTAAAATTGCAGTCCTGTGAGTGTGCTGAGGCCGTGCCTGGGCACTATGCACCCTCATAGCATGGGTTGCCTTTTCTTACTGCTCCTCCCCTGGGCTGTTTTCCATCTATTTCAGGGCTTTCTTGTTACTGTGCATCACTGTGAGCTCCACAGAGCAAAGGCTCACTCTGGTTTGCTCAGCACAGTGTACACGCCGGGCACAGTCCCTCTGAACAACTGCATGCCCACACCACTCCTGCGTTTCACCTCAGGACCCCATGGCCCACCCCTGTGAGCTAAGCTCATGCCTTTTTACTTTGAGATAATTATAGATTTACATGCAGTTAAAAAAAATACAGAGAGATCCCTTCTGTTCTACACCCAGTTTACCCAAATGGTAAGTTTTTTTTTTTTTTGGAGACAGGGTCTCACTCTGTCACCCAGGCTGGAGTGCAGTGGCGTGATCTCAGCTCACTGCAATCTCTGTCTCCTGGGTTCAAGTGATTCTTCTGCCTCAGCCTCCTGAGTAGCTGGGATTACAGGCACATGCCACCTCGCCTGGCTAGTTTTTGTTTTTAGTACAGACGGGGTTTCACTATGTTGGTCAGGCTGGTCTTGAACTCCTGGCCTCAAGTGATCCTCCCGCCTCAGCCTCCCAAATGGTAACATTTTGCAAAACTAATATATGTTATCACAACCAGTAAATTGACATTGATACGGTTCACCAATTGGATCCAGATTTTGCCAGTTTTATATGCATTCATTTGTGTATGGATGTGTGTGTTTGGCTCTGTGAAATCTTTGATGGCAGGAGCAGATTTGTGTGACCAGCACTGCAGTCAAGAGGCAGAATTATGAAATACTGGTTACATGATAAAATTATAATATTTTGGACATATGGATTAGGTAAAATATATCATTAAAATATCACCTGTTTTTATTTTTTAAATGTTGTTAACAAAACATTTCAAATCACATATGTGGCCTATGTTATATTTCTCTAGGACACTGCCATCAGTCCAAAAAGTTCCCCTGTGTCCCTTCCCAGTCAATCCCCTACGCTCTTCCAGGCAGCTATTGTTCTGATGGTTTTTTTCCCCACTAAAGGCTATTTTTTTCCTTTTTGTCTTTTTTTTGAGGTGATATGCACATAAAAAATTAGCCATTTTATTTTTTTTTATTTATTTATTTTTGAGACAGTCTTGACGTGTCACCCAGGCTGAATGCGGGTGGCACGATCTTGGCTCACTGCAACCTCCACCTCCTGGGTTCAAGTGATTCTCGTGCCTCAGCCTCCCGAGTAGCTGGAATTACAGGCGTGCACCACCATGCCCAGCTAATTTTTGTATTTTTAGTAGAGATGGAATCTCACCATGTTGGTCAAACTGGTCTCGAACTCCTGACCTCAGGTGATCCACCCACCTCAGCCTCCCAAAGTGTTGGGATTACAGGCGTGAGCCACCGCGCCTGGCCTATTTTTAACTTTTTGGAGAACTGCCAAACTGTTTTCCACAGTAGCTACGCACCATTTTATATCCTCACCAGCAGTGTACAAGGGTTCCAGTTTCTCCACATGCTTATCAACACTTGTTATTGTCTGTTTTTAAAGAAATTATAGTCATTTTAGTGGGTGTGAAGTATATTGTTAGTTTGCTTTTTCTGGAAAGTCATGCAAGTGGAATCACATAGTATGGACCCTGTGTGAGCCTTCATTTGCTCAACTTATATGCGAAGATTTTTTAGATGTGTGGTTTGAGGGCCTGGAAAGTCATGTCCTGGCCTATGGAATATATTAAAGGGGAAGATAGGATTCCTTAAGGCAAAAGTGGCAGTTCATTAACCCCCTCCCCTGCAAATCCCTGCCCCACCCCCATCCCGCTGCCACATAAAGATGGACCTGTCTGCCTGCCTTCACTGCAGAGCAAAAATTTTATTTATTTATTTTTTTTTTTTTTTAAGACACGGTCTCTCTCTGTCGCCCAGGCTGGAACACAGTGACGCGATCCCAGCTCACTGCAACCTCCACCTCCTGGGTTCAAGCAATTCTCCTTCCTCAGCCTCCTGAGTAGCTGGGATTACAGGTGCCCACCAACATGCCTGACTAATTTTTGTATTTTTAGTAGAGATGGGGTCTCACCATGTTGGCCAGGCTGGTCTTGAATTCCTGACCTCAAGTGATTCACCTCAAGTGATCCACCCGCCTTGGCCTCCCAAAGTGCTGGGATTACAGGTGTGAGCAACCACGCCCGGCCTGCAGAGCAAAAATTTATTGAGCACCTGTGGTGTGCCAGGACTCATTTATAAGTAAATAGAAAAGGTCCCTGTCCTTGTAGGGTTTATAAACTATAGGGGGAAACTACAAGTCCACATACACATAACCTACCATTTAAAAGTCTGACTAAATGCTGTGAAGGAGTAAGCAAGGTGCTTTGATAGGGAACAGAGGGACAGTGTGTGTATAGGAAGGCCAGTCAGGTGGGTCCCTCTGAGGAGGTGACACTTAAGAGACCTGAAGGATGAGAACTGAGCCAGCCATGCAGAAGGATGGGGAGGCTGGGCTAGAGGAGAGTGTTCTAGGCAGAACAAAATAGCACAAGCAGGGGCCCTGGGGCAGTGAAAGCCTCTGGTGGTTCAGTGCAAAGTTAGGAAGGTGTGAAACAGTGGGAAGGGAAGGGACAGGGATGCTCCTGCTGGCTGATGGCCCATACTGTAGGGGCCACAACTTTGTCTTAGCTGCAAGCAGGACCGGAGACATGAAGGGCCAGACTCTGGGCCAATTTCCTTGCTGCGTTCTCAGCTCCAAGAGGCAGCTCGGCTGGGATATTGTGGCTCATTCTAGTGTCTTGCAGCCTCTCAAACTGGAGGGCTGGAGGGTTGGGGCGTGGTTAGTGGCAGCTGTGACGGAGACTTATCAGGAAGCAGGCATGTAATTCCTGCAGTGATTCACACCCAGTCCCCAGTTTACTGCAGTCCTGCAGTGATTCACACCTGGGCCCCAGTTTACCGCAGCTGCACCTTTAAACAGGGCTCGGATGCCTGCATCTCCCTGACCCGTGTGTACCCTCATCATCCCAGGACCTCGGAGGTGTGGGTGAGGCAGCACATAGCTCAGCCTGGTGCCCTCCTCTCACTAGAGAGCTTGACCCTAAAGCCGCAAGCTCAAGCCCACGCCCTGGCCAACCTCCTGGAGCTTTGAGAACAAGGTGTCCTGTACACAGAGTCCTGGCCCCAGTACCTGAGCGCACATGAACCCCGTATGCAAGAAGAAAACTGACCCCAGCCCCATGTTACATAAGAACATCTTTGGAATTTGGCTCCTTTTGAAATGAAATGGGAAACCTGCACTCAAACAAGCAGGTATGGGGAATTCAATAGGAGGCAAATGCCCTCAGGGTCACCTCTGGGCCAGTATGCATTCTGAGGATTGGTTTATTCATTCAGCAAACATTGTGGACACCTGCTTTGTGCCAAGCTTCATGGAGGGATACAAGAACAGATGTTCAATCAATGTCTGTGGGAAGAAGGAGAGAGAAGGGGGATGAAAGGGAAGGATTGAGAAGGAGGAGTGTAGGGAGGTAGAGAGTAAGGAAGAGAGGAACGAAGGGAGGGAGGGAGGGAGGGAAGGAAGGAGGGAGGGAAGGAAGGAAGGAGGGAGGCAAAGAAAGGGGAAGGGAGGGAGGGAGGGAAGGAAGGAGGGAGGGAGGGAAAGAAAGGGGAAGGAACAGAGGGAGGGACGGAGGGAAGATAAATGGGCAGAGATACCCTCACAGAGCTCATCGTCATGTGACTGTGGGTGCAGGTGTGCCCATGGTAATGTAACTAAGTATTTACAATCTAGCTCAGCTCTGATCAATGGAAAAATAATGTAAGCCACATATGTAATTTTAAATGTTCTAATAGTTCCAGTAAAGCAGGCAAGGAACAGGTGAAATTAATTTGAATAATTATTTAACTCAACATTATTTCAATATGTATTTAGTATAAAAATATTAATGGGTATGTTACATATCTTTTTCACACTAAATCTTCAAGGTCACCCCTAGCACGTCTCAATCTGGATTATGCACATTTCAAGTGCTCCCCAGCCCTGGACACCGTGGAGGGTGGCAGGCACTCTGACTGAGGTGCACAGAGCCTGCTGAGGGCACTTAAGTCAGAGTCAAGGAAGACTTCACCGGGTGGTGCCTTCAGTCATTTAATCATTTGCTCACTTACTGTTCACCTAATGTTTATTGAATGCCTCCTGCACTGGGTGTGACGGCTGGGCAGAGACTCTGCTTGGAGGAAGGAGGGAAGGGCATTCCAGACTAGGGAAGCAGATTGCAAGCTCTGAGAGGGCAGACTGGCGTCTGTCTGGTTCACTGCTGTAGCCCTGCACCTGGTGCAGAGTTGGTGCCTGGCGAACATTTGCGGAGCGGGAAAGGAGGGAGAGAGGAGTTGGGCATTTCTAGAGCGCAGGAGGCAGAGAAGACTGGTTAGAGAGGAAGCTGGAGACACCATTCTCAAACTTGACAGTGCACTGGAATCACTGGCAGGGTTTGTTAAAGCGTAGATTGTTAGACACCCCCCTCCTGCAGGGTTCCTGATCCAGCAGGGCTGGGGTAGGGCCACCGGATTTGCATTGCCAGCAAATTCCCAGGTGCTGCTGCTGCTGCTGGTCCAGGGATCACTGAGAACCACTGGGCTAGACCACGAACCCTGTGAAGGCAGAGAGGAGCCAGGAGAGGTTTCTGAGAAGGAGAGAGGGGAGCACTTAGGTTTGTGATTTAGAAAACTGTGGGTGTGCGGCACGGTGGCGCATGCCCGTAGTCCCAGCTACTCGGTAGGCTGAAGCAGGAGGATCACTTGGGTCTGGGAGATCTGGGCTGTAGTGCGCTATGCTGATCGGGTGTCGGCACTAAGTTTGGCATTAATATGGTGACCTCCCGGGAGCGGAGGACCATCAGGGTGCCTAAGGAGGGATGAAGTGGCCCAGGTCGGAAACAGAGCAGGTCAAAACTCCCCTGCTGATCAGAAAACTGTGCATGGCTGCTGAGGACAGGGGTTTCCACCTCCGTCCCACCTCTCCTGCCAGGGCAGTGGCACCCTTAGCTCAGGAGGGTGCGTCAGGACCCAGTTCCATCCTCACACGGTGGGGAAGCCTGGGCTGTGCTCCCAGAACAAGAAACAGACCTGGGTGATGAGTGACAAATGTGGACGGTTCTCTGCACTGTGGGTGGAAATAGAAACCCTTAGTCAGCTGTGGGGTTCAGCAAAGAATTTCCCTGGTTAACGGAAACTTGACTGGCTGTGGGTGAGGGGGAGGTTGGGTTCTGAGACGTCTGGGAGGCCTGGGCTCTTCGGTTCTCGTGGTGCCCAGCTCAGCGTGATGCCTTCAGGTTTGAGACCACTTCCTCCTGTTGAGCCTCTTCTCTGGGGGCACTCATTATGTATGCTGCGTAACAAATCACCCCAAAAGGTGTTAAGTGAAAGTAACAACAGATGTCTGTGTTCTCACAGTTTCTGTGAGTCAGGAACCCGGGGTCGCTGGGTGGTTTGGGCTCAGGGTCTCTCAGGAGGCTGTCGTCAATATGTGGGCCAAGGCCTGACTGGGTTAGGGGATCTGATTCTAAGATGGCGCTCACACGCTGTTGGCAGGAGGCCTCACTCCCTCACTGGTGGTCTTTTCACAGGACTGCTAAGTCCACACTATGACAGCTGGCTTTCCCAGAACAGGTGATCCAAGGGGCAAGACAGAAGCTGAAACATCTTTTTTTTGTTTTTTTTTTTTTGAGATGGAGTCTCACTCTGTTGCCCAGGCTGGCGTGATCTCAGCTCACTGCAACCTCTGCCTCCTGGGTTCAACCGATTCTCCTACCTCAGCCTCCCAGGTAGCTGGGATTACAGGCATGTGCCACCACACTCGGCTAATTTTTGTATTTTTAGTAGAGACAGGGTTTCACCATGTTGGCCAGGATGGTCTCAAACTCCTAACCTCAGGTTATCTGCCCGCCTCGGCCTCCCAAAGTTCTGGGATTACAGGCATGAGCCACCGTGCCTGGCCAGCTGAAACATCTTTTATGACCCAGACTCACAAGGCACACTCCATCCTATTGGTGACACATTAGCCCTGTTCACTGGGGGAGGGAACTGGACAAGAAGGTGAATCCTAGGAGGCTGGGGTACTTGGGTGGCATCTTGGAGACTGACCACAATGCCCAAACTGCCCTTTGGCCTTATCTTGTAGTCAGTCCACAGATCTCCAAAGATAACTGTATCTGGTGCTGCTATTTGTTGTCTTGGAGCTTGAAGACTGGGCCCTACATTCCTGAGGGGTGCCTGCTGGAGCCAGGAGGTGGGGTAGGGGAGAGCCAGCTAGTAGCTAAACACTTTACTCATTCCAGACACTATGGTCAGCACTTTATAATCTAATTCTCAGACAACCTTATGAGATTATAGTCCCCATTCTACAGATGGGGAAACTGAGGCTCAGATAGAGGAGATGACACATCTGAGATCAAACCACTGGGAAATGGTGGGGTCTGAATTCTGAACCACTACACGTGTGTCTTCATACCAGGTGCAATGCTTAGGTAGACTGCATATTCCCCAACAGTGTGCTTTGATGGCTTCTCTCCAGGGTGGAAGTGGTTGGAGCAAAGGTCAGACTGGCCCTTTCATCCCTTGGGCTCAGAGCCTGGCACTAGGCTTGCTGGCAGAAGAGGAAACAGGAAGGCTTTGGGCTGCATGCAGATCCCCAACTCTTAAAACCTGGGGTCAAGTTTGGCTCTCTCATACATTCTCATGGTGGAGCAAGCATGGGTCAAGTGTGGGGGTATTGGAGCCTCTTACCAGCTGAGTAGATTGGGGCAAGTTAATTAAACTCACTGTGCCTCAGTATCCCCAACTGTAAAATAGGAGCTCATTAGAGCCTGCCTCACATTTGCCTTGGGCTGTTGTAAGCATTAAATGAGATCATTTCCTACACATGCTAGACTCAGGGCTGGGCAACAGCAAGTGCTCAGTAAACATGAGCTCTTCTTATCGCAGGCTTGTTAGATGCTGATATGCATCTGCTGTCTGTTCCCACATCTGGCTGAGCTGTGAGGATACGAGGGTTGAAGACCATGGCATTTTTGTCTATTGCTGGGAGCATCAGCAAATGATCCATCCTGCAGGTCCGAGAGCTCAGGACATTTTCAGCAAATGGCTCCCAAGTCCCATACATCACTCTACCTACATCCTGTCCTGGTCCTCTCTGAGCCAGGAACAGAGGGTTCCAGAAGCCCTGGAAAACTTGCAGCTTGCTCCCCTCCGGGCCCAGCCAGCTACTCTCTAGCTGTTCCTGTCTGATAAGAGAGTGGATTTTTCCATTTCCTGCAGCAGAAATGCTCCTGTTTCCTCTCTGCCCACCCAGCTGCCCTGGTTTCTGCTGCTGCACGGGCAGAAGATGGGTATCTGGAAGTCACAGGAGATTGTGCAGCATGCAGGGAGAGTAGCAGGACAGGGCCCCCCAGGCAGGTGGGGCTGCAAGGCAGTCAGCATACCTTGCAGGAGCCAGACTTCTCTGTTTTGTTTTGACATGGGAACCGAGTCTGTATCAGAAATGACAAAATCAAACACCCGCAAACAAAACCCCCCAGCGAAGCAAACAGGAAGCAGGGTCTGGATAAAAATACCATCCTTTTTGCAGCTGCAGCCTCCACCATGCAGGTTTCAGAAGGTCACGCTCTTGACAGGAAATGTGGCTGCTTTCAGAGGGGAGAGGTGGCTGAGTTGGGGCCGGGGGTAGAGACAGTGGGGACAGCCAGAAGCAACAGCAGGCTCTCGGGGGAGGTTCGTGCACCTTTCACTTCTTGACAGGTGAAGGAACTGGGCCCGATCTGTCTGTTCCCTTCCTGGCCACGATCCCAGGGTTCACCTTGGACTTATATTTGTTTCTTCCTCTCCTACCAGGGACCAGGAGACTTTTATTGTGAGGGTGAAATGAGACTGTGGTTTTGAACTTTTTTTTTTTTTTTTTTTTGAGATGGAGTTTCGCTCTTGTTGCCCAGGCTGGAGTGCAATGGTGGGATCTTAACTCACTGCAACTCCGCCTCCCGGGTTCGGGCGATTCTCCTGCTTCAGCCTCCCAAGTAGCTGGGATTACAGGTGCCTACCACCATGCCCAGCTAAATTTTTGTATTTTTGGTAGAGACAGGTTTCACCATGTTGGCCAGGCTGGTCTCGAACTCCTGACCTCAGGTGATCTGCCCGCCTTGGCCTCCCAAAGTGCTTGGATTACAAGCATGAGCCACCACTCTCAGCCATTGAACATATTTTGTTAGCTGAAAAGCATTACCCTGAGGATCAGCAAAGTTTTTCTGCAAAGGGCTAGATAAGAAATATTTTCGGCTGTGTGGCCATATGGTCTCTGTCTAACTCCTCAGCTGTGCTGCTGGAGCCTCAAAACAGCCATAGGCAATGCATAACAAGGGAGCGTGTGTTCCAATTAGTTTTTGGACACTGATATGCCACTTTCATGTAATGTTCATGTATTGCCAAATATTACTCTTCTTTGATTTTTTTCAACCATTAAAAAAAAAATAGAAGCCATTCTCAGCTTGCAAGCAGTATAAAATTAAGCCAGATTTGGTTTGTAGACCACAGTGTGCCAACCCCTGCACTCTCCAAACAAAATGGTTTGTATTATTGTTGCTATTTAACTTCCTACTCAATACAGGAATCCCAGCTTTAGCACTTCCTTCATGGGGTCAGCCAGGTTGAGACTTTGTTTCTGCACTAGCTACTTTGAGCAGAAATAGAGTTCTTACCACTTGGCTATCATTCTGCGGAAGGTTTTTGTTTTTTAGTGAAATTGAGAAGTTCTGATTATAAAGGTAGTACATATGGATTTTAAAATGCTTGGGAAATACTGGCAAACACAAAATAAAAATCCCTGATAAATCATAGCTACTGTATTTTTTTTCCAATGAAAAGTGTGTGGATGTATGGAAAGCATTTTTTTCCTTTCCAGTTGAGATTCCATTGAATGTAAAGTTTTGACTCTTTGTTTTTCCATTCTATGTTATATATCAAGCATTTTCCCATGTCATTAGAAATTCCTCAAAGATACCAGCTGCAGAATATTCCATTATATGGATGTTTCATAATTTACCAAATCAACCTCCAATTGTTTAGGCATTTGGGTTGCTTCCAGGATTTCTCACTTATAAACAATATGCATATAAACAATGCTGCTGTGAACATCCTTGTTCGTAAATCTTTGTCTGCCCTCTGATCTTTTCTTTAGGGAGAATGTGTGCTGAAAATTCCTAGGAAAACTGTGCTTCTGACTTATATACTAACTTTTTTTTTTTTTTGAGTTGGAGTCTCGCTCTTGTTGCCCACGCTGGAGTGCAATGGTGCGACCTCGGCCCACTGCAACCTCCACCTCCCAGGTTCAAGCAATTCTCCACCTCAGCCTCCTGAGTAGCTGGGATTACAGGCACCCACCACCACGCCCGGCTAATTTTTTTTGTATTTTTAGTAGAGATGGGGTTTCACCATGTTGGCCAGGCTGATCTCGAAATCCTGACGTCAGGTGATCCATCCGCCTCGGGCTCCCAAAGTGCTGGGATTACAGGTGTGAGTCACCACACCCAGCCTATACTAACCATTTTTGCTTTACTGAATTTGACTTTGCTGATTATGCAGTTCATAAGGTTTCCTCACTGATAATGACTTCATTCTCCCCTCCTGCACCGCTAGCCCCAGGCGACCACTGATCTGCTTTCTGTTTATAATTTCATTTTGAAGTATCTCATTTTTGATCAGCCTAAAGTTGATTACCTCCTTATTTGCTCAGAATTCCATTCTTCATAATAGTAATGCTGCCACCTCCACTTTCTTTGTGTTTGTGTTTGCCTGTTTTATATTTGAACATTCCTTTAATTTTAGTCTCCGTTATTTTGTTTGGAATATATCTCTTGTAAGCAGCACACAGTTGTTTTTTTTTTTTTTTTTTTTTTTTTTTGGCAACCAAATCATTGCTGCTTTATGGGAAGGATAAATGATTCAATTTACTCATCTGGTACATGTTTGGATGTCGGTCATCTTGCTTCGTGATTTGTGGCATTTATTTCTTTTATTATTTCTTTCATTTTGTGACTTTAATGAATACTGTGTTGATTTGCATTTATCTTTTCCATCGATAATATGGAAGATACAAGTAGTGACTTCAATTTCTTATGTGGTTACCTTTAAAATTTTCAGAAATCTTGTTTTATTTCCCCAGGCAGACACTTGTTCATGTCCTATGTAATACAGGGCTGAGGCAGAGTAGCATCTTTAGGAAAGACCAAAATTGAAAGCCAAGGCAGAGACAGGGGAGGTAGTTTTGGGACAGCAGAACAGGACCAGGGAAATCAGAGGGAAGCTTCAGAGTGGACAGGTGTGAGCTGAAGGAACTTCCCCCTTCATACACAGCTTGTTGCCTTTTCCTAAACATTGATAGGAATGGATTTTATTCTTGGCTATATTTGAGTGAGGGTCCCTTGTAATTAGTCATGCCTGAAATACCAGTTATGTATGGAATCAACCAGACTAGAATTTGAGTCTCAGTGCTTACTAGCTAAATAATCTTGGGAAAATCATATAAGTTATCTGTCAAATGGTCTAATAATAGCACCTAAGTCATGTGGTTGTTGTGGGGATTGAGGCATCCCAGGGATCTGGGATAATACATGTAACATCCTGGTACAGTGCCTTATACTTGGAAAATAGTCAATGAATGTTAGATGCTATTATGATGGCTGTGAAGCTATTACAGTGTTTATATGCATGTATCTCCTACCTGCAGGGCTGGAAATATTTTTATCTATTACTTGCCTGGAGATATAAAGTAAATGGACTATTTTTAAAAATTCAGGATTGATAGCTGGAAGGAGAAGTGAGGTGAGAGATGGGTTTTAGAGAGCAAGAGCGAGTCAGAAAGAGGCATTCAGGGCATCTGGGGAGAGGGGAATTGGGATAAGAGCAGATACCTTGGAGAGCTCCCGGACGGCCAGTGCGTGTTTAGGCGGGCCAGGCTCTGCGGAGCGGAAGGGAGATCAGGTCCCTAGGTCTGCAGTGAAGCTGTAAGGAGAGGTGCTGGGAGAATTCTGGAGGTAGAATCAGTAAAGAACAGGGGCCTGGTGCAGCGGGGGTCTGATGTATTTATGAATAGAATGAGGAAGTTCCAAGTTCGTGTTTCTGGATAAGGGGGACCCTTGCCTTCAGTCTCTGAGATTAAGTACAGTGAGGGGTAAGAGAAGGGGAAGGAAGGGAGAAGAAGAGAGAGGGAAGGGTCCAAGGCACACAGTCTTTGCAGCTTTGGTGGAGAAATCTTACAGGCCCATATCATCTTCACGGTAGCTGAGTTAAATGCAGTTCTCCCTCCCTTTGAGGAAATCGAATACACAAATGTCCCCTCACACATTAGGAAGTGATTCCCCACCTCACCCCAACCTCCATGTGTCAGAAAGACTATACATATTGAAAAAGATTAACTGCAGGCCTACTTTGTACATCAGTTTTCTGGGTATCTTTAGTTTTTTATTCTTAGAATTTAAAAAAATATTTTTAATTTGTTCATTCAGTCAACAAATATTTGTTGAGTGCTTTCTCTAGGAGCTGCATGCCCCACATAAGAAGACAGACACGAGTTGCCCGCATAGAGCTTATATCCTAAAGGGTGTGCTGTCACTTTTCCTGCATACACCCAATGCCAGATGTAAGTTACATGTGCAGAGGCATCTGGGTAGCTGATGTGAATCTCTGTCAACCCCTTCTGTCTAGCAGAGACATATGTCCTGGGCACAGAGGTTCTAGAAGGGAGCAGGTTTATAGCTACGTGTCTGGGGTCCCCTTGGCCATCTTGTCCTGGTGGTGCTAAGGGTGTCAGAGATGCTAGGAGAGGAACTGGCCTCTTTGTTCAAGCCAAAGGGTGAAGATTCTCTCTGACAAGGAAAAGTCTGTGGCCCAGCCTGGGAATGCTCTTGTCCAAAGGAAGAAGCATAGAGTAGCTCAAGAACAGATGTTCTGGCTGGTTCTGAGGCTTGGGTAGAGGCCAGGTAAGCTCCATTCACTTCTGCGGTCATCAGAAATTGACTGGGGGCCTGAACTACATCACAGGAGCAGCACGGTAGCCAAAAGATGGTCCTACTCACCCTATCCCTCCAGAACTTTAGTGTCGTAAAGACACAGACAAATCCATACATAACTATAAAATAGTGTTAAGTCTTTTTGGAGTTTGGGAGGCACAGCAGTCATATGAGAAGGGTGCCTGGCCCAGCCTGGGAGACCTGCAAGAGGCTTTGCAGAATAAATGACATTGAAGCTGGGACTTGGAATCTAAGTAAGAATTAACCAGGTGAAGTGAAGACAGAGAAAGACAGGCAGGGCTGGGTGTGGTGGCTCACGCTTGTAATCCCAGCCCTTTGGGAGGCTGAGGCAGGAGGATCACTTGAGCTGAGGAGTTCGAGACCAGCCTGGACAACATGGCAAAATGCCATCTCTACAAAAATACAAAAAAAATTAGCTGGGCATGGTGGTGCGCACCTGTACTCCCAGCTACTTAGGAGGCTGAGGTGGGAGGATTGCTTGAGCCCTGGAGGTTGAGGCTGCAGTGAGCTTGATCACACCACTGTACTCCAGCCTGGGTGAGAGAGGGACCTTGTCTCAAAAAGAAAAAAATACTATTCCATTGTATGGAATTTTGTTTATCTATTCATTAGTTGATGGAAATTTGGGTATTACTTTAGAGATATCGCGACTAATGCTATAAAAACATTCATATGCAAAGTTCTGTGTGGACATATATGTTCATTCCTCTTAAATATATACCTAGGAGTAGAATTGCTGGGTCAGATGGTAATGCTGTTTAACTTTTTAAGGACCTGTCAGTCTGTTTTCCACAGTGCTGTGCCATCTTACGTTCCCACCAGCAGGGCCCGAGGGCTCTGATTTCCACGCGTCTTCACACGGTTGTCCAACCCCTCCTCTTCTTGAATGGGCCAAGAGTGATACTTTCTATCTGGGGAAGAGCAAGGGGCTGGCTCCTGGGACCTGAGGCTTGGTCCTGGGGATGTGACTTTGAGGGAAGCCCGTGTCTTTCTGGTCCACCAGGGTGAGTCATCACCCAGGATCCCGGGGGAGCTGCCTGGCAGAGGGGCGGGCTGCACCAGCCACTGCAGAAACCACCATGCAACTTGACTGAGTCTCCACCCTCAGCTCCAGGCAGCCGGGCTTCCCTGGGAGCAGCTATTTCTGGCTATTTCTGCTCCAGGGAGGAGCAGTGGTGGGTGGAAAGGTTTCAATTGCTCAGTGGGGTGATTTTTGGAAGCGCAGTGCCTTGGGGGCACAGGACAGCTTTGACTTGGGAGGAGAGCAGAGGGGCTGCTCTGAGAGTGCTGGCCCTTTGGCGTTATCAGAGCAGAGGGCTGGGCACACAGCAGTCCTGACAGCACCTTGAAGAGGGGGAAATAAGTCAGTGCGGACTGGGCTGTTCATGCAGGAGGTGCAACCCAGTGGGCGGGATGTGGCGACATCAGGCAGGCCACCAGGGTGCTTGGAAGCAGGGGCAGGCTGGGGTCTACCTACAATGGAGATGCAGCAGGGAGACCGACAGAGGTGGCGCTGGACCTCAGGCTCAGTGTTCACTTCTGTGCCTCAGTGACTTCATTTGCAAATATAGTAACCACAAAGGCTGCAGCAATGCCTGTTGGCAACTGTCTTCTCTATCACATGATGTTCTGGAACACTGACCTTTATTGGCAATGTTCTTGACCTTTCTCTTAGCTTTTTGCCATCCCTGTGGGCTCTCTTCATGATAACATCTGTGTCCATCCTGTTCTTCTCTCCGCTGTATATGCTTCCTTCCCTGGGTCCTTGTTTGGTACCATTTTAGCAAAGTGGTTAAGGGTTCACTCTTCGGAGCTGGCTGGGCCTGGGTGAAAATCCCAGCTCTACCATTCCCAGCCAGGTGTCTTTGGGCAAATCATTTCATGTATGCAAATCTGAGCCTCAGTTTTCCCATCTGTAAACTGGAGCAATAATCGCAGGGAGCTATTTAATAACAGCAGGTTACTTATCCTCGTAACTGGATTATGAGGACTAATTGACTTGATGGATATGAAGGGCTTAACACAATGCCTGGCACACAGTTAGTGCTGGGCTGTAGAAAGAGCAAGGGCACAGGGCAGAGAGAATGAGGAGTGGGATCCTGGACAGAGGGACATGTTGAGTCCCCTGTATCCAGCCTGCAGAGGGGGACAGTGTTGGGTGGGGCTGAAGGACTGCTGTGGTCAGCCTCCAGGTCAGGTGGTGTTGATGAGGGAGGCTCAAGGAAGGGTGTCTGCTCACTCATTTTTTTTTAAGTTTGTTGTTGTTGTTGTTGTTCTTGTTCTTGTTTTAAGAGACAGCATCCTGCTCTGTCATCCAGGCTGGAGTGCAGTGATACAATCACAGCTCACTGCAGCCTCGAACTCCTGGCCTTAAGTGATCCTACGGCCTCAGCCTCCCAAAGCATTGGGATTACGGGTGTGAGCCACTACATCTGGCCTCACTCGATTTTGTACAAAAGTCACAATCATTGCTTTTTATTCCTGAGTCATACTCCTGTTGTGCCCCATGTCTGTGGGACTACACTGACAAATAGTTTCATGCCCTCAGGAACAAGTAGCTCCATGGGTAACAAAGTAAGTGCTGCTGTAAAGGACAAAAGCAGAAATGCAGGGTAGTGTGGAGAGAATAGATGGGGAAGCTCAATGGAGATTAGGGCAATCAGGGAAGGCCTCCCAGAGGAGGTGACATTTTGGCTAAAACCTAAAGGATGAAGAAGAGTTTGCCAGCCCAAGAATGGGAAGAAAGAAGGCTCCGGGCATAGGAAACAGTGTGTGCAAAGGCCTGGAGGATCAGAGCTCGGTTTTTGTTTTGTTTTGTTTTAGGAAATGAGAGGCCAGTGTGGCTGAACCAGTGAGGGATTCAGGGAGGGATTTCCAGGTAAGGCAGGTGTGGAGCAGGCAGGGACTAGATCATGCAATGCCTTGGAGGCAGTGGGAGGATGAGGCCTCATTGCTGGGCACTGGGCAGGAAAGGAAGGAAGAGAGATAGGAGGGCAGGCCTTGTGAGTGAACCTGACCCTGCAAGTCACATGGCGAGGTGGCAGCAGCTCAGCCCCAGGGCACCCCCCGGGGAGATGCAGCTTGCCCAAGGTCCACCTCCACTGGGCAGACACCTCTGCCTGGCTGTCTCCGTTTCCCCAGAGGAGGAGCAGGAGCCACGCCTATGGTCGCATGTTGCTAACCATCTCGAGGTCAGGAAGATGCTCTGTGAGACGGAGTGGGTCAGATGCCAAAGAAAACACAAGCTTGTCAGCGGTGATGTCTCCCTGCAAAGGCAGCCGCCACCAGCTTCCTGCCGAGATGGGCCGGCTCAGCCTCACTTGCTACAGCTGGAGATGGAGAGGACCAGATGGCCCTGTTTGGCCCAGATTCCAGCCAGATTGCCAGGGAGGTGTAGGCGGAGCAGCGGGGTCGGCGCCAGGAGCAGGGATACGTGAGTGAGGAGGGCGGGAGCCACCTCTTTGCCATCTCAGTAGGGCCCTGCCTGTGTAGGGGGTGGCGGGGCACCGACTGTGGCCTTACAGTGGTCTGTGAACCAGCATATGCTCAGAGCTCCCTGGAGGGAGACTGCCTCTGTCTTTTACCACCAGCTCTAAAGCTCTTGAGAGGTGCAAGATGTTGATGGTTGTATTCCCAGCATCCAGCACAGGGTGGCACACAAGCAAGAGCTCACTGGTTGATTTTTGTTTTTATTTTTAAAATAAATGCTAACAGTAGCCAGGGCCTTGTCTTCCTTAACCCCACAGCAATGCCATGAGGGAGCACTGTTGTGATCCCCATTTTGCAGATGAGGACATGGAAGCAGAGAAGGGGAATAACTTGCCTAGAGCCGCAGCTAAGCAAATGCATGAGAATAAATGGGTCACTCTGACAAACTGATGGCAGAGCCTGGGACTTGGGGCTTTGTGGGCAAGAAGCTGCCCTGAGTGTGGGCAACTGAGAGAAGGTGTGGACACTCCTGGCCGAAGGGAATAAGCGTGCCTTTCTCGTCTTTGTGCTCCCTGAGCTCCAGGCAACACCTTAGACCCAAGCCAGCTTCCTCCATTGCTCCAGGTGCTCCAGAGAGCAAGAGATGAGCCGGGAGAGGTAGGGAGACAGGACCCCTGGCGTGGCTGAGCAGGCTGCACACTGCGTAATTCCAGGGCACTGTATTCACACAGACTATGATGAGAACAGTGCAAGGTACTGTTATGCAAGCGTATTTGCATATTGCCTTGGAATTATGCAAGGCAGTAGCTCTGTAGGCGGAACCACACCATACAGGACTTTGAAGACCAGGGGTCTGCAAACCTTTTCTGCAAAGGGCCAGATAGTAAATATCGTAGGCCACGTGAGCCATACAGTCTCTGTTGTACCTACTCAATTCTGCTGTTGGAGGGTGAAAGCAGTCATAGGTGATATGTAAATGAATGAGTGTGGATGTGTTCCAATAAAACTTTATTTGCAGAAACAGGCTGCCTGCCAGATTTGGCTCACAGGCCATAGTTTGTCAGTCCCAATGAAGGTCATGGAAGGATTTTGAACTTCATCCCAAGGGCACTGTTGGGGCTGGACGTGGTTGTGCGTGCGCCTGGAGTCTCAACTACTCAGAAGGCTGAGGTGGGAGGATTGCTTGAGTGCAAGAGTTTGAGTCCAGCCTGGGCAACATAGTGAGGCCCTGTCTCTTAAAAAAAGAAGGCGGCGGACAGGCACAGCGGCTCACACCTGTAATCCCAGGATTTTGGGGGGCTGAGGCAGGCAGATCACGAGGTCAGGAGATTAAGACCATCCTGGCTAACATGGTGAAACCCCGTCTCTACTAAAAATACAAAAAATTAGCTGAGCATGGTGGCACATGACTGTAGTCCCAGGTACTTGGGAGGCTGAGGCAGAAGAGCCGAGATCGCACCACTGCACTACAGCCTGGGCAACAGAGCTAAACTCTGTCTCAAAAAAAAAAAAAAAAAAAAAAAGAAGAAGAAGAAGACTGGGCGTGGTGACTCATGCCTTAAATCCCAGCACTTTGAGAGGCTGAGATGGGAGGATTGCTTGAGGCCAAGAGTTTGAGACCAGCCTGGTCAACATAGTGAGACCCCCATCCCTATATTAAAAAAATAATAATAATAAAAGAAGAAGAAGAAGAAAAGAGCAGAATGGAGCCACGAGAAGGTTTTAAGCAGGGAGTCAGGGAGCCAGGTTTACATTTTAAATGGCCCTGAAAGAGCTAATCCCTCAGCAGGGCAACACCATTTCTTCTGTCCCATTTGTGCATCCTTGAACTCTTCTATCTTCAAGTAGAGGCTTGGCCTGGGATTGCAGGGCGTCTGATACATAGAGAGTTCCAGAAGCAAAGGTCACTGCTGTCCATTTCCCATTACCCTCGTCCCCAAATCAGCTGTCAGCACAGGTCTCGACGTGGCAGAAATCCAGAAATGCTGTTCCTATTCCTGGCCTTAGGGCAGAGTAGAATGGTCCACTGGCCACCAGCCTGGGCTTTGAAATCAGAGAGGCCCGGTGCCAAATCCCTGCTCCTTAATTTGGCCACATGTGACTAAGCTACATCTTCCTGGCCCTCTGTCTCTTCTTCTGCATAAGAGGAATAATTATAGGTGTGAACTCATAAAATAAAGTGGTTCTGAATTGACCGAGGTGCAAATAAAAGGCTTAGTAAGAAAACATTATTTTTATTTATTTATATATATTTTTTGAGACAGAGTCTTGCTCCGTCGCCCAGGCTGGAGTGCAATGGTGCAGTCTCGGCTCACTGCAACCTCTGCCTCCTAAATTCAAGTGATTCTCCTGCCTCAGCCTCCTGAGTAGCTAGGATTACAGGCGTGCGCCACCACGCCCAGCTGATTTTTGTATTTTTAGTAGAGACAGGGTTTCGCCATGTTGGCCAGGCTGGTCTTGAACTCCTGACCCCAAGTGATCCACATGCCTTGGCATCCCAAAGTGCTGGAATTACAGGCATGAGCCACCGTGCCTGGCCAGAAAACATTATTAATATAATAATAATTTTCTTACTGAACTCTAGAGGCAGGGAGCCCGGTTGTGCACTGGGCGCCGAGGACTTTGCTCCTGTGAGTAGGTGCAGAGCCAGGCCTTGGGCTCCTAGGTACATTGGAAGTAGCACTGCTGAGGCAGCCTTGGCTCATGAGTACTAAGGGCTTCCTAGAGATGGGAATCATTTGTCCCACCTCTTGGGCTGAAAATAACTGCCCAACATCAGGGTAATTACATGACTTGGATTCCTCCACCGCATGGAGAACACCCCAATAATTACTGTGCACAAACACTGCTTTTGGCAGCTGATGCTTATTTTCTGCCTCCAGGAGTATCTCCTGGACAGGAAGCTTATTCTGCTACCCACCCCATGGGATTTGAACCCCTAGCTAATGTGAGCAGAACCATCCAGAAACCCATCCTAGTCAGGGATATAGTGGCCACTGCTCCTCTCCCAAAAGCCATCTGTAATGCTCAGGGCACCCCCACTCACCCGTGGGCAGGTTGGGCCTTGGTGATCAGTGGCTTTGCCATAATCTCCTACATGGTCCTGAGGCTAACACCAGGCACTGGGTCTGTAGGAGATGCCTGCGAGCAGAGGACTGCCTGCTACAGACATGAGTCTTCTGGAGTCAGCCCTTGAGGGTGATCTGCTTTGCTCAGTGATGGAGAGGCTTTGTCCTTGGACTGAACTAGAGGGCTGCCAATTGGGTCAAGGTCCTAGAGGAGTTCTTGAGGACTCACTGTGTACCAGGCTTTAGGGATAGAGCCATAAGTACCAGGTCATGGTTCTGCCCTTGTGGGGCTTAGTGTCCAATGGGCAGATACACTCAAAGCCCATAATTAGTTATATAATTGTAGTTGTGACAAGGCTGTAAATGAGATGTATAGGAGCTATGGGTATATATAACAGGAGCCTGGGGAGTTTAAGCTGAGACCTAAAGGACGAGGAGTGGGGCAAAGGTGTGTGTGTGTGTGTGTGTTAGTGTTAGAGGCAGATGCATGGATGATGGTGGTTGGATGGATGAATGGATGCTGGTGGATGGATGGATGAATGATTGAGTCTCCCAGGCAATGGGAACAGACTATGCAAAATCTCAGAGGCCACAAGAAGTGATGTGACTCTGTAACTGACAAAAGACTATTGTGGAAAGTGTTTGGAGTTTAAGAAATGAGAGTGGTGAGGTTAGCAGGTAGGATGATTGTGCACAGCTGAGCAAGTTGTGTACTGGACAGCTCCAGAAGATGCCAGTCTTATAAACCATGATGTGGATGGTGCCACCTAGAATTGTGCAAGCTAGAGACCTGCAGACAGGGCTCACATCACGCAAGAACTTGTATGCCATAGGAAGAGTTGTGGACTTTATTCCCAGAGCAATGGGGAGCCATGGAAGGATTTTAACAATTTGTGACAGAGCTAATTTTCATTTATAATGCCCCAAAGCAGCACCGTCCAATAGAACTTTCCAAGAAGATGAAAATGGTCTATTTCTACACTTTCCAATATGGTAGCCACCAACCACTTGAAACTGAGCACAGCATGCCTGAGAAACTAAATTTTGAATGTTAATTCGTTTAAGCAGCCGTAATAGCCAGATGTAGCTAGTGGCACCATGTTGGTCAGGACAGCGCCAAAGGATCTGACCGTACTGGACAAAGTCCTGTCATGCTTAACCCATACTGGCTATGCATACTGGGCAGGTCTACTGGAGATGCCACCTCTTACTGGGTGGTGACCTCAACCTCCCCTTCACGCAGGGCCTCGGTTCACACTGAGGCCTAGGGTGCAACTGGGACTGTGGTTTGGGAGCTGGGCCTCATGAGGATGGAGCTGAGGGGCTGTACCCCCACCCCATCCACTGCTCCTGAGCCCTTGAGGACTCCTCCCTTGCCTACCAGCTTCTTTTTCCCCTGGCACCCCCTGGAGTTGCTGACTGGGTTTTTTTGTCCTGCAGAAGGGATAGTCTTCTCTTCACCCTGCCCAGCTCACTTCTAATTTGTTTCCCCACAGCAGAAATCAACGAGGAAACCACCTCAGCCCTGCCCTATGGCATGAACCGTAGCGTGGAGATAGTGTCCACGGTGGGGATTAGGGGATGTGGACTTTGGCTTCTGTTTCACAGGGAGCTAGACTTGGCTGGGGGTGGGAGGAGGCTCAGAGGGCTCAGGGCCAGCCTATGTATCCTGTCTGCAGTGCCTGGGCCTGCACGCCTGGCTTCATCAGCACGATGGCACGAGGGCCACCCACACAAGCCAGCTTGTGTATTCAAGTTCGTCCACTTGCCCCACAAACAGCCACCCTCTGTTCACCACTCTGGCCTAGAGGTCCGCTTGCCCAGTAACTGCACAGTCTACCTTTGGGAAGCTGGATCCAGGGAAGATCCTATTGAGGCCCTGCAAGCAGGCTCGGAGTCATTTGGACAGGGACAGTAGAGGTGTGGCCTGGAAGGGGAGCCAGGGGCTTGGGTGGACTCGTCCCACTGGCCCCCTGGACTCCTCATCCACGGGGAGAGGCAAAGCTGGAGGGCCTGAGATCACCCTGCCAAAGCCAGAGCTGGGGTCCCAGTTGCCAAGCCTGGGAAGGGGCCTGCAGGGCTGGTGGGTGAGCTCCTCTCTTCTCTCCCTTTGCACGTGGGTTCAGGGGAGAATTGGGGCTTGAATGGTGGTGGGCAGAGGAGGAGGGAGGAGGGTCACAGTGATAAGGGGAGGGGGCTTATCCTAAGCAAGAGGGATTCCAGGCTGTCAATGCTGTTCACTCTGGCCTCCCTGCCCACCCAGAATCCCTGAACACACACACACACACACACACACACACACACACACACACACACACACACACCCCTAGACAAAATTCTAGGGATTGGGGATGGTTAAAACCTCTGCTACCCTCCTTCCCCAGGGCTCAGTAGGGCCAAAGAAGGGGCATTTGACACCCATAGGTGAGCCATCACCTGCTGTGGGGACCCACAGTTTTAGTAAAAATCATCACATCTGCCAGAGCAGGAGTTCACCTTCAAACCACATGCTGGCCACTGTGCTGAGCCCCTGGCATGGCTCACCTCGATGACCACTCACACTGCTACTGTGAGGAGGATGAACATCATCCCCATTTTGCAGATGAGAAAACTGAGGCACAGAGAAGGAAGTGTCTTGACCAAGGTTGCACAGCCAATGAGAATGGTGCCCAAATTTGAACCTCCAGAGTGTATGCTTTCAATGACTAGAATGTGCATCCTCTGGACAACAAATATAACTTGCTTAGCTCAGTGCCTGGCATCCGGGAAGTGCTAAATAATTGTTAGTTCTTGTTATTGTTATCCATAATAAGATAGGCAGTGGCATCTACCTCTTGGAAATTCTGGGCGTCAGTTGTCTCATCTGTAAAATGGGGAGTTGTTACTACATTCTTCATAGGCCTGGGGGAGAGCGGGTCTTACCCGGGCCCCTGCATGCCTGCACACCCAGTGTGCAACGGGAAGCTCACTCCTGTACCCTCCTATTGCAGTACGCTACTTCCTGAAGAATAAGGTCAGCCCTGATTTGTGCAATGAGGACGGACTCACAGCCCTACACCAGGTAAGGCCGGGCTCGTTGGGGCTCCAGGGCTCCCTGCCCCTCACCTGGACAGGTACCCTGTTTCTCGGCACTTTCCTGCTCAGAACCCTCAGGGAGGAGGGAATGAGGGAGGGAGGAGGAGCTGCAGCTGGCCCATCTGAAAGGCTCTTGTCTACTTTGGAGATACGCGTGTCTGTTACTGCCATCCCACAGAGCCCTGTGTGCGCCCGCAGACGCGACTGCACATGCAGGCTCTAAGGACAGGGAGCCTTTGTTCACTGCATCCCTCCTGCCCATGAAAGCAAGTGTGTTTGGAGCTTGACAGTGTACGAAGCACATTCACACTTATCAGGACATCCCATCCACCCTGGCGACAGAGGCAGTTGGCGGGACTTATGTGACCTGCCTGAGGTCACATGGTCTTGATTTATGGTCTTGAGCCATGTGCTATCATGACATGTCCTTTCCAAGGCAGAGTGATGGGTCCAGCCCTCCCTGCTGGGGATGGCTTCTCTGGCTGTCACCTTTCACGTGGATGCTGCTACAGCCTCGTAACTGGTCCCCAGCATTCAGTCTGGCTCTGCCATAATTCTCTGTCCACGCAGCAGCCATGGGGATGCTTAAGCCAAAAATCTCTTCCTGTTACTCAAAGTTCTCTGGTGTCTTCCCATAATCTGGGGATAAAGAACAAACTCTGCCACAGTGCACAAGGCTGCACGAGGCTGGGCTCATGACCAATCTTCTAAGCCTCCTGGCTCTCTGGGCTCCAGCCACCCAACTTCTCAGGTCCTTGTACCCAGTGGGCTCCTCCCCACCACACTTCCCACAGCACTTGGTGCTTTCACCCATTAGCTGCTGTCCACAGCAAGAGCCTGGGAGCTGTGCTGTGATAGACATACCCTTTGTCTTCTGAAGGCCCTCTTCCTTCGTAATTAGTCATTTTAGCCATTGATGTCATCACTTGATGTTGACTTCTCCCCTACTCAGACGCTGAGCTGCCTGAGGGCACAGCACATACCTCTTGCTTATGAGTGTGTCCTAGCATCTTTCCCCATGCTGGCATACAGTAGGTGCTCAATATGTGCATGTTGAATTAATGCATGAACACACCAAAGCCTCCCTGTGCCCGAGTTTCTAAGCAGATGGACTTGAGTGAGAGGCCAGGCAACCAGAACCCTGGGCTGGTGAGGGCCTCTCCACCTCGGTACAAGGGCAGGGGTGGGATGCACAGAGAATGGCCACGCCCTGCCCGTAAGCCCCAGGGGCAGGTCCCTGTGTGTCCTCTTGGCTTCTCTCTCACAGGGCCTCAGGCATCTCTCAGGCAGCTGCCTCAGTACCCCCACTCCATCTGCCATTGGAAACTCCCAGACTCCCAGCTCCATGAACCCTAGAGGGCCTGGGACTCCACTAGGGAGCAGAGAGCGGGTGGCTGCTATAGCTTGCCCTGAAATGGAGACCCAAATGCCAATTCCCAAGGCTGGGCTGCACCCACCAGCCATGGGCATGAGGATCAAATGTGTGGGCTACCTCCTACTGCGTGCCAGAAAGGTGAGGATGTCAGGACTGACAGTCAGGCTTGTGGCCCGGAGCTGTCACCCACTAGCTATGTGACTGTGGGGAAGTTACTTAAGCTCTCTGTGCCTCAGTTTCCTCATCTCTAAAAGAGGAATAACAAGTACCCATCTCATTGGGTGGTTGTGAGGATTAAATGAACACATGTAAAACTTTAAGCAGCACTCGATACTGGATAAATATTATTATTATTTATTAAAAGTTATTAAAATGTATCATGTGACCACTTCCCTGCAAATTACTTCAGTTATATATTTCATTTTTATCCTTACAACAAACTTCAGAAATATTATCATCCCCAGGCCAGGCGTGGTGGCTCACGCCTGTAATCCCGGCTCTTTGGGAGGCCAAGGCAGGTGGATCACCTGAAGTCAGGAGTTCAAGACCAGCCTGGCCAACATGGCAAAACCCTGTCTTTACTAAAAATACAAAAATTAGCTGGAATTTGGTGGTGAGTGTCTCTAATCCCAGCTACTAGGGAGGCTGAGGTAGGGAGATTTGCTTGAACCCGGGAGACAGAGGTTGTAGTGAGCTGAGATCATGCCACTACCCTCCAGCCTGGGTGACAGAGTGAGACTCTGTCTCAAAAAAAAAAAAAAGAAATATTATCATCCCTGTTTTATGGCTCAGGAAACTGAGGCAGCCTATTCAATAGAACTTTCTACAATGATGGAAATGTTCTGTGTTTCTGCAGTGCACAGTACAATAGCCACCAGCCACACGCGGATCCACAGCACTCGAAATGTGGCTGATGTGACTGAGGAAATGGATTTTGAAGTTTATTTAATTTTACTGGATTTAAAGAAACAGTGGCTGTCTTATTATACCGTGCAACTTGGGGAGGTGAAATCTCTTTGTCCAAGGTCAAGCAGTGATTGAGTGTTTAAGTCAGGATTTGAAACAAGGCAGTCTTAACTGCTCTGTGGGCACCACAGCTGCAATTCTCTGAGCCCCAGGTCCCCTGTTGAGTTGCCATCCCTGCTTGCAATGAACTCTCAAGTGGCACCCTTTTTTTAGCTTGGGGTTCCCGCCACCTCACATAGTGCCTCAACTTCTTCCTTGTTGGTCACATTGCTTTCTCAGGACCAGTTTCTCCTGTGGGTTCCTGGGCCCCTGGGGATGCGTGGTCAGGGAGGCGGGAACTCGCCAGGCTCCGAGTTTAGCTGCATGAAGCTCCTGGCTGACCAGCTGAAACCCGCACCTCACCCCAACCACCACACGTGCCTTGGGCCCCATGTTGGGGCCTTTCAGGGAGACATCCACCCTCATTAGCCTGTGAGCTTCCATTTATTTTTTCAACAAATACCTATTGTGTACCCACTCCATGCCAGCTGTCTTCTGGGAACAGGGCCCCAGAAGTAAGTTAGGCAGAGTCCCTGCTCTCAGAGTTCAGAGTGTGCTGTGGCCACAGGCACATAAATAATAATAGAGGTAATGCAGTGTGGTCAGCCCTTGCACGGAGATAGGCAGGGGCTCAGTGGCAGCTTAAAACTGGGAACCGATGACTCGACTCAAAGGGGAACTGAGAAAGACTTCTAAGAGGAAGGGATATCTGAGCTGGGTCTTGAAGGATGAGTAGGAGCTTGCTAGCTAGAAAAGAATAAGGCAGAACATTCAAAGCCGAGGGAATAGCATGTGCAAAGCCTTGAGAAAGGGGCTCAGCATTTCAAGTTTGGAGTCTGGAGGGTTCCATGTGGCACAGTTAGAGAGCAGGGAGCCTCAGGGAGAGGTGCAGGTGGTGAGACTGAGAGGGTTGAGAACAGGGCCTTTGGAGTCAGACTGCTTGGATTTCAATTCATCTTACTCCATGTGACCTTGTACCACCAGGCTTCCTTGAGCCAGTTTCCCCATCTATAAAAGGGGCCATTTCCCCGTCTGTAAAAAGAGCAATCCTCATAGGCTTGTTTTGAAGATTAAATGAGGCAATGCATGGCCAAAGCTTAGCAAGCTGCTTGACTCTTGTAAGTCCTCAGAAAGCATTAGACATTGTTATTGACAATGTGATGTGACATGCTATTACTGTTGCTGCCGGGGCTGTTGCTATTGTTATCACTGCTATTGTCACTGTAGCTCCAGTGCAACAAAGGAGATGGGGGCACATTAAGAAGAGCTTCCCATGCCTGGCAAAGGAGTGTGGATTTTCTTCTCTTGGCAACAGGGAGCCCTCAGAGGTTTGTAAACGGAGAGCAACATGATTAGATTAATGAAGAAGCTCTCTCTGGTCGAGGGTGTTAGGAAGGGGAATGACGGGGAGGTAGGGAAAGATGATGAAACTTCATCCAGGGCAGAGGGTGGGGACAGCGATTTAGGAGATGTGCAATTCATACCTGGTGATAGATTGAAGCTGGGAAGGGAGGAAGTGGGAGGAGGCGGGAGGAGGCGGGAGGAGGCGGCTGACTGCCAGGTGCCATTTCCCACCTCGGCCGCAGCAGAGGAGGAGGCCCGCCCACTCCACCAGCTACCACCCACTCCATGTGCGCCCCTGCACCCAGCCCCCAACGCAGCCCTTATTCAGGCCGGGTCTCCCAGGTGTAGACTGGTCCAGCCCCTGGACATCTATCTCACAAGACTCTGCCATCTGGGCACACAGTCCCCTCGCCCTTCAACCAGAGGCTTCCACTCCACCCCCTATGTTTCCTGCGGTCTCTAGGGGTTGGATTTCTGGCCCTCTTGCCCCTGACCCCAGGGGCTCCTCAGCGGCATCTCCCAGTGAAGGCCTGGAGATGCTCACCTTCCACCGCAGCCTCGCTTCGTTGCCTTTGGCGCCCTCTGCCGGCCGCGCCGTGCTGCTGCGTGGTTCTCCCGCCCGTCTGAAGCAGCACCCACTCGCTTACAGGGTCACACCTTTCCCTGCCTGTCCGGAGAGAATGTCCTCAGACCTAGCCACCGTCCCCCCCGCACCCCCGCACCCCCGCCCCGCAAAGACCGGCTGGCGCAGAAAGAACCTGGGTCTCTGGCGCCATCTGTGCAAACGGCTGCTCCTTTCCCACATGTCCTGGCGCTGAGCCCTGGCTTCCCTGGGGATAGGGGTGGGGCTGTGGTGCCGCCCCATCCCACGCCTACACCCACGCCCACAGCCACCTGGGGCCGTGGGCTTCCACGGCCGCTCCTGCTCCTTCTGTTGGCGTCTGGACTCTTCTCTCTATCCCTGTGGTCGTTTCTGGAGGCCAGGCCACCATCATCTCTTAACTGGGTGGCTTCAACACAGCTCCTCACTGTCCCCTCCCAACGTGCACACATGTACGTGGGCGTGCACGCGCACACACACCATCTGTTCTCCACGTGTAATCAGAGGAGCAGTTGTTTTTAAAAGCAATTCTGATCATGCTCCCCTTCGTAGTGTAACTCAATGTCTCCCATTGCACTGATGACCAAGCCCCAAGCCCTTATCTGGGTGGGCAGGGCTGAGCCTGTGAGCCCTGCTGTGTCCCCTGCTGGCTTTCGCAGAGGTCACCTCTAGGGAAGAGTTTCATCCCGCAGTCTGTAAAGTGGCTCCCTGTCTTTCTCCTCTCTCCCGGCCTTTCCCATCCTGGTGCCTAGCTTGACGCTCCTCTGTCTCCTTGGGATCTTTTCCTCCCTGTCCCTGGAGCCTGGGGGCCACCTGTGTTGGAGCCTGCGTTCTCTCTAGGAGGCTGCAGGCTGCTGGCCCTTCCCCCTTACTGGGGCTGCCCCACGTGCCATCACTGCAGCATGTAGGCAGGAACACAAACATGGCTGTCTCCTCGCAGGGACTATCAGGACCCCTAGAATGCTCACGTTGAGCTGGATTATTTCAGGGGGAGTCTTGGTTACCTGAAGGCTTCCCCAAGATCTGAGCTACCTGGTCAGAGGTTCCTAAGTCAGAGGTTTCAAGCTATGATCTTGAAACCGCTTTGGAGGCCACTGCCAGGAAAGGGGACACCCTCCCAACACACACACCCCTGCCTCAACCCAACCAATCCTGTTTGAATTTACTGGTCATCTAAGTGAGAGTTCTCCATATAATTTTCTTTGGAGAAAGCCTTTTGGGATTAAAAAATACGTTTTAAAACCTCATTCAAAATTTTGTCCCATTTCACTGATACTTGCAAAGCACTTTATAGCTGACAGAGTGTTTTTTACCTGTATATTTTTATCTTACATATTATTAACTTCATTTTTACTCACAAGGAGACTGAGGCCCAGAGAGGTTAAGTGGCTTGCTCAAGGTCAAGGGCAATGCTTACAGTGTGAACATCATGGAGCTGGATTCAAACAGGCCTTCCACAGTCTTCCTCATGGCCTCTTGCGGGGAACCTGGTGTGTCCTGACCAGGGCCCGGGGCCCAGTGCCCTGCCTGGAGCTGACTCTGCCTGTGTGTCTCTCCCAGTGCTGCATCGACAACTTTGAGGAAATTGTGAAGCTGCTCCTCTCCCATGGTGCCAATGTGAACGCCAAGGACAACGAGCTGTGGACACCTCTCCATGCTGCAGCCACCTGCGGCCACATCAACCTGGTGAAGATCCTCGTTCAGTAGTACGTGCCCCTCCCTGCCCCAGAGCAGCCTCCCTCCACCTCTTGTCTTTTTCCAACTTCCTTCTTTCTCTCCTCCCTCCCTCCTTCCTTCTTTCTCTCCTCCCTTCCTCCTTCCTTCTTTCTCTCCTCCCTTCCTCCTTCCTTCTTTCTTCCCTCCCTCCCTCCTTCCTTCTTTCTTCCCTCCCTCCCTCCTTCCTTCTTTCTTCCCTCCCTCCCTCCTTCCTTCTTTCTTCCCTCCCTCCCTCCTTTCTTCTTTCTTCCCTCCCTCCCTCCTTCCTTCTTTCTCTCCTCCCTTCCCCCCTTCCTTCTTTCTTTCCTCTCTTCCTTCTTTCTTTTCTCCCTTCCTCCCTTCCTTTCTTCCCTCCCTTCCTCCCTTTCTGCCTTTCTTCTGTCTCCCCTCCCTTCCTTCTTTCTTCCCTTCCTCCCTCCTTTCCTTCTTTCTTCCTCCCTCCCTTCCTTCCTTCTTTCTTCCCTCCCTTCCTTCTTTCTTCCCTCCCTCTCTCCCTCCCTTTCTTTTCCCTACCTGCCTCCCTCCCTCTCTCCCTCCCTTCCTTTCTTCTTTCTTCCCTTCCTCCTTCCCTCCTTTTCTGCTTTTCTTCCTTCCTCTCTTTTCTCTTTTTTTCTCTCTCTCTGTCACTCTTTCTCAGTCTCTCTTGGTGCTTGTCACTTTCTTTCTCCCCACATCCTCTCTTCATCTCTCTCTCTGCTTCTACCTCTCACCCTCTCCTCCCCTCAGTTCCCCTTTACTCTCCCCATCTCTGTGTGCCTGTTCTGCTCTTTTCTTCTTCTATCTCTGTCTCTCCTTCACTCTTGGTCTGTCTCTGTATTTTCCAGTCTCTTTTTATTTTCTCTCTTCTCCTTTCATTCTCCCTTTCCCCCCAATTTTTTATAGTGATAAAACACATATAACATAAAATACCATCTTACCCATTTTAAGTGTGCAGGTTAGTGGTATTAAGTACATTCATATTGTTGTGCAGCCATTACCACTCTCCATCTTCAGAATGACTTTCATCTCGCAAAACTGAAACTCTGTACCCATCAAACAGTAATTCCCATTCCCTGCCTACCCCTGGCTCCTGGCGACCACCATTCTACTTTCTGTCTCTATGAATTTGACTACTGTAAGCACTTTATAGAAGTGGATTCAGAAAGGCCGGGCACGGTAGCTCACGCCTGTAATCTCAGCACTTTGGGAGGCTGAGGCAAGTGGATCACCTGAGGTCGGGAGTTCGAGACCAGCCTGACCAACATGGTGAAGTCCCATCTCTACTAAAAATACAAAATTAGCCGGGCATGGTGGTGCATGCCTGTAATCCCAGCTACTTGGGAGGCTGAGGCAGGAGAATCGCTTGAACCCAGGAGGCGGAGTTTGCGATGAGCTGAGATCATGCCATTGCACTCCAGCCTGGGCAACAAGAGCAAAACTGCACCTCAAATAAATAAATAAATAAATGAAAAGTGGATTCAGCTGGGTGTGGTGGCTCACGCCTGTAATCCCAGCTACTCAGGTGGTGGAGGCAGGAGAATCGCTCGAACCCAGGAGACTGAGGTTGCAGTGAGCCAAGATTGTACCACTGCAATCCACCCTGGGCGACGGAGTGAGACACCATCTTAAAAAAACAAGAAGTGGATTCATACAGTATTTGTCTTTTTTTGACTGGCATATTTCACTTAGCATAATGTCCTCAAGGTTCATCTATGTTGTAGTATGTGTCAGAGTTTCCTTCCTTTTTAAGGCTGAATGTACTCCATTGTATGTCTATACCACGTTTCACTTATGCATCCATTCATTGATGGACACTTGGGTTGCCTCCATGTTTTAGCTATTGTGAATCATGCTGTGACGAACATGAGTGTACAAATATCTCTTGAAATCCTGCTTCCAATTCCTTTGGTTATACACCCAGAAGTGGAGTTGCTGGATTGTATGGTAATGCTATTTTAAATTTTTTAAGGACCTGCTATACTGTTTTCCACAACATGTTACATTCCCACCAACAGTACACAAGGATTCTAGTTTCTCCACATCCTCACCAACACTTGCTATTTTCTGCTTTTTCTTTTTTGTTAGTAGCCATACTAGTAGATGTGAGGTGGTCTCTCACTGTGGTTTTGATTTGCATTTTTCTCGTGATGAGTGACGTTGAGCATCTTTTCATGTGCCCGTTGTCCATCTGTATGTCTTCTTTGGAGAAATGTCTATTCAAGTCCTTTGTCCATGTTTGAACTGGGTTGGGTTTTTGTCATTGAATTTTAGGATTTCTCTATGTATTCTGGAGATGAATCCCTTATCAGATAGACGTACTATTTTCTCCCATTCTATAGGATGTCTTTGAAATCACTGCCAAATCCACTATCATGGAGGTTTTGTTCTATGTTTTCTCCTAAGAGTTTTATAGTTTTAGGTCTTTCATTTAGGTCATGGGTCCAGTTTGAATTAAATCTTATATATGGTATTGGGTAAGGATCTAACTTCATTCTTTTGCATGCGGATATCCAATTTTCCTACACTATCTGTTGGAAAGATGGTTGGTCTTTTCTCCATTGAATGGCCTTGGTACCCTGTCTAAAATCATTTAACCGTGTATGTGAGGGTTTGTTTCTGGACTCTATTCTATTTTATTGGTCTATATGTTTGTCTTTATGCCAGCCCCACACTGTTTGATGCTAGAGTTTTGGAGTTCGTTTTGAAATCAGGAAGTGTGAATCCGCCAGCTTTGTTCTTCTTTTTCAGGGTTGTGTTGGCTATTCAGGTTCCTTGAGATTCCCTATGAATTTTAGAGTAAGCTATTCTAGTCTGCAAAAAACATCATTGGAGATTACAGGTGGCTGACACCTGTAATCCCAGCACTTTGGGAGGCCAAAATGGGTGGACCACTTGAGGTCAGGAGTTCGATACCAGTCTGGCCAACATAGTGAGACCCTGTCTCTACTAAAAATACAAAAATTAGCTGGGCGTGGTGGTGCACGCCTGTAATCCCAGCTACTCAGGAGGCTGAGGCAGGAGAACTGCTTGAACCTGGGAGGCGGAGGTTGCAGTGAGCTGAGTTTGAGCCACTGCACACCAGCCTGGGTGATGGAGCAAGACCTTGTTTCAAAACAACAACAACAACAACAACAACAACAACAACAATCATTGTGATTCTTAAAAGTAATGGCAAGAACCACAATTACTTTTGCACCAACCTAAATAATAATTGGTATCACCCAGAGCTGGGCACTGGGCACACAGGGATGCAGAAGTCCTGGGGAGCCAGGAAGAAAGCCAGGGGTTTTAAGTACCAGAGCTGAGACAGAGCCAGACCAGGGGGCTGATCATCTGAGGGCAAGGAGTCAGAGAGAGTGGCCCAGGGCAGGTAACCTTTTGCACTGGTCTTGGCAGAGCGGCAGGAGCCCATCGTTGGCTCCCGGGGGGATGGATATGACAGTACTGCTGCCCCAGCTCAGAGAGCTGGATAAACTTGCTCTGGGGTGTACGAAAGCTCAGAGAAGTCACAGTGGAGGGCTGTTAGGCCAAAGGACTGGATGGTGGCCTGTGCCTATGTCTCTGATGGGAACCTGAGTATGGCTAATTCTGCTAGGAGCATCAGATGGCCACAGCCTGATCAGTGATGGTGCTAAGAGGACAAGGAAAGTGGTGCCAGCCTGGGTCAGTGGGTCCCAAAGCTGATCGGTATTACAATCACCTGGGGCATGGGTTTAAAACAGATTCCCATGCCCTACCCCAAGGACTCTTTCAGGAGGGCTGGAGTGAAGCCCACCCAAGATGCTGCATTTTATTCCCATGGTCCCCAGGTAATTCTGCCACATGGCATCCAGGGCCATTCTTAGGAACCACTGGCCCAAAGGGTAAATTCTTCCAAGGAGTCCCAGGTCTCCATTCTTCTACCTCTGTACTATCAGCCTTTTGAGTAGGGACTTGGAGGAGGTGGAATATAACTGAGGATGTTTCTGCATATGGGCAAAAAATGAAATAGAACATGGAGAAGTAAAAAGAACTAATATGAGAGACCTGGTTTTGAGTCTGGACTCTACTGTATCCAAGCTGTGTGACCTTGGACAAGTGACCGAACCTGTCTGAGTCTTTTTTTTTTTTTAAACTTGCTCTAGTCTTGCTCTATCACCCAGGCTGGAGTGCAGTGGCGTGATCTTGGCTCACTGCAACCTCTGCCTCCCAGTTTCAAGCAATTCTCATGCCTCAGCCTCCCGAATAGCTGGGATTATAGGCTCCCACACCACGCCCCGCTAATTTTTGTATTTTTAGTAGAGACAGGGTTTCTATGTCGGCTAGGCTGGTCTCGAACTCCTGACCTCAGGTGATCCGCCCGCCTCGCCCTCCCAAAGTGCTGGGATTACAGGCTTGAGCCACTGTGCCCGGTCATGTCTGAGTCTTTGTTTCCCCTTGCGTGAGATGGGGCCAACAGTATTAACCTGAGCTATTATAAGGGTTAAATAAAAGGATGCCTGCAAAAGGGGCTTAGATCAGGTTTGGCTCTAAGCAAGTGCCTGGTAAGTGGTGCTGCTGCCATTAATGTGATTTTTGTTATTGTCACCAGGAGGACTTTTATATCTGTCCCTAAGTCCCTGCCTGCTGGTTCAACAGAGTGAAAGGCTTAGGGAGGTCTTCTGGGATAGCTGTCCTGGGACTTTGGTCTCTTCCCACCTGGGACCCTGGGATCCTGAAGCTGTCGTGCTCTTGGGCTGTGTGTCAGGCAGATCCAAGCATCATCTTGCTGGGGTACACCTTGGTGGGGTTTTGAGTGCCGGGTTGTACAGTAGGATTGCAGGCGAGAGGCCAGAGGGCAGAGGCAGCTAGACCAACCCTAGCCACACCTACTTGGCCCTCACCCTGCCTCTTTCTCTGCAGTGGGGCCGACTTGCTTGCTGTCAACTCGGATGGGAACATGCCATATGACCTCTGCGAGGATGAACCCACCCTGGATGTCATCGAGACCTGCATGGCATACCAGGGTAAGGGAGGGCAGCCTGCTATGAAGTGAGCACAGCACAGAGTTGCAGAGAGCGTCCCTTAAATCAATGCAGGCGAACAGATTAGCTACGCATCGGCCTGCCTCGTGCGCTGTGCTCAGTGAATAGGATGGGTCCCCATTCATATCCTTATCTGTGTGATTATCAAGAGCAGGACATGAGAGGACCCTGGAAAACATGCTGCGCAGAAGGGAGGTATTGATCTCATTCGTGTCACCCACACACGCAGGTGGCCGCAGCTGGCCTTGTCTCATCTTCATCAGCTGTGACAATTTGATTCAATAAATGTTCACCATAAAGATATATTCCTATGTGGGACAATAATAAAGTCAAGAATACTGGAGGGTGCCTGCTCTGTGCCAGGCACCACGCTGGCTGCCAGGGGCCCAGATAAACAAGATGTGGGCTGTTCTCAACTCACAAATGAGGTTCAGAAAGGAAACAGATGCAGCAATGAGAGACCTGCGTGCCCCAGCACCCCACAGATAGACCTCTGAAGCGCCACCTCCTTGGAAATATGTCACATCCCCAGATCCTCAGCTGCAGCTGCAGTCCTGCCCTGGCCCTGCCCTTGTGTACCCCACAGAGCCTCAGTAACCGTGATTGAATGTCTTGTTCCTTGCACCCAGATCTTCCTATTCATCTCCTGCAGAGGTTCTTAACCATTTTTGTGCCAATCTGGTGACTCTATGGACCCCTTCTCAGAATAATGTTTTTATTTTTTTGAGATGGAGTCTTGCTGTGTCCCCCAGGCTAGAGTGCAATGGCACAATCTCGGCTCACTGCAACCTCTGCCTCCCAGGTTCAAGTGATTCTCCTGCTTCAGCCTCCCAAGTAGCTGGGATTATAGGCATGCACCACCATGCCCAGCTAATTTTTGTATTTTTAGTAGAGACAGGATTTCACCATGTTGGCCAGGCTGGTCTCGAACTCCTGACCTCAGGTGATCTGCCTGCCTCAGCCTCCCAAATTTCTGGGATTACAGGCGTGAACCCCCGCGCCCAGCCAGAATAATGTTTTTAAATGCAGTTATAAAAGTATAGGATTATAAAGGAAGCCAATTATATTAAAGCGTAAGTACCAAAACATTTTTCAATGTGTTAGATAGAAACTTCGTTAATTCATTAAACAATAAGATAACAGGATATGAAAATAGCTATAGTATCTGTTGGTAACAAAGTTACAGGCACTGCTAACACTACTGTGGGTTTTGCTTACATTCTAATGGTAGGGAATACTCAATTTCGTTTAAAGCTTAGTCAAAAGAAATGTGTGATTTTATTTCCTCCTTTTGTAGATCTCTCCTGAATTCGATCGAACAGTGCTTGGTCTAATGGATCTTTTTACGGAGCATGTCATCCTCTCCTTAAATACTGTTTGTAGCTGTCAGTAACACACTTTTAAGACAGGAATGGGATTCGGGCTATACAATGTCTCTCTGGGCCCCTACCTCAATTGACTCAGCTCTCCACTTGAAAGTAATACATTCATTCATTCAGTCCTTCTGCAACTAAAATTGATTGAGCGTTGTGCCAGGTGCTACAGACACAACCATGGTTAAGATGAAGGAAACTAACAGAGACCCTGGTCAGATAGGGTGGTCAGCAGAGGCCAGCTTGGGAGATGATCCAGTCCAGGACCTAAAGAATAAGACAGAGGCAGCCATCTGAGCAGTTGGAGGTGTGTAGGTGGATGGTAAGGACTTTCAGGTAGAAGAACAGCATATGCAAAGTGACCAATATGAATCCATTGCCTAGTGGGTGCCAGGCAGGAATGCCCTTGCTCTGTGGGCCAATGCATGGTGTCTCATCAGGCCTGAAGACAATGATCTATGGGCATGTCTGCATGCCCGCTTGACTGGCATATCCTAGGGAACAAGAGCCATGCCTCCCTCATCTGCCTTCCCCTGCCCTCTGGGGTCGTAGGCCTGAGGGTGCTAAATAAATCCCCTCTTTCCCACTGCAGGCATCACCCAAGAGAAAATCAACGAGATGCGGGTGGCTCCTGAGCAGCAGATGATTGCGGACATCCACTGCATGATCGCAGCGGGCCAGGACCTGGACTGGATAGATGCCCAGGGTGCCACACTGGTGAGGAGATGGGCCAGTACCAAAACCAAGACCAGCTAGGTCCGAAGTGGGCCAGCACCTGGTGGGGACCAACCCTGTACCCTTGGGGCCTGTCTGTGACCTTGGACCTCCGCAAGAATCCTTTTGGGCCAGGATTGCCCCTGGATAGGGAGGGTCAGCAGAGCAGGGCTCAGCCTCTTTGAGAACCTGGCCTCTCTCTGGGCTGGGCTTGGTGGCTCACACCTGTAGTCCCAGCTACCTGGGAGGCTGAGGTGGGAGGATCACTTGAGCCTGGGAGTTTGAGTTTGAGTTGTGATTGCACCAATGCACTCTAGCCTGGGTGACAGAAAGACTTTGTCTTTAATAAACAAACAAACAAAAAAGAATCCAGCCACTCTCAAGTGGGGCTTGGAGTTAGGAGCCTGGGTCGGAGACCTGGCTCCCACCTGTTCACCAACTGCTCTGTCTCCAAGATATTCCTTCACCCCAGGCTTCATGTGTCCATCTTGAGCTCCTTATTTCCCTCTCCTCTAATGATGTCCTCCATTAAGGACTGGTGTCACCATTCACCCACTCACTCGTGCTTTCTTGCTTTGCACTGTCCATTCCCCTGCCTTAGTATCACCTCTCCTACCCTAGCACCCCACTGCCTTGCCTCATCAGCTCCCCTGATATTACTGCAACAGCCTCTCCTTTGGGTTCCCTGACTTCAGAGTCTGCCCACCACTCCCAGTCATCCATTCATCCATTGGTCCATCCAACCATCCATCCATCCATCCATCCATCCATCCATCCGTCCGTCCGTCCGTCCATCCATCCATCCATCCATCCATCCATCCATCCATCATTCCATCCATCCATCCAGCCATCCAGTCAACACACAGTTATGAGCACCTCCTCTGTGCACATACTTTACTAGACCCTGGAGACAGAGAACAATGGGACCTTCTTCTCTCTCAAATCCGCCTGGTTAACTCCACTCATCCTTGCAGCTCAAGTGTCACTGACTTAGGAAAACCTCCCTGGCCACTCCTCATAGGCTCTCAGAGCACACTGCAGCCTAATATTGGGGAGGTCTGCTTCTGCAACCTGTAAGTCAAAATTCAGAGCATGGCTATGGCAGCCTACCCCACTGACTGGGGGGTGGGTGCCCTGTCCCAGGCTTAGGTTCCACGCTGGTCGTAAGCACTCAGCAGTCTCGGGATCTCGAGCTCACTAGATAGGGCTCAGCAGTACCAGATATCCTCACTGCCCCTCAGGCCTGACCTGGCAGCCCAGGTGTGATAAGTGGGCTTCTCCCACCTGCTTCCTGAGCTCTCACATCTGTTTTATGCCCATTTCTATTACTTGGGTGCCTGCTTGGATCACCTGCTCAGCCTAGCACTCAAGAATGGGGTCAGGTAGGAAGTCTGACTATTTCTGTCTGAAGTCAAGGCCAGGCTGCACTAGGGCATTACCCAGCCTCATTGCAGCTCCAATGGGGCTGTCATTGGGTCCTCTAGACACAGGGATCTTCTCTACCTGGGCTGGGGCTGGCCTCAGGGTGGCCCCACCCCCATGGGCTGGGCATATACTAGGTCTCAGGTCTTCCCAGTAAACTGGAGATCATAGTGTCTTCCTCACAGTGTTGCTGGGAGCATTAAATGAGATTCTGTGTGAAAGTGCTTAGCACAGTCTGCAAATTCTCAATAGATGTTAGCAATGACCATTATTTTTACTAACAATGCCACTATTCCACTCATACCTTTTCATTTCCAGCCAAGTAGTGAGGTTTGTAATGTCGGACTGGCCAGCAGGTGTCATTCTCTACAACTGACAAGCATCAGACATTTATAAATCAGATAATTATACTAATTTTCACATCATACCCTTGCTTTTTCAAGTTGGAAAAAAAAAAAGCTTCAAGCAACCTTCTCCCAGGATGAGGTGGCATCTGACCATCAGGGCTGTGTTCAGAAGGATCACTTCCTGAGGCCATGCCTTCTTTGTCCCACTGACTCTCCAGCCCAAGACCTCAGGCCCCCGAGGTTCTCTGGCTTCCTCCCAGCTAGTCTTCTGCTAGCCGCCTTGGACTCTCACTTCTATCTCTCATCTTGGCTGGGCAGTTGATGTCTTTTTGCCTTATTTCCTTCTCTCTCCTTCATTCATTCTCATGGTCATCATTTAGGACTCTCTAAGAATGTGAATCCCTTACTGAGTGTTCATTATGGGCTAAGCTATTTATGTATTTTGGGGGCAAATTGAACAATCATGACAACTGAGGTCTGCCAGGCAGTGGCCATGACTGAAGGCCTTGAATGGGATCACAGTCCCTCATTGGATGTATTATCTATTGCTGCATAACAAACTACCCCACAATGTAGCATCTTAAAACAATAATAAATATTTATTGTCTCACATGGTTTCTTTGGGTCAGAGAGTTAGGAACAGCTTAACTGGGTGGCTCTGGCTTGGTGGCTCTCATGATATTGCAACCAAGATGTTGCAATATTGTTGAGACTACTGGGGCTGCAGTCTCATCTGAAGGCTTGACTGGTACTGGAAGATCCACTTCCAAGTCAGTTCACACACATGGCTGGCAAGTTAGTGCTGGCTGTTGGCAGGAAGCCTCAGTTTCTCACCTCTTTAGGACCTCTCCTTGAGGCTTCTTGAGGATCCTCACAACATAGTGGCTGCCTTCTTCTAGAATAATTGATCCAAGACAACATAAAGTAGAAGCAGAAATGCCTTTTATGCCCTAGCCTCAGAAATCACAAACAGGATATTCACAATATCCTACTTGTTAGAAGTGAGTCACTCAGTCTGGCCCACATTCAAGGTGAGAACAGTCAGGCTCCATCTTTTAAAGGAAGATGTGTCAAAGAATTTGTAGACATATTTAAAAATCACCATATTGAACCTCAGAGACCCCTTCTTCAGGGCTCAATGCACAGTAGGGGCTCAGTAAATGCTATCGCTTTAACCACATGGATGCTAAGACCAACCACAGGGGAGAAGAATTCAGCTCTCTACCTTTCCTTTTAAGTCCATATTTCAGACTTAATAATCCTCTGCAATGTGACTGGTATTTCCATTTCATTCTATTCCATTCTACTGGCCCCAAGGATGCTGTGGGAGTTGGGTGAAGGTGAGAGCTAGCCTACCGTCAATGTGGGGCTGATCCCCTGAGGAATGCTCACTTCTTTCCTCTCCTCCAGCTGCACATAGCTGGAGCCAATGGATACCTGCGGGCAGCTGAGCTCCTCCTGGACCATGGAGTGCGTGTGGATGTGAAGGACTGGGATGGCTGGGAGCCCCTGCATGCAGCTGCCTTCTGGGGACAGGTAGTTCTCACCCACAGGGCTGTGGGGGAGGCCGGCACAGGGCTAACCTGCTGACACCAAGTTTTTTGGGCTGGCAGTTGTTTTCAAAGAACATAAGACTTTAAGGCTTAAGGTGTTGAATATAGCTCATATGTGGGATATGAAAAGGCCTAGGGAGTTTGCAAAAAACATTGGACAAAGCAAGTTGTGTTTTTTTTTTTTTTTTTTTTTTTTTTTTGAGATGGAGTCTTGATCTGTCACCCAGGCTGGAGTGCAGTGGTGCAATCTCATCTCACTGCAACCTCCATCTCCTGGGTTCAAACAATTCTCCTGCCTCAGCCTCCTGAGTAGCTGGGATTACAGGCATGTGCCACCATGCCCAGCTAATTTTTTGTATTTTTAGTAGAGACAGGGTTTCACCATGTTGGTCAGGCTGGTCTCAAACTCCTGATCTCAGGTGATCTGCCTGCCTTGGCCTCCCAAAGTGCTGGGATGCCACCATGCCTGGCTGACAAGTTGTGTTCTAATAGGATGGTAATCAAATTTGCCAAATAAGAAAATTACCAGCATTTTTGCTTCTAGCAGTTTCTCCATTTGTTTCCAGATACAAAACTCTGATTGTCACTTACACCTAGTCCCTCCTTAGATACCTGCCAGCTCTAGAGTTACAGCCAACTCTTTCTTCTCCTTCTTCTTGGTGTGGCCCAGGCATGTGGAGGAGGTGCTAAGCTCATTGCATCTGTCTGGATTCCCCCCATGGCTCTAGTTTGCAGGCCTTCCCTGGAAATCAACTTTGTCCCACCATTCTTTGGGTCACATCCTAAGAGGCCTTGGGCACTCTCTCCACCTCCTAGGCTTTCTGAGCTCTGGGCAGGGGGACACATGAGCTTCTTCCTGTGTTTCAGATGCAGATGGCAGAGCTATTGGTGTCCCATGGAGCTAGTCTCAGTGCAAGGACATCCATGGATGAGATGCCAATAGGTAAGTCCAGCACAATAGCTGGTGTGCACAAATAGGCAGTTATCAATGTTTTGATGGGTAGAGGGAGAAATAGATAAATATATGGTTGTATAGATTGATGGATTGGTGTCTAGATAGATAGATGGATTAATTAATGGATGGTAGATGAATGGACGGATGGACAGATTAATGGATAGATGGATAAATGGATGAATGGATGGTTGAGGTGGTAGATGGGTAGATATTATGAGGTCTGGTTGAATGGATGGGTGGGTGGGTGGATGGATGGATGGATGGATGGATGGATGGATGGATAGACAGAAAAATAAGTGGATGAGTGGGTAAAGGATGAATCTATGAATACATGGCTCAGTCAGCAATAGGTAGATAGATGGATGAAGGGGTTAGGTAGAATAGATGGGAGTATGTAGCTTTATTAGCATCTTTGCATAATTTATTGCTTGGGCTATGTGGGGTACCTGCTTGGGGACTCTTCTTGGAAACTATCAAAGAGCAACATGAATCCCTCGGTCATAGCTGGGAAGCTTAGGAATTGTGACTGTGCCCAGAACCTGGGTTTCCCATTCTTATAATCCTCTTATAAACACACTCACTCAACTTTGGCTGGCATTGTTTTCTTGCCTCCCTGCATGCCCTGAAAGATGCTTGGAGTTTTCAGTGGGTTGGGGTGGCAGCTCCTCTGGTCTGGAGCACCCTCTTGCGCCACAGGTCCTGGCCCCGTCCCCCACAACAGACTCCTCTGCCCCTTCAGACCTGTGCGAGGAGGAAGAGTTCAAGGTCCTGCTGCTGGAGCTAAAACACAAGCATGATGTGATCATGAAGTCACAGCTGAGGCACAAGTCATCCTTGAGCCGGAGGACCTCCAGCGCAGGCAGCCGTGGGTGAGTCCGGGGCAGGGCAGCCAGGAGTCCCTGTGTGTGCTCCTGCCTGTGGTGCCTGGGTGCAGCCTCTAGGACCCACTTTGTCCTCTCAGGAAGGTGGTGCGGCGAGCCAGCCTGTCGGACAGGACCAACCTGTATAGGAAGGAGTATGAGGGAGAGGCCATCCTGTGGCAGCGGAGTGCAGCTGAGGATCAGCGGACCTCCACCTACAACGGGGACATCAGGGAGACCAGGACAGACCAAGAGAATAAGGACCCTGTGAGTGGCCTCACGCCCTGCCCTAGTGTCAGCCACTGCAATGGGAGGAGAACAGGGCCCAGCCTGGCCTTGCCTCTTCAACTGAGAGCCTTCAGAGGGAAGTAGCCAGGCACTGCCCTTAAACTAGCATATCCAGTCTGATGATGATGGCTACTGTAGTTAAACCAGCAGATTCAGTCTGATGGTGGTGGCTGCTGTAGTTAAGGAGGTGATCGGGGAGTGTGTTAGAGGCTGAGCTGGGTGCTTTGGCACACAGGTAGGTCTCCTAATTGACAGGGGGTGAGTGTCCGCTATGCGCCTAGCTGTGCTCCAGCACACCTAGCAGTGGACTTCCAAGGAGAGAGCTTCAGTAGGGCAGTCACCCAGGAGCTGAGGGTGCTACAACTTCTTTTTCAGGAAATATAACAAGATATTGAGAATTGTGTTTATCAGAACATGTTTTTTGAAAAATGGAGTAGGATCCTAGTAGGACCTCTGAGAAGCCTGCTCCTGTAGCAGCCAATGGTCCTTTAAGCTTTAAGCTGCTTTCATTTCTGATGGCTGCTTTAAGAAATTATCACAAACTGGATGGCTTAACATGGTGGAAATTTATTCTCTCTCAGTTCTGAAGGCCAGAAGTCTAAAATCCAGGTAACACCAGCATTGGTTCCCTCTGGGGGCTCTCAAGGGGATTCTGTTCCACGCCTCTGCGAGCTTCTGGTGGCTCAGGCGTTCTTTGGCTCTTGCTAGCAATGATTCTAGTCTCTGCTTCTATCTCCACATGACCTTTTTCTTCGTGTGTGTGTGTCTGTTTTCTTTTTTTATTTTTATTTTATTGGTTTTTTTTGAGACAGGGTCTTGCTCTGTCACTCAGGCTGGAGTGCAGTGGCATGATTATAGATCACTGAAGACTCCAACTCATGGGCTTAAGCGATCCTCCCACCTCAGCCTCCCAAGTAGCTGGGACTATAGGCGGGGGCCATCACGACTGGCTAATTTTCAAATTTCTTGTAGAGATGAGGTCTTGCTGTGTTGCCCAGGCTGGCCTCAAACTTAGCCTCAAGCAATCCTCCCACCTTGGCTTCCCAAAGTACTGAGATTACAGGTTCGAGCCACTGTACCTAGCCTGTTTTTTCCTCTTATGAGGACACCAGTCATTGGATTGGAGCCCATGCCAATCCAGTATGACCTAATCTTAATTTAATTTATTACACCTGCAAATACCTATTTCTAGATAAAGTCACATTCAGAGATTCCAGGTAGACATGAATTTTTGAGGGACACTACTTAACCCAGAACCAACACACTCACTCAGCATGGCTGCTTTCTTGCTGAGTGGAGTGAACAAGTTTGGGGCTGGAGTGGAATTGCTGAGGATGAGGGAGAAGTTAACTGTACCAGAAGTGGTCTGCCATTTTCGTTCTTCCACTACACCACGAACAGATGAAAACATGCCTAGAGAGTTTAGCCTTGGTGGGATGAAATTGATTAGCTACCGAGCATGCCCACGTGTCTCAGAGGGACCCTGCTTCCCAGCACGAACAGTGGGGTCACCTACTGCCTGTCTCACCAGGAGGTGTGAAGGTGCCTGCCCAAGGGGAGGCCACATCAAAGCCACCAGCTGGTGATGGAGAGGGCACGTAGGGAAGATTTGTTCTGCCTGGCCCCTTAGTCTGAGGATTGGTGAGAAAAGAGATGTAGATCAGTATCAAATCACATTTCAGATGTCTCCCAGCTGTGCTTTATTTATTTTTCCTTTGTGATTGTGGTGTAACTTAAGTATGGTAAAGCAGACAAATCTTTTTTTATTTTTTTATTTTTTTATGATATGGAGCCTCGCTCTGTTACCCAGGCTGGAGTGCAGTGGTGTGATTTCAGCTCACTGCAACCTGTGCTCCCGGGTTCAAGCGATTCTCTTGCCTCAGCCTCCTGAGTAGTTGGGATTACTAGTGCCCGCCACGACGCCTGGTGGATTTTTGTATTTTTAGTAGAGATGGGGTTTCACCATGTTGGCCAGGCTGGTGTTGAAGTTCTGACCTCAAGCAATCCTTACCCACTTGGACCTCCCAAAGTGCTGGGCTTACAGGTGTGAGCCACCATGCCTGGCCAAGTAGACAAATCTTAAATGAGATTTTCAACAACCTTTTACAAATGTACACACTCAGATGAATTCATAGAGCATTTTCATCATCCATGTTCTCTCTCCGTCCTTTCCCCCACTCCAAATGTAGTCACTATTTAACTTTGAGTTCTAAAGATTAATTTTGTATATGCATATGAATGACCCTGCAGTTTCTTTCGTGTCTGGCTTTTTTTACATCTGTGAGAGTCACCCACGTTGTGGCATATAGCAGTAGTTTTTTTTTGTTTTTTTTTTTTGAGACAGGAGTTCACTCTGTTGCCTGGGCTGGAGTGCAGTGGTGTGATCCTAGCTCACTGCAGCCTTGACCTCTTGGGATCAAGCGATCCTCCCACCTCAGCCTCTTGGGTAGCTGGGACTATAGGCATGCACCACCATGCCTGGCTAATTAAAAAAAATTTTTGGCTGGGTGCCGTGGCTCATGCCTGTAATCCCAGCACTTTGGGAGGCCGAGGTGGGTGGATCACAAGGTCAAGAGATCGAGACCATCCTAGCCACATGGTGAAACCCCATCTCTACTAAAAATACAAAAATTAGCTGGGCATGGTGGCACGCGTCTGTAGTCCCAGCTACTCAGGAGGCTGAGGCAGGAAAATCACTTGAACCCGGGAGGTGGAGGTTGCAGTAAGCCAAGATCGAGCCACTGCACTCCAGCCTGGGGACAGAGCGAGACTCCGTCTCAAAACAAAACAAAACAAAACAAAACAAAATTTTTTAGAGATGGAATCTTGCTATGTTGCCCAGGCTGGTCTCAAACTCCTGGGCTCAAATGATCCTCTTGCCTCAGTCTCCCAAAGTGCTGGGATTATAGGCACGAGCCACTGTACCTGGCCTCATTCTTGTTTTTTTTTTCTTTTTCTTTTTTTTTTTTTGAGATGGAGTCTTGCTCTGTCCCCCAGGCTGGAGTGCATTGGCGCGATCTCGGCTCACTGCAACCTCCATCTCCCGGGTTCATGCCGTTCTCCTGCCTCAGCCTCCCTAGTAGCTGGGACTATAGGTGCCCACCATCACGCCCAGCTAATTTTTTGTATTTTCAGTAGAGACGGGGTTTCACCGTGTTAGCCAGGATGGTCTCGATCTCCTGACCTCGTGATCCACCCGCCTCAGTCTCCCAAAGTGCTGGGATTACAGGCGTGAGCCACCACGCCTGGCCGCCTCATTCTTTTTTATTGCTTTCTAGAATTCGATTGTTTGAATATTAAAATTTACATATCCATGCTCCTTTTTTTTTTTTTTTAAATTGAGACAGAGTCTCGCTTTGTCACCCAAGCTAGAGTGCAGTGGCGTGCTCTTGGCTCACTACAACCTCTGCCTCCCAGGATCAAGCGATTCTCCTGCCTCAGCCTCCTGAGTAGCTGGGATTACAGGTGCGTGCCACCACGCCCGGCTAATTTTTCTATTTTTAGTAGAGATGGGGTTTCGCCATATTGGCCAGGCTGGTCTTGAATTCCTGACCTCAAACGATCCACCCTCCTCGGCCTCCCAAAGTGTTGGTATTACAGGGGTCAGCCACTGCTCCTGGCCTCCATTCTCCTTTTGGTGGACATTTGGGTTTCTTGTTTCTGGCTCCTGTGAATAAAGCTCCTATAAACATTTTTGTACATGTCTTTTGGTGGACATAAGCACTATTTTGTGTTGGGAAAACACCCAGGAAAGCAGCTGGAGTCACGGGTAGGCATATGTTTAGCTTTAGTGGATACTACCAAGCAGTTTTCCAAGGTGCCTTGTACCTGTCTGCTTTCCCATGGCAGAGTGTTTCTTGCCAACCCTTGGTATAGTCAGTCTTTTTTTTTTTTTTTTTTTTGATACAGAGTTCCGCTCTTGTTGCCTAGCCTGGAGTGCAATGGCGCCATCTCGGCTCACTGCAATCTCCGCCTCCCGGGTTCAAGTGATTCTCCTGTCTCAGCCTCCTGAGTAGCTGAGATTACAGGCACCTGCCACCATGCCCAGCTAATTTTTGTGTTTTAGTAGAGATGGGGTTTCACCATGTTAAGGTGGGAATTCTCAAAGCATGGTCCCTGTACCAGCAACATCAGCATCACCTGGGAACTTGTTAGAAATGCAGACTTTGGCTGGGCACAGTGGATCACAAATCCTGTAATCCCAAAACTGAGGGAGGCTGAGGTGGGAGGATCTTCTGAGCCTAGGAGTTACTGGACAACATGGCAAGACCGTATCTCTACCCCCCACCAAAAAAAAAAAAAAAAAAAACAATTAGGTGGGTGTGATGGTGTGTACCTGTAGTCTTAGGTCTTGTGAGGCTGAGGCAGGAGGATTGCTTGAGTCGAGGAATTCAATGCTGCAGTGAGCTATGATAGCACCACTGAACTCCAGCCTGGGTGACAGAGTGAGGCGTGGTCTCTAAAAAAAAAATAAAAATAAATAAATGTAGATTCTCAGGACCCACTCCAGATGTGGCGATACTGCTGCACACAAGAATTTCAGAACCACTTATTTGAGGAATAATTTGTTCAGCCTGACCCCCAAATCACATTTCTTCCAAGGCTGTGCCCTGTTAGCCTTCAGGGATGACTTTGGTTCACTGTTTTTTGTTTTTGTTTTTTTCCTCTGAGACAAGGTCTCACTCTGTTGCCCAGGCTAGACTGGAGTGCAGTGGCGCAAACTTCGTTCACTATAGCCTCTGCCTCCCAGATTCAAGCAATTCTCCCACCTCAGCCTCCTGATTAGCTGGGACTACAGGCACCCGCCACCATGCCCAGCTAATTTTTGTGTTTTTTGGTAGAGATGGGGTTTCCCCATGTTGGCCAGGCTGGTCTCGAACTCCTGACCTTAAGTGATCCACCTGCCTTCGCTTCCCAGAGTGCTGGGATTACAGACATGAGCCACTGTGCCCCTTGTTTTTTAATCTGATGTTTAAGTAGCAGTACAGACAAACTAAATCAGAATCTCAGGAGTTGGGACCTCAGCATTGTATATGTTTGTCATTGGTGTTTTTTTTTAATTTTTTTTAGATGGAATCTTGCTCTGTTGCCAGGCTGGAGTGCAGTGGCTCAATCTTGGCTCACTGCAACCTCCGCCTCCCAGGTTCAAGTGATTTTCCTGCCTTAGCCTCCTGAGTAGCTGGAACTACAGGCGCACGCCACCATGCCCAGCTAATTTTTGTATTTTTAGTAGAGACGGGGTTTCACCATGCTGGCCAGGATGGTCTCAATCCCTTGACCTTGTGATCCACCCGCCTCGACCTCCCAAAGTGCTGGGATTACGGGCGTGAGCCACCATGCCTGGCCATGTCGTTGTTTTTTAAAGCTAAAGAGAGACTGTTTTTGAAGTGATTGCAGCAGTAAGTAGAATGCATCGACCACAGAATTGGCAAGATCTTGGAGGTCAAGGAGAAAGGAGTTCGTTTCCTAGGGAGGAAGACAGAGGCTGCAAGGACTGAGGGTTGGGGGTGGGATGAGCAGGTGGTGTAATTGGACAGTTGACCAGGAATGTGTGTCTGGTGGTCAGCCCATTTCCAGAACGGTCTTCAGGAGAGTTTTTCTGCATTGCAGTGCTTGTTTACCCTCAGGGTGAGTCAAAGTCCAGGATCCTGTGGGGAGGGGAGCAGCTTAACTAAAATTTGGTTAAATCATTTACCGCTGGGCGCAGTGGCTCACGCCTGTAATCCCAGCACTTTGAGAGGCCCAGGCAGGCGGATCATCTGAGGTCAGGAGTTTGAGACCAGCCTGGCCAACATGGCGAAACCCTGTCTCTACTAAAAATAGCCAGGCGTGGTGGCAGGTGCCTGTAATGCCAGCTACTTGGGAGGCTGAGGCAGGAGAATCACTTGAACCTGGGAGGCAGAGGTTGGAGTGAGCCAAGATTGCACCACTGCACTCCAGCCTGGGCAACAGAGTGAGACTCTATCTCAAAAAAAAAAAAAAATCATTTAGCAAGCATTTAATTTCGGTTGATAAATTGACAGTTTAATCATTTCAGAGGAAAAGAATGAGAATTTGGGGGACTGTGTTTGGGTTGTCCTAGGAAAAGGAGGGGTCGTCTGAGCGTTCTGGAAATCCTATGGGGAAGGGTGATTCTGTGCAGTCAGCCATTCCCCAGAACACAAAATGTGGGGGTTTTGTTTAACCTTCCTGTTGTCCAGTATCTCAGTTCAACATTGCCAAGATGATGGTGCCTACCACAAAGGGTGTTCTAGGGTCAATTGTGTTCTTATTTGTATAGAACTCAGCCCATAATTTGTACCTCATTAAGCATTAGGCAGATAAGTACATTTAGAAGTTCCCTGCATCATGAGAAAACCTCTTTCGTCTAACCCACATCCTTCAGGCTGGAGTTAATTCCTCTTCCTTCAATGCTCTGATTTCTGACACTGGAGATGGATATAGGTGGGTTTTGTTTTCTTTTGTTGAGACAGGGTCTCATTCTGACAGGGTCACTCAGGTTAGACTGCAATGGTACAAACATGGCTCACTGCAGCCTCACCCTCCTGGGCTCAAGTGATCCTCCTGCCCAGCCTCCCATGTAGCTGAGCCACAGGCACGCACCACCATGCCCAGCTAATTTTTAAATATTTGGGTAGTGATGAGGTCTCACTATGTTGCCCAGGCTGGTCTCCAACTCTTAGGCTGAAGCCATCCTCCCACCTCAGCCTACCAAAGTGCTGGGATTACAGGCATGAGCCACTGCACCCAGCAGGGATTTTTTTCTTTTTAAACTAATAGATTTTTTTTTTCCGAGCAGTTTTAGAACTCTAGAAAAATGAGTGGAAAGTACAGATATTTCCCATATACACCCCCCTCCACCCTGGTTTCCCCTGTTATTAACAACTAGCATTAGTGTGGTACATATGTTATCACTGATGAGCCAATATTGATACATTATTATGAACTAAAGCCCATAGTTTACATCGGGTTTGCTCTTTGTGTCGTAACTCCTGTGGGTTTTGACAAATGCATAATGTCATGTGTCCGTCATGATAGTGTCACACAGAATGCTCTCGCCACTTGGTTTAGGTGGTTATATTAGACAGTTGAGATTGTGAACAACTGGTGAAAGAGACCAGGGCTGTCCCACTAAACAGCCCTGGTATTCTACTTACGCTTCCTCCCCAAACTCTAGCAATCACTGATCTTCTACTGTTTTCATAAGTCTTGCTTTTCCAAAATGTTATATACGTGGAATTATATAATATGTGATGCTTTCAGATTGGTGTTCTATATGGTTTTTTTTTGAGACGGAGTCTCACTTTATTGCCCAGGCTGGAGTGCAGTTGTGCAATCTTGGCTCACTGCAACCTCTGCCTCCTGGTTCAAACAATTATCCTGCCTCAGCCTCCTGAGTAGCTAGGATTAGAGGCCTGCGTCACTGCGCCTGTCTAATTTTTGTGTTTTTCTTTTAGTAGACACAAGGTTTCACCATGTTGGCCAGGCCGGTCTCGAACTCCTGACCTCAAGTGATCCATCCACCATAGCCTCCCAAAGTGCTGGGATTATAAGCGTGAGCCACCACGCTCGGCCTGTACATGTTTTTTTTTAACTGTCTAGATGATGCCAATGTGCATCCAAGATGGGATCAGTGTCTCAGATCTTTGCCACTCTAAGCATCAGCAGGAAATTCTTAGAAGTGCCAAATTGCAGGCCCCAACCCAGACCTATTGAATCAGAATATGGATTTTAACAATATCCCTAGGCAACTCACATACACATCAAAGTTTGAGAAGCACTGACTAGGACCACCAAGAAACGGTCTCTCCATGACATGGCATCAGTCTGCCTGCATAGTTCAGAAGGAGCCATTAAAAAAAAAAAAAAGGTTGGACTCGGTGGCTCATGCCTGTAATCCCAGTGCTTTGGGAGGCTGAGGTGGGAGAATCATTTGAGACCAGGAGTTCAAGACCAGCCTGTGCAACATAGTGAGGCCCTGACTCTAAAAGGAGAAAGCGAAGAAATACACACTCATAAATGGAAACTTACTATGGAAAGTGTTCTTTGCCTTATCACATATTACCATATATATATATAACATATATATGTTATATATGTTATATATGTATGTTATATATAAATACATATATATGTTATATGTACATATATGTTATATATGTACGTTTTATATATATTTATATATGTATGTTATATATAAATATATGTTAGAAAACTAGATTATAAACTAGATTATATATATATATCTTGGACATCTTTCCATGCCAGCTTGTGGAGAATTCCTTCATTCTTTTTGCCAGCTACAGAGCATGCCAATAGAAGTACTGGCCACAGTGTCCTGCTTGCCCAATGATGACTTTCAGGCTTTGCACTAATGAGAGAGAAAATCTGTGAAATGGGCTTGCTGGTGCAAAGTATACAATCTTTTCTAAAAATTTTTATCATTATTATTGTTTTTATTTTTTACTGAAGAGCTGGGGAGAGAAGAAAGGAAAAAAAGAAAAAAATTTCAGTGAAGGATGATGCAAAACTGTCCATCAAAGAGACTGTAGCAATTTACATTCTCACTTATTTCCCCATACCCCTGCCAACACTGAGTAATAACACACTTTAAACGTATTTGTCAGTGTGATATCCAAAAGTGATATTTTGTTGTTTTAATTTTTATAGTATTAACGATTAGTGGGGATGAATATTATTCCAATGCCATGTATATCTATATATTTTGCTGTGGGCTACATATTAGTATCCCCTGCCTACTATTTTTATTGGGTAGATAGGCTTTTAAAAATTGACTTTTGGCTGGGTGCGGTGGCTCATGCCTGCAATCTCAGCACTTTGGGAAGCTGAGGAGTGTGGATCACTTGAGGCCAGGAGTTCAAGATCAGCCTGGCCAGCATGGTGAAACCCCATCTCTACAAAAATACAAAAATTTGCTGGGTGTGGTGGTACGTGCCTGTAATCCCAGCTACTCGGGAGGCTGAGGCAGGAGAATTGCTTGAACCCGGGAGGCAGAGGTTGCGGTGAGCAGAGATTGCGCCACTGCACTCCAGCCTGAGAGACAGAGCAAGACTCCGTCTCAAAAAAAAAAAAAAAAGGACTTTTAAGAGCTCTTTATACTTTTAGAAAATTAGTCTCTTTTCTGTAATATATGTTGAAAATATTTTCCTAGTTTCTTCATGTGTCTTTTGACCTTGTTCCCTGTTCATGGTGATTTTTGCTGTGCTTTAAATGTTGTTGCATGTATCTATTTTTTAGTTTATAGTTTTTAGGAAGCAGCTACTTTTCAAACTCTTGTTATCCAAGGATTATTAGGTGTACAGGATCCCTGGGTAAGAATCTTTGTGAGATATGCTTCATATACAGAGGAAGGATTACAAGTGACTGAAAAACCCAACTCAAATGGACTTACACACAAGGAATTTATTGGCTTGTGCAACTGAAAAGTCTGAGCCTGGAAGGATCCTGGACTTCAAATGGGTCATCAGGATGCAGTCTCTCTTAGCCTTTCTTCATGCCAACTTTACTTGCAAGCAGACCCTTCAACATAGTATCTCCCCAGCCCTCAGCTTACGTCATTCTTACTACCCACAGTTCCTACAGAAACTTCTCTTTCCCAGTTGTTCTAGCAAAAGTCCCAGGGTTGCTTCACTGAAGCAATTTCAGTTAAGAACTCATCCCTGGGCCAATCCCTGTAGTGAAATATGTTGACTAGCTAGGCCTTGGGTCATGATCCAGGCCCTGGAGCAAGGCCAGGGGTCGGTCAACTGTACGGAAATTCATAGATTGGGGGTTCCCCAAAGGAAAACCCTGGCCCCGATACCCAGGGAGAGAAAACAGATAGAGGAAAAGTCCAAACAATAATGCCCTCAGCAGAGAGACAGGTGGATAGTAGGTTCAGATCTTCCAGCCAGCTGGTAATGTTGTCCTTCTCACTCGCAGAACCCCAGGCTGGAGAAGCCCGTGCTACTCTCCGAATTTCCTACCAAGATCCCACGAGGTGAACTGGACATGCCTGTTGAGAATGGCCTCCGGGCTCCGGTCAGTGCCTACCAGTATGCGCTGGCCAACGGGGATGTCTGGAAGGTGCATGAGGTGCCTGACTACAGCATGGCCTATGGCAACCCTGGCGTGGCCGACGCCACCCCGCCCTGGAGCAGCTACAAGGAACAGAGCCCTCAGACGCTTCTGGAGCTGAAGCGGCAGCGGGCTGCAGCCAAGCTGCTCAGCCACCCCTTCCTTAGCACACACCTGGGCAGCAGCATGGCCAGGACGGGCGAGAGTAGCAGTGAAGGCAAGGCCCCCTTGATCGGAGGCAGAACTTCACCGTACAGCAGCAATGGGACCTCGGTATATTACACGGTCACCAGCGGAGATCCCCCACTCTTAAAGTTCAAGGCCCCCATAGAGGAGATGGAGGAGAAGGTGCATGGCTGTTGCCGTATCTCCTAGTCTCCGTGTGATGGAGGAGGGAGATGCCTGGGGAGGGGCTCCTGGAATCCAGGCCAGCCCAACAGCCCTGGCTGGGGAGGTGTCAGGGCAGCTGGGGAGAGGTGGGCTCTGCTTTTCAGAGGAACTCAGACCCCAGCCCTCAGCTGGCTGCCCATAGCATCCCATGTCCCACGTCCCGTGGTTCTGCTTCCTGCTGCATCGTCTGCCATCTGACACAAGGCCTGTCGTGGCCTCCTGGTTCACTCTGCTGTCTGATCTTGGGAGGGTGGGCTTGAGATCCCAGCTCTATTCTTGGTATAAAGGCTTCTCCGGATCAGTACATGCATGTCACATTAACACACACACACACACACATATACACACACACACAAGCTCGATCAGTGTGTGTAGGAATGACATACCTGGGCTCAGGGGAAGCAAGGGGGCTTAGAATTTGTGGGGTATTCCCAAAAGGATGGAAGTTAAGACTCAGAGTCTCATTACCACTGCCAATGTGGTTTTAGCAGGGGAGGGGACCTGCTAAGCTGAGACCCATAGTCCTGCTCAGAGTTATCCCAAAGTCTGAGCCACCAGCCACACCTGACAGGGGTGAGAAGTCCTCGCTGTGTTCAGAGGGAGCCAGGAATCTACATGGGTAGATGAGATAGACACAGACCTGCTCCCCGCAGCCTTGTTGAGAGCCACACTTCTGCCCATGCCAGGAGCCAGCTGTGTGACCATCCAGGGGTGGAGGGGGAAAACCAGGCAATTTCGTTCCTGGAATCAACCAAATCATGTTTTCCTCTTGGATGGAAGTGTCAAAGGCAGAAGGGTGTGGGAGGGGGACAAGGTCAGTATTTACCAAAGTGTATCTGATTTTAAAAATTCCTTTAGTCTGTAAAACTCCTAGAGGGAGGGAGGTAACTGAATTCACTTCTTTTTGTGGATCGTATCAAGGTCACTGGGTTTTACTGGCTGGTGCTGGGAAAATGAAGCTAAGTGAGGAGCTTCCATTGGAATGCTTTTCCAGGGAGAGAGGCCAGTTAATTTAAAAAAAACAGTCGCTAGTTAACAGCGACAGAGCCCAGCACCCTGGGGTCTTTGTGAATATCCAGACTGTTTCAGCCCAGCCCATCTCAGCCAACCCTCCTTAGACTGAGCTGTCAGAGCAAGCAATTAGGGGCCAGCCTGCCTCCACCTCCCACCCCCTTCCACCTCCATCAGTCATGTGTGCAGAGTCAGTGCTCGGGATCCCGGGCCCAGCTTTTGCCTTTTTGGGGATGCTTGGTGAGACAGATTTGCCAGTCAGCCCTTTTGAGTTCCCGCCTCACCCAGGGGCTCCCAGCCTGCACTTGCAGGAGTGGTGATGCCCCAAGTCTGCGAATCCAGGGTGCACGTGGTCAATATCCCCTCCTGCATTCAGGAGAGCCATGGTAGGGCTAGAGTTGGGTCTTGCCCAGCCCTGCAGTTTCATAGTCCCAGCCTTCCTGGTGCTGGGGAGGGAGGACTGTGAATGGCTGTTCTCCCCTCACTGCTGAGTCTCCCAGGACCCCCTTTGGAGATGCCCATGGCATGGGCACTGCCCACAGGCTCAGCCAGAACCTCTTGGTGTACCCGATAAGCTGCAGGTTATCCCTTGCTCTGTGCGCCTTTTATTTGTCCTTAAACTACCTCCTTAGAGCTCTGAAGGGGTCTCCTAGTTCCAGATTTTAATTTGGGGAACAGATCTGGGTTCTTTTTAACCCTCTTCTTTCTCAGTCTATGAGAAACTTGCCCTGAGGGGCACCTGGGCTAGGGGCTTGGGACTGGAAGACCATCCCCGCCTTGTGCCACAACTTTGGTCATGGGATCTGCTCTTTGTCATTCTTAGCCCCCTACTGTGGCCCCCATAGCCCCATAACCCAGAGAGGGAGCTGGACTTCAGGGAGCCTGAGTGATGCTTTCCCAGGAGCAGGGCAGCTGGCTGGACCAGAAAGTAGAGGGCCCATGGGAGTGACTGCACCCTTGGTGGCTGCTGGAAGGGGAGAGGTTCTCAGCATCAGGCCACCTCCACCCCAATGCCAGGATAGATGTATTCTAGAGTAGGGGTGGAGGCGGCCCAGGAGGCTGAAGACAGGTGCACAGATGCTTCCCACGACCTTGCCATTTGGGGTGGGCTCTTCAACATCTCAGGCTGTGGCTGGAACAGGACAGGATGATCTAAAACACACGTACCATTGGCTGTAAAACAGTATGAGCCCAGACTGACGCTGAAATCCCTCATGAGCCAACCTTAGCTACAAGGTAGGGAGTTCTGAGGGAAGCCGCGTGCTCCTCAGGAGAGAGCTGTTTAGGTTTTCCGATCTTTTTGCTCAGGGGCCAAACACTGAAGGCACGTACTGCCCAACCCACTGAGCGCCTGAGGCCATTCCCTCCTTTTCCGCATGCCTCCTGCCTCCTGGGCTATTCCTCTCCACCCAGAAGGCTGGGAATCCCAGCTGATTCCCTGACAGGAGCCGACTTCACACACAGGTGACTCTCAGGCATTGGCTCATGTTTTCAGCCAGGGATAAACCATCCCTTCTTGGGGCTTTAAGTCCCTGGGGAGCTTTCCCTGTAGGTCTCCTGGGTGTTGAGAGACAAGTTGGAGACCAACCTCCAATGAATGAGCCGCGGTCATTCATTAATTCACTCACGTAATTTACTGAGTAGCTGCAACATGCCAGCCTCTACGTTAGGTTCTGCGGATAAAGGAGGAATAAGACAGAGTCAGGAGAACTGTTCCTTGTGGTTTCCGTCCCTTGGGGACCACAGGCATCAGCAGTCCCATTCAAGTCACCTGAGGCAAAGTGTCTGCATCTTCGTCCAGCGACCCTTTGCTTTTCGGCTCCTAGAATCCTTAGAGTCTGAATTCCTTTAGCTGGGAACAGCTGTCATGGTCACCCCTGGATAACATTTGCCACCAAGTATAGATGCTGGATCTTGGGTTCCAGGCAGACATCATCCAGGTCCATCTGGAACTTTCAGTGATAGCTGCCTTCAGCCAGCATCTTTGGGGGACTCTATAATAGCAGCTTGAGATCAGTGTCTAGAAGACTGTTCTGCAATTTGCTGCCAAATGCATCTCAGGTTTTTAAAGTCATTGTTTCTTGCTCATGGTGGCTCATTTATTACATAGTCCCCTCACCCCACTAATGGATAATGGGAGGAAAAGTTGCTGCTTCCTTCAGCATCAAAGCCTTTCCTTGGGAATCTGCCTCCCTCCATGGCAGGGGTGGATTCGGGAGCTGGGAGTAACCAGGCAAAGTCAACCAGATGCCTAGCTCCTGCTGAGACCCAGGTCCTATGGCAGCTCCTCATTAGATTAAAGGAGACCACTTCCAAAGCAGGTGCTGCATGGCTCACCATCATATGCCCCAAACAACTGAAAGTTGGCGGTTATCACCAGACTGTGAGTTTCTGGCAAGTAGCTTGGGGAAGCTGAATAAACTCTAGGCCCAGGGCTACTAAAGACTTCAGGATAGAATTCTCCATCAAATATACAGCATAAGTAAAACTGCTCTGCACTGTTTAATCCATTTCCAAGGGGCTTAGAAAAGCTAACAAGGGTGTGTCCCCTGTCCTGCCCCACCGGTTTGCTGGCTTTGTAATAACATAAGACCATTGTGGTTGTTGGTGTCAGATACCTTCCCATCCTGAGCTCTCTCACCTACCTGCTCTCTCTCCTAGAGCAGGATACTGGGGTACTTTTAAGAAGGGTGCTCCTTTTAAGATGCCCAGAAAAGCTGTATTTAACTCTTGCTATTTGTAACTTGGGGATGGTCTCCCCTGCCCCAGGGCACATAAGAGCAAAGGCTCCAATGGTCAGTGGATGACTCTGCAAAAGTGACCCCCTGTGCCAGAAGCTATAGCCCTCTCCCCAACAGGTCTCTCTTGTTGGCCAGAGGGCCTGCTTCCCATGGGCATTGCAAGTGCCACCGTGCGGGGCCTGGCTCTGCACACCCAGGAAAAGTCTGCAGACCCCCAGCCCTCCGCAATAATTCACCAGACCAGAAGCCACTGGTGTACAGAGAACACTTAAAAAAATGTATTTTATGTGAAAAAAAATTAAAACTCTGTATACTGTATCAGCAGCTTTGTGTAAAAATGGCAATCAAGAGAGTCTAATATATTTAAAACTTTTTTAAAAAAAATCTTCGCAGATCTTTGATATCGTACTGAGGTAACTTCCACGTAGCCCCTTGCCACGCGGCACCGGTGGGCCTTGGGTCCAAAACTGTGGCTCAGCCACATCCCAAAGGGGGCACATGTCCCTGGAGTTGCTTCCAGCTGCCAAGGCCTGTGACAGAATTCGCTGTTAAGAGTTTTTAATTAAAATTATTAAATTCCTTTTAATAACACCTGCTAGTGTGAGTGATTATTGCTGTGAGCTCACTTGAACAGTGCTGACTTGAATTCACAAAGAGGAGGTTCCTGGAATAGAGGGTGGGTGAGAGCTCCTAGTCTCTTCCCCCTTACCCCACCCCTTTCCCACAGAGGGCTTTCCCATGAGACCCCTGAAATAGAGGGAGCTCTGGGGGCTCAGACCTGGAGCAGATGTCTCCCCAGACTAGGAGATGGTGAAAACTGATGAATTCAAGAAAAGGTGGGTGGTTGGGAATGACCTTCATTCTGTCAAATAATCTCTTTGAAATTAACATGAGGCCGTATAGTAGCATATATTTATTCCATACATTTTCAAAGTTTTTCCTGATATTTATTTATTTATTTTTATTTTTTTAAGATGGAGCCTCACTCTTTCACCCAGTCTGGAGTGCAGTGGCGTGATCTCAGCTCACTGCAACCTCTGCCTCCCGGGTTCCAGCAATTCTCCTGCCTCAGCTTCCCAAGTAGCTGAGATTACAGGCGCTCGCCGTGATGTCCAGCTAATTTTTTGTATTTTTAGTGGAGATAGAGTTTCACCATGTTGGCCAGGCTGGTCTCCAACTCCTGACCTCAAGTGATCCTCCCGCCTTGAGCTCCCGAAGTGCTGGGATTATAGGCGTGAACCACCACGCCCCGCCTCTCATGACATTTATATGTAACAAGGGTGCCCCTCTCCTCTGTCCCATTCTTGGAGTGAACTGACATGTCCTGTCCTCTTCCCCCTGCCCCATTCCACTCTTTCCCCTCGTGTGCTTATTGTGGGGAAGTACGATACTATAAAGTACTTCACCTTATGACAGCAATACAGCAGCTAAGGCCCCGGCCATTCTCATTTTTTACCTCGAGCATTAAAGGCATAGAGAAGCTATGTGGTTGCACAGCCTCAGACCACAGTCCTTGGTCCTTGTCCCACACAGAACTTTGTTGGTGTTTTTCTTGAAAGAGGATGAAAAGGGTGTCGGATCACAAGGTCAGGAGTTCGAGACCAGCCTGGCCAACGTGATGAAACCCCATCTCTACTAAAGATGCAGAAAATTGGCCAGGTGTGGTGGCATGAGCCTGTAATCCCAGCTACTCAGGAGGCTGAGGCAGGATAATCGTTTGAACCCTGGAGGCGGAGGTTGCAGTGAGCCGAGATCACGCCATTGCACTCCAGCCTGGGTGACAGGGCAAGACTCCGTCTCAAAAAAAAAAAAAAAAAAAAAAAAAAGAAGGTGCTCTCTTGCAGCCTCCCGGACCCTGGATACCAGCGCAGGGACACATGGAAGTCCCCACACTTATTCTTGAGAAACTTCACAAAGGGATGGGGATGGGGAGAGGAGAGGTAGAGAGGGAGAGGCGTCTCAACAGCGGCAGGCATTCATCCATTTAAAAAGGTTATTGGTTGCTAAATAATAATGGTAACATCTCACATTTATGACCCACTTTTCATTTACATAAAAAAGATGACGACTGAAAATTGACTGTTGGATTTAGCTCTGTGGAACTCATGATGAACCTGACAAGAGGTTTTGGTAAAGCAGTGGGGGTTTTAGCCTGATTGAAGAGGGCTGGAAGGGAACTGGAGACAGCAAGTATAGACAACTGGTTTGAGGGTTTCTTTTCTTTTCTTTTCTTTCTTTCTTTTTCTGAGACAGGGTCTTACTCTGTCACCCAGGCTGGGGTGCAGTGGTGTGATCATAGTTCACTACAGCTGCAAACTCCTGGGCTCAAGTGATCTCTTGCCTCAGCCTTCCCACTGGCTGGGACCATCATGAGCACTGCCATGCACTAAAAGTTAGGCGCACCACCATGCCCAGCTAACTTTTGTATTTTTTTGTAAAGACAGGGTCTCACTATGCTGCCCAGGCTGGTCTCAAACTCCTGGGCTCAAGTGATCCTCTTCCCTTGGCCTCCCACAGTGCTGGGATTACAGGTGTAAGTCACCATGGCCAGCCACATCTGAGATTCTATGCTGCAAAAATAAGAAGTGAGATGGGGAGCTTTAGAGGAATGTAGGGTCAAGAGAGGGTTGTTTTAAGATGAAAAATATTTCAGCATGCTTGTAGGCTGATAGAAATGAATCGGTAAAGAGGGAAGCTGATGTTCCAGGAGAAAGAAGAAGATTGCTGGAGCGATGCTGGTGAGTAGTAGAGGGGCTGGAAATGCCCAGGCAGAGGGGTTGGGGTTGGATGGGCACAGGCACAGTTCATCAATGCCCAGTATACGGGCAGAGATGCAGACAGGAAGGTAGACTAGATGGCCGCACGTGGACGTTCCCTTCTTACTGTTTCTGTGTTCTTGCTGACATGGAAGACAAGCTGTCAGAGAGGAAAAGGTAGAGAGAATGAGGGAAATGCGGCCTACCAGGCAGTTTTTTTGTTTGTTTGCTTTTGTTTTGTTTTGTTTTGTTTTTAGATGGAGTTTCGATCTTGTCGCCCAGGCTGGAGTGCAGTGGTGCTATCTCGACTCACTGCAACATCCGCCTCCCGCGTTCAAGTGATTCTCCTGCCTCAGCCTCCCGAGTATCTGGGATTACAGGCGTACACCAAGACACCTGGCTAATTTTTGTATTTTTAGTAGAGACGGGGTTTCACCGTGTTGGTCAGGCTAGTCTCAAACGCCTGACCTTAGGTGATCCGCCCTCCTCGGCCTCCTAAAGTGCTGGGATTACAGGCGTGAGCCACCGCGCCCGGCCTCCTAGCAGGCAGTCTTACGGATTATGAATTTAAAACATGACCAGTCAGTAAGCATGGTTACGCTCTTTTTGTTTTTTCTTCAGCCCTGTAGGGCTGCCGGGGTGCAGGTGGAAAGTAGGGTATAACCACGGTTGGTTGGGGTTTTACAAGGCAAAAATCGATGAAATGAGAGAAGACTACCCGAGGGTGTAATCAAAGGAGCAGTCCTAATACGATGAGCCGGTATTCTTTGAATGAATGAATACATGGTTAAAGGCAGGTGATAAAGGCGATATGGTTGGCCATGCCAAAGCACTGAGAGCCTAGGAGCAGCGTGGCCAGAGTCTCCGGGAGTCGGCACCTGCCTCTCCTCGTTGTCTAGGCCTGACTGTCCCTGGCCTTGCACGGCCGCGCAGCGGGGCGACCGGCAGGGGGCGCGCTGGGATGGCCAGGAGCTCGGCTCTCCCCGCTCTGTCCCTGCTCTGCGGCCCGCCTCGCCCCTGCAAGTTTAAATTCCTCTTAGCAAGCCCAGCATCGCAGCCAATAACGCATCAGGGGGCGGAGCCGTAGAGGCTTGCGCCCCGCCTCGCTCCGCTATTGGAAGGAAAGCAGCCAATGGGAGAGCCGAGGCGGGGAGGTGCGGCCAATGGCGCGGGCCTGTTTGATTCAAAGGTTGCCTATAAAGCGGGACTGCACGCCGGTTTTTGTCCGAGGGCTGTCGAGTCCGAGCGCCGCCATGGCTCTGCTGTCCGAGGGCCTGGACGAGGTGCCCGCCGCCTGCCTGTCGCCGTGCGGGCCGCCCAACCCGACCGAGCTGTTCAGCGAGTCACGGCGCCTGGCTCTGGAGGAGCTGGTGGCGGGCGGCCCCGAAGCCTTCGCGGCCTTCCTGCGACGCGAGCGCCTGGCTCGTTTCCTGAACCCCGATGAGGTGCACGCCATTCTGCGCGCGGCGGAGAGGCCGGGAGAGGAGGGCGCGGCGGCGGCGGCGGCGGCCGAGGACTCGTTCGGCTCCTCGCACGACTGCTCTTCGGGCACCTACTTCCCCGAGCAGTCGGACCTGGAGCCACCGCTGTTGGAGCTTGGCTGGCCCGCCTTCTACCAGGGCGCCTACCGCGGCGCCACGCGTGTCGAGACGCACTTCCAGCCCCGCGGCGCTGGCGAAGGTGGCCCCTACGGCTGCAAGGACGCTCTGCGCCAGCAGCTCCGCTCGGCGCGAGAGGTGAGCGGCCCTCCAGGGCCCTGGGTCGCACGGGAGACCCCCTTCAAGAATGGGAAATTGAGGCCTGCTGGGAGTACGGGCCGGGGCCACTACCTCCTCTGCGCCCTACCGGAAGCGCGCGCGGGCTAGGTGGTCCCAGGGTCTCCGACTCACACCCCACTCTGCGTGTCTCCCCCGGATCCCCCGGGCCGCTCCTCGTGGCAGGGGATAGTGGGAAAGCCTCGGTTCCCAAGGATGCGAATTGTGCCCGGGTTCCATCTCCTAACGTTCATATCCCTGAAGGAGGGACCAGAAGTACTCTGAGTTCCAAATTTCAGTTAAAATCAAACTTGGAAAATTGCCTATTTCCCTGTCTGTCAGCCAACGCTAGATCCCACTTTCAGGAGCTTCTTAGGAGACTCATTACCAAAGAACTTACGCAGGGAAAGTTCCAGAAAGATGGTCTCCAGAGACAACTACGGGGCATTAGGAAGCAATTATTATTGCTAATTACTTTCATGCATCTTTTGCTGTAAAAAGCAGATAAACACGAGAGTGGCAAAGTGAGAGCCCTGCCGCTTTTTCTTTCTTGTCTTTTTTTTTTTTTTTTTTTTTTGAGACAGATTCTCTTTTGCCCAGGCTGGAGTGAAGTGGTGGGATCTCAGTTCACTGCAACCTCCGTCCCCCGGGTTCAAGTGACTCTCCTGCCTCAGCCTCCCAAGTAGCTGGGATTACCGGTGCCCGCCACCACGCCCGGCTAATTTTTGTATTTTTAGTAGAGACGGGGTTTCTCCATGTTGGCCAAGCTGGTCTCGAACTCCTGACCTCAGGTGATCCACCCGCCTCGGCCTCCCAAAGTGCTAGGATTACAGGCGTGAGCCACCGCACCCGGCCCCCTGCCGCTTTTTCTACTGCCAGAGACTGGAGGGGAAACTGGGGCAAGGGGTTTGTTTTCCATAGGCTGGGTCTGTGCCAGATTGCAGTGGTCTCCTAAAATGCAGATACATTTGCATTAGATCGGCTTCTGTATTCATAGTGGGTTTTGGTCCTACTGTCTGACTCTTAGTATGGCATGGTCATGGGTGCAATGGAGGTCTTGTCTGCTTGCCAGCCTCGATAAAGCTGCAGCAGGGTGCTGGGGATCAAGGAGGAAGAAGGCAGCCTGCAGGTGGGTGTGGCACATAGAGTGTCGTGGCAGACACCTTGGTCTGGAGCCATGGTCAGGTTGCTTGCTGACTGGCAGTGCCCAGCTCCCTGGCTATCTGCCTGTGCCAGGGACATGGCAGATAAAGCCCCAGCCATGTTAAGACTTGTTAGGGCTGGTACCTGAGTGTGTCTGAGTGTGGGTGAAGATACCAGTGCATTGTCAGGTTGACATGTCCAAGCCCCGACTCTCACCAATGTTCTTAATGTTCTTTCCCTGACTGGTGGGGTTTCAGTGGTAGTGGATACAGTGACCTAGTGCCTTGCCTTTGAGGGAGTGGTTGTGGGCTGCAGCTAGGCTCTTACCAGCCCTGAGGTGCTTTGGGTGGACTGAGGGTTTTTTGATGCAGCAGACATTTTCCTTGCGGGTTCAGTGAAAAGATTAAAAAGATGGAAAAGGCAGACTTGTGTAGGTATGCATCCCCAAAGCTCATGTCCAGTAGAACTTGAGCACTTGGAACCTGAAAAATGTAAAGAACTGGTCTGTATAGTGAGAGCTGTGGATTGTTCTAGTCTTTTGCCCAGCCCCAAATTTTAGTGATAGCAAAAGGGCACTGGAACTAGAGGCCAGAGGGAAACTATTAAACTCACGTGCTGGCGTGAGGAGGGGATGGAGCCAGGAGCTCAGACTCTCCCTCATCTCACGGGCATTTTGTAATACTGACATTTCCAGATAGAACCTGCTGCCCTAGTCTAGCTACCCACAGTTCCCTCCGAGATGCTGTATTTGGAACCTGGGCAGTTTTAACTGAGAAAGGTGGTACATTACCTTTAAATCCAATGAGTATTGGCTGGGCACAGTGGCTCAAGCCTGTAATCCCAGCACTTTGGGAGGCTGAGGCAGGCAGATCACGAGGTCAGGAGTTCGAGACCAGCCTGGCCAACATCGTGAAACCCCGTCTCTACTAAAAATACAAAAATTAGCTGGACGTGGTGGTGCGTGCCTGTAATCCCAGCTACTTGGGAGGCTGAGGCAGGAGAATTGCTTGAACCTGGGAGGTGGAGGTTGTAGTGAGCTGAGATCACACCACTGGACTCCAGCTCTGGGCGACAGAGCAAGACTCCCTCTCGGAAAAAAAAAAAAAAAAAAATCCAATGAGTATTTTCAGTGTGTCCGATAGATGCCAAATTATTTGCTTACTCATTGCCTGCTGTGTATCAGACACTACCATGGCTGGGGCCACAGGGGAAGGCATCATCCTTGCCAACACTTGAGAGTGGACAGTGTGCTGATGGGAAACAGTGAGGAGTTTGCTGCAGGTACTGCGGAAAGGGCTAAAGAAAGAAAGTCTCCGGAGTGGCAGTGACCTCAGAGCTGGGTGGGGCTTGCCAGACCTAGGGTATGGGGGCTGGCCCACAAGTGTTTAAGGACCTGGAATGTTTGGGGGCAGCCAAATTCCCCACAGCGGGTTAGTGGTAGGAGAGGAAGCTGGGGTAAGGGATGCTGAAATGAGTTGGGTTTGAGACAGTGCTGAATTTGAGGTCCCAAAGACAATCTCTTTTGTTTAAAAAAAAAAAAAAAAGCCAGGCCATGGTATCATGTGCCTGTAGTCCCAGCTACTCAGGAGGCTGAGGCAGGAGGATCATTTGAGCCCAGGAGTTTGAGGCTGTAGTACACTATGACTACGCTGTGAATGGCTACTGCACTCCAGCCTGGGCAACACGGGGAGACCCTGTCTCTTTAAAAAAAAAAAAAAAAAAAGTAATGCTTTCTGTTTGCCAGGCACTGTTCTAGGTGATCCCAAGGAAGGTGCGATTATCATCTTCATTTTACAGCTGATAGAACTGAGGCATAGAGAAGTTAAGTGGCCCCGAAGTCATGCAGCTAGAGAATGAAGGAGCCTGTACTCAAATTGAGGCACAGAATGTCTGAACCACTGTTAACCACCACACTCCCTGTGGAGGGTTCAGGAGCCTGTGCTCAGGTGGGGAGAGGTGACAGCAGATCTGGTGGCTAGCTAAGAGCTACTACTATTTATGGGCATGCATTGTGGACAAGGGAGTGGCTGTGTCACCTTGACCACATCCTTTGAAATCTAGTACCTGTGACAGCGAGGACCATGAAGGTGTAGGTCTCAGGCTGCTTTCAGGATGAAATGAGAAGCTGTTCTGCATCCGTGTTCTGATAGCAAAGGTACCTAATGGTGATATGATTGAGCACTTTGAATGGGTCAGTTTCTGTGCTAAACCCTTGACCTGAATTACCTCATTTAACCCTCCCAACACTGGGAGGAGGCTACAATTAAGAAAAGACCAGGCACAGAGAAGTTAAGTAACTTGCCTGAGATCACACAGTTAGCATGGGACAGAGCTGGGCTCAAGCCCAAGTCTGTCTAGTTCCAGCTCTGAAGCTCAAGTGTTTTTTTTTTGTTGTTTGTTATTATTTTTTTTAAGACAGAGTCTTGCTCTGTCACCCACGCTGGAGTGCAGTGGCATGATCTTAGCTCACTGCAACCTCCACCTCCTGGATTCAAGTGACTCTCCTGACTCAGCCTCCCGAGTAGCTGGGATTACAGGAGCACACCACCATGCCCAGCTAATTTTTTCTTTTTTTTTTTGGAGACAGAGTTGCTCTTTTGGCCCAGGCTGGAGTGCAGTGGCACAGTCTCAGCTCTCAGTAACCTCTGCCTCCCAGGTTCAAGCGATTCTCCTACCTCAGCCTCCCAAGTAGCTGGGATTACAGGCACCCTCCACTAATTTTTGTATTTTTAGTAGAGATGGGGTTTCGCCATGTTGGCCAGGCTGGTCTTGATCTCCTGACCTCGCGATCTGCCTGCCTCAGCCTCCCAAAATGCTGGGATTACAGGCGTGAGCCACTGCGCCCGGCCAATTTTTGTGTTTTTAGTAGAGATGGGTTTCGCCATGTTGCCCAGGCTGGTGTTGAACTCCTGGGCTCAAGTGATTCACCTGCCTTGGCCTCCCAAAGTGCTGGGATTACAGGCGTGAGCCGCTGTGCCCGGCCACTGAAGCCCACACTCCTAATCCCTGCTGCATACAGCCTCCCTGCCATGAGGAAGGATTGGAGCTTTGGTAGTTTTCAACAGGCTGAAGGTTTGTAACAGTTGAAGATTGGGACTTTTTAATTTCCATGTTGCGTATTCTATAAACAGGAAAATGACAATGACTAGACCTGTCCTTTTCAGGAAGAAAACGAGGTGGTCAGTTTTTAGAGTAGGAGGCATTAAGGCTGGCAGAGAACCTCCTCAACCCATCAAGTGGGGAAGGTGGTTCATGATGCCAGGAGAACATAGGTCTCTGAGTTTAGGTTTTGTAAACTAGAGTGTGTTTTCCTCTCCCTGGGAAAGATAGAGCCAGATAGATGTTTCTGGTACCTGGAGCAGAGGGATCTGTGAGAATCTTTTGGTGGGTGAATGAAGGAACTTTGAATGCCACATGAAGGGTCCCACTTAACCCCAGAGGTTGGGGCCAGGCTGCAGTAGAGCACGGTCGAACCTCAGTGTTCGCTCCATGCAGCTTTATCTGCCTTCACTGAGGTGGTCTGAGGACCACCCTGCATCTTCAGGAATGTCTCTGGAAGGAGCCAGGATACGAGGCTCCTTGACCAGAGTATAGGCACAGGAAGCCAGGGTTACTTGGTAAATGGTAGGGCCTAATCCTGGCTTTGCAGCCTGAAGCGCTGGTTCTGGGATAGGTTTTATCCAGCAGCTCTCTGACCACACAGAATCACTCAGTGTGTCTGATACATAAAAGATGCTCAGTAAATACTGTAGGGGCCTATTATGTGCACCTTTGCTCATTCAGCTACATGCTTTGAGGAGAAATAAAGGGCAGGGGGAAGGGAGCGGTAGATAGGAAGAAAAGTAGTTCAGGTGATTCTGTCTGCCTTTCCACTCAGCAAGTATTTGTCCCTGGGTGGCTGTGCCTGGGGTTTGTGAATCTGCCAGCCCCTTCCTTGACTCTTGTTTCTATATACCTTTCAAAGTGTGGGCATTCTGCCACACTGAATGAGGTACAGTGTTTAAAAACAAATGGTTTGGCCATGCGCGGTGGCTCATGCCTGTAATCCCAGTGTTTTGGGAGGTCAAGGCTGGAGGATTCCTTGAGGCCAGGAGTTTGAGACCAGCCTGGGCAACATAGCGAGATCCCATCTCTACAAAAAGTTAAAAAATTAGCCGGGTGTGGTGGCATGTGCCTGTAGTTCCAGCTACTCAGCAGGCTGAGGCAGGAGGATTACTTGAGCCCAGGAGTTGGAGGCTGTAGTAAGCTATGATCATGCCAGTGCACTCCAGCTTGGGTGACAGGGCAAGACCCTGTTTCTAAAAAATAAATAAAAACACAATTACGTATAGCATGGCTTGAATACAAGCTGGCTGCTTACCAGGTGCTCAGGCGAGCTTCACCAAAATTGGAGGAAATACTGTTTTGAACCTTTTGAGAACCCATATGTTTGTTTCCTAAGCAAGTTTTTGGATAATCTTGAATTATACAGGATATTTTCCCTACATACTTGCTGTAGATCCACCCCTCCACCACTGTATCTGTTGATGACGCATTCAGCTTTTTGCCTCTGTTGCTGTGTGAACTGGGATTTGGCTGGGCTGTGGCCGCCTGCCTGGAAGGGCTACATAGCCTCATTTTGGCAATGTGCTTATGAATTGGCTGTCCGGCTATTCCTGGTTTGTTGAATGAGAGTTCAGAGGCAAAGCTGGTACCACCACGAGGTTCCAATTCCTCAGAGTCACGTTTCTTACCAGTGCCTATTCTCTTTTGTTCCAAAGAGGCCACTTTTGCTATGACCTCACCCTCGGGCATCCTCTTGATAACCTGAGCGTTAGTAGTGGGGATCATTGCGTTCCCAGAGAGCCCTGCCAGGAGGAGTAGCAGCTTAGGAATCTGTTGGGGGCCCCTGGCATTTACTTGGATGTATCTGAATGAAGGCTTTCCTGTTCTTGCACAACTTTCCTCTGCATTACAGTAGAGCCTGTGTGGTGTGATCAGTTTCTGTTCCAAATGCTCATGTCAGCCCCAAGCAGGGCTTCTCACCCTCAGCACTGTTGACCTTTTGGGTTGGATAATTCTTTGTCCTGAGGGGCTGTCTTGTACATTGTAGGACGTTGAGTAGCATCCATGGCCCCCATTCACTCGATGCCAATAGCATCCCTCACACCAGGTAGTCATGATATTCAGTGTCTCCAGAGTGGGAAATAGTGAGTTACTGATGAATGGGCACAGAGTTTCTGTTTGGGGCTATGAAAAAGTTTTAGAAACAGATGGTAGTGATGGTTGTGAATGTAATTATTGCCACTGAATTGTACACTTAAAAATTATTAAGATGGCAAACTTATCTATTTTACCACAATAAAAAAATGTCTCCAGACATTGCTAAATGCCCTGTGGGGGCAAAATCGCCCTCCAGTTGTGAACCACTGGCCTAGAAGTTCTCACTAGTGCATCATTATGGGACATTACCCACTGGACTGAAGTGTTGCTACTATTTATCCCTTCCTTTTGATTTCATGTGTCAGGTTAAGGATTTTAGAATTTAGCCATTTCTCTTTAAAAATATTGTGGTAAAAAATACGTAGCAAAATTTACCATTTTAACCATTTGTAAGTGTACAGTTCAGTGGCATTAAATACATTCACACTGTTGTGCAGCTGTCACTAGCCGAATCTCCAGAGCTGTTTCAGCTTCCCAAAGTGAACCTCTGTACCCATTAAACACTAGCTCTTCATACCCTCCTTTCCTGGCCCCGGCAACCACCATTCTACTTTCTGTCTGCCATTTCTTTCTTTCTTTTTTTTTTTTTGAGAGTCTCGCTCTGTCGCCAGGCTGGAGTGCAGTGGCACCATCTCAGCTCACTGCAACTTCTGCCTCCCGGGTTCAAGCGATTCCCCTGCCTCAGCCTCCCAAGTAGCTGGGACTACAGGTGCCCGCTACCACGCCCGGCTAATTTTTTTGTATTTTAGTAGAAACAGGGTTTCACCATGTCGGCCAGCATGGTCTCAAGCTCCTGACGTCGTGATCTGCCCTCCTCGGCCTCCCAAAGTGCTGAGATTACAGGCGTGAGCTACCATGCCTGGCCTCTGTCTGCCATTTCTTTATTCTTTTCCCTTAGCGTCTAGCAGACAGTAATGAAGCTGCAGAATTCTTCTCTGACTTCTTTATGGATAGAAGGTATGTTACTTCAGGAAAAAAGCAAGCAAAACCCAAAAATGTAGTGGATATATTGGCTTAAAAAAATCTTGAACCCGGTCTCTACTAAAAATACAAAATTAGCTGGTTGTGGTGGTACATGCCTGTAATCCTGGCTACTTGGGAGGCCGAGGCAGGAGAATAGCTTGAACCTGGGAGGTGGAGGTTGTGATGAGCCAAGATCGTGCCATTGCACTCCGGCCTGGGCAACAAGAGTGAAACTCCGTCTCAAAAAAAAAAAAAAAAAAAAATTCTTGATGCAAATGATATAACCTCTGGAAGGGAATTTGGCAATATCTAGCAAAATTTCAGTTATATTTACCCATTGATCTACCACTTCCACTTCTCTGTATCTTGATATATTGGCAAAAATATGAATAGTTGTAGACAATAGGCCATGCGTTGCAACACTAATTATAATAGCAAAACACAGGAAAGAGTTCAGGTGTTCGTCAGTAGAGGATGAGTTCATCATTGTGAATGAACCGATTCGTCTCTGCAGTGGAACATCCTGTAGCTCTAAGAAGGAATGAGGACTAGCTCTGATATGCGGTATCTAGAATGGTACTGACCAGTGTAGTAGCCATATGAGGCTATTAAAATTTATATGGATTAAAATTAAATAAAGATTCAGTTCTGTCATCTTGGAAGGTTCTATTGGGCCACGCTAGTCTAGAACAATGTGTAGTATTCCATGCTACCTTTTACCTATAGGGGGATATAAGCACATATACATAGTTATATACATAATACACATGTTTATATAAAACAAATATGTTTATATACACCTGTGTATACTTGTTTATATTGAAAAAATGGAAGAATATACAAAAAACTATTGGAAATATTATCTCAATGGGGAGGAGGGACAAGGATGGAAACTAAGTATCTTTGAAAGTACCTTGTTTTGTAAATTGGATTTTGGAACTAGGCAAATGTTTTACATACTTATAAAATAAAAACAATTCAAAATGATAAGCCCTCCTCCCCCTACCCCCTAACTTCTTGGTGCTTTTCCCTCCCCTTTGAAAAGCCCACCTGCTTGTGTACTTCATGCTGGAATAGTACAGAGTACTGAATAGTGGTCAGTCCCTCCAGAGATCAGTGAAAACTTTGCTCCTGCCACCCTCTGGTGGCCCTGCCAGCACTTTCATCTAATACTTAAATTGTTTTATTTGGTTGCTTGTTTGTTTGTTTGAGACAAGTTCTCATTCTGTTGCCCAGGCTAGAGTGCAGTGGTGCAATCATGACTCACTGCAGCCTCGACCTCCCAGGCTCAAGTAATCCTCCTGCCTCAGACTCCCGAGTAACTGGGACTTAAAGGCACATGCCACCACGCCCAGATAATTAAAAAAATTTTTTCTGGAGACAGGATGTCAACTGTGTTGCCCAGAGTGGTCTCAAACTCCTGGCCTCAAGTGATCCTCCCACCTTAGCCTCCTAAAGTATTGGGATTACAGATGTGAGCCACCGTGCCGGGCCTAAATTGTTAATTTGATAATAGCCTCTGAAACAGAGGGAGAACAGTGCACACAAGCAAGTTTAGGTTTCGCTGTGGGAATTTACATTCTTTTTTGTTTTTAAACCCCAAAGATGTCAAGATAGTTACTTAAAGGTTTTTGACAAAATCCCAAGGAGATTATTTCTGTTCTATTAAAACATGTAATACATGGAGAGAAAATATATCTTTTGCTTTTTTAGCAAGAGGGTCCTGAGAGAGTTAGGAGAGGAAGTGAAGGGTCAATGGAGGCCATGTGGTCAGCTGGGAGAATGCAGCAGCCAGGATGTTATTGACCACAGCACAGGCTGACATTGAGTGGGTGCAGATCTTTGGTGGAATTCCAAGCATGTTGCACACCTGACCTCACTTTATGACTCTGGGAGGGAAGGGAGGGAAACTGAGGTGCAGTGAGAAGGGGTGATCGGTACGAACTTCCTCCTTCACACAGAGGAAGAAGAGCTAGAATGAGAACTGGAATGACTGGCCCTGAGGGGCCTGTTGGGGCTGCACATGTGCCTGGTCAGAGCCTAGACCTGCCCATTGAGTGTGTATGAATCACTGACTTCGCAGAGCTGGAAGGGTTCCTTGTTTCAAGGACACCGAGACTCAGATGGAATGGCTTGTCCAGGGATAGTGACGGAATCGGGACTAAGAATATGAGTAGCTGCCATTTAAGGGCTTTCCATATGCCAGGAACTGCCAGCAAACACTATGAGATAGGTACTGTCAATCATCCGTGGTGAGCTTGAGCCCATGCACTTCATGGGCTACGCCACTGATCCTTTAGTGTTTGTTCTAAGCTTCCAGTCATGTGAAAAACTGCCCATTAAACTTGGTTGGAATGATATAAAATACTGAGTATAGTACTTTTTTTAGATGGCTCCGGAGTCACAGAGACCTGGGTTGAAATTCCAGCCCTTGTACTTGTTTAAGTTTGTCACCTTGAACAAGCTACCTAACCTCTCCAAGCTTTGGCTTTCTCATCTATAAATTGGGGATGACAGGTAATGGGGTTTTGAAATTTCTAGATAGCACTTTTGAGCTTTTGTGCAAGAAGGCAAGCAGAAAAGAGTTCAGTTCTATGTGGCAAGTAACATAAACAGGGTCTGTGACCTTCCCAGAGACCAAGAAGGCCATCATGACGTCTGCTGTTCAACTACATAGGTTCCCAAGTCCCTTGGTACAAATCAGGAGGGGACAGGTAGAAGGACTGAGAGAGGTAGGCTTGTGATTTGTTACCTGAGATGATGATGTGAGAGTGGACACACATGCAGCTGCTCCAGATATGGCTGGAGAAGTGCAGGAACAGTGGGGTCCTGGTCAGCAGGCCGGCCATTATGCCCCTGACCAGCTGGATGCGTCCTCCTCACGTCTCCTGTTGTAACTGACTTGCACTGAGTTGCAAATTGCAAATGGGTGTTGACCCTGGAAGGGACTCTTGAAAGTCACCACTCTCACGACTTTCTAGTCCTTAGAGAGTGGGTGGGCTCCATGCAGCACAGACTGGGAGAGTGCCATGACTGTGGGCACTTGATGTGCAAGGGCTGCCTGCCTTCCAGACATGCCATTGTCCTTCGCACATTATTGCCTCCAGGAGTGGGAGCAGTGGCCAAATACACATCAGGTGTATTTCTGGACCCACAGGCTGCAGCAAGAGCACCGGATACCTAGGAGTTGCATCCTGGCTTGGAAAGCAGGACTCGGCCGGTTAGTGGATGAGTCCAGGTCATTGCTCAGCTCAGTGAAGAGAGTGTCCCTTCAGTCTAGCCCCAGGTCTACTTCAGCTATGCAGGGATTGGTTGCATGAGGGCTGGGACACAGGAATGGGGGATGGGGATGGGGATTTGAAGGAAGACTTCCCTACTGATTGCTTCTACAGTAGGACTATGGACTTTTCCTCTGTAAAAGACAAGTACTTTTGGCTGGGCATGGTGGCTCATGCCTGTAATCTCTGCACTTTGGGAGGCCAAGGTGGGTGGATCACTTAAGCTCAGAAGTTGGAGACCATCCTGGGCAACATGGTGGGATTCTGTGTCTACAAAAATTAGCCAGGTGTGGTGGCGTGTGCCTGTAGTCCCAGCTACTTGGAAGGCTGAGGTGGGAGGATTGCTTGTGCTTCAGAGGCGGAGGTTGCAGTGAGCCGAGATCACACCACTGCACTCCAGCCTGGGCGACAGGGTGAAACTGCATCTCCAGAAACAAAAAAATAGACGAATATTTTTAAGAGTCCTGCTTTAGTAAGAAAGGAGTGGATGCTGGGTGTAGGGGAAGTCAGGGGAAGAAAAAAACCTCCATCAACCCTACGCACCCTGATGGTGTTAAGGACTAGTGTTCAAATCCAACGCACAGGAAAGGGTGAGGCTTTAAAACCAAACAATGGAACAAATAGCAAATTAGGTATTTACTCACCATATAACAAAGGTGTTGCACAATTGTTTTGTTAAGTGGTGAATCAAAATTCAGCTTGGCCGTGCCTTGTGCTGTGGGCCCCCAGGCCCATGCCCCTGCCTCCAGCAGGTCTCTAATCCAGCAGCTGGGCTGGGTTTTTCTGATCTCTGTTCCAGTAGCACTGAGGGAACGTGTCCTTTGGCCCGTCACACTCTGTTACCCCTGGCTTGTCTCCTGTCTCATTAGACTGCGTTCTTGAGGACAGGGATTGACACTAGATCCTCAGTGCTCAACACCTGCCTGCCTCGATTGGGTCCACAATGAAGATTTGAAAGAAGAGTGGGAAATCAGAGAGGCAAGCAGGTGTGTGCATTTTCCTCTTTAGCTTTCTCCTGTGAGCTCTACTCTCATTTGTACACCTGCATATTCCAAACCTCTTTTTGAAGGTTTTACTGCCACCTCAAAATCCGTTTCGAAGCTCACCCCTCACTCTTGCTTCTTGTCTTGTGTTTCCTGTTTCCTTGTATCTGAATATCCCTCTCCCTGTCATCCTCAGCCCATGTCGCCCACTGCTCGGCTCTCCCATGATCTCCTTCCCTCTTCTGCAACCCTCATTGCTTCTGCCGTGCTACTGATTTGTCTTCATCTGGTCTCTAGTCCTCCTAAACATTTATTGAAGTTGCTTAACCTAAAGAATATCCACGTGACTGCTGTGTTGCAGGTCCTGTGTTGGAGGAGGTGGGCCCAGATCTCTGACCTATACCAATCTCTTCTGGCATCAGTTTCTTCCATCCTGTTGGATTCTTCACTTCGAACTCATTACTCTTATACAGGCAATGTGGGGAAGATTGAAACTGATTCCTTGGTTGGCATTCAGGGCCTTCTGTGATCTTGCTCATTCATCCGTCTTTTCCAGTCATGTCCCGTGGCTCCCTTTCATGCATGCTGTACGTTCCAGCCAGACTGGTACATACCCCGTCATGCCCTACCTCTTCCTCTGTTATCATGTGGCTTCCTGCGGGAATGCCTTCTCCTCCCTTCACTTCTCCCATGCCCTTGTCCAAATTTTGTCCTTGTGCTTCAGCTCAAATGCCATCTCCTCCAGGAAGCCTTCCCTGCTCTTATCTGGTAAGCATTTGAGTACCTATAGTGCCCATAGTCCACCACTGGAGGAGACACCTTGTTTTTGTTTTGTTTTGTTTTGTTTTGTTTTTTGAGATGGAGTCTTGCTCTGTTGCCCAGGCTGGAGTGCAGTGGTGCGATCTCGGTTCACTGCAACCTTCACCTCCCAGGGTCAAGTGATTCTTGTACCTCAGCCTTCCTAGTAGCTGGGATGACAGGTGCATGCCACCATGTTCATCTAATTTTTTGTATTTTTAGTAGAGATGGGGTTTTACCGTGTTGGCCGGGCTGCTCTCAAACTCCTGACCTCAGGTAATCCACCCACCTCGGCCTCCCAAAGCACTGGGATTACAGGCATGAGCCATCATGCCCGGCCCCCTTAGTTTAATTGCTTAGGCTGTATATATCATTTTGCCTCTCTGCATCCTGTGTCCTCTCCTTGAGGTAAGTTGGGTCTATGTCAAATTCCTCATAGCCATCTTTCTGCCTAGTGCAGTGTGCAGCCCACAGCGTGCTCTGAGGAGGTGCTGGCTGCATAATAGCACCTGTTTCCTGCCTTGCCCTCCCTGTGCTAAGCCCTTTCCATGCTTTGTTTCACTTAATCCTCACAGCAGCCCTTTGACCCAGATGCTATTAATTTTGTCTTCCTGAGGAGGAAACTGAGGCTCAGAGAGATTAAGCCACTTGCCCAGGGTCACACAGCTGGTAGGTGGTAGAGCTGGGTTCTATGCCCAGAACTTTTGCCTTTAATTCCTGTTGTATGACCCGAATGAGTGGGATGAATAGAACTGTCAAAATAGGATGTGTAAAGCCAGTGGAGGATGTAAACTTCAGAGGATGCCACAAATTCAGAAAGAACGCTTCTCATTTTTTAAATCACTGTGTTCAGTGGGTTTCAGCCATGCCCTTTACCAAGAATAGCCCACAGCTTAGACCATCATTAAAAGGGGTGGGGTGGGAAAGGCAGCAGGAGAGTAACTGGTCTTCTCAACCCCCTCACAGCAATGACTTCCCAGGAACTGGTGTTTCAGGGTCTCACATCCTAGTAGACCAGGCCCTGGAGTGTTGGAGAAAGACAGCCAAATTGCCTTTTTGCCTCTTCATTCCTTCTTTAATCCCCCAAATCCTTAAGGAGTCATGACTGTCATATACTGTCCTAAGTCCTCTGGGACCACAGAAATGACTCAATCCCATTCAAGAGCCTTTGCTGCAGGAGAAGGAGTGAAACCCATAAATGAATAATCCTAACTTTCAGAAAAAGAGTTAATGTGATTCTGAGAGACAGGCTTTTACTGTGGAAATGGGGAGGAAGGAGAAACCCTTATATCTCCAGACTACAGAAGAGCCCCCAAGCCTCGGCTTCCTTAGTTAACACCCCCAACTTCTGACTCAGTTTGTCAGGACCTGTTTCTAAGCCTGGAGGTTTGGACACCCCCACTGCCCTGCCAGGAGTTTGCTGAGGACCTTGGTTTTAAGCCTGCAAAAGGTGTGATTAGAGGCATTGTGGCAGGAGCAGCCTGTCTTTAAAAGAGCGAGGAAAGCTAGGCGGTGTCTCCCTGTGTTGAACTGTCTGGACGGCTCCAGCTCTGGACTGGTAAAGTGAATAAACGAGCAGATACTAAGGGATCCTTTGTACCTTGCACTTTATGTAACATAGTCATTTAGTTCTCGATACAACCCTATTTTGCAGCTAAGGAAACAGACATTTGAAACAGCTGTAATTTGCCCAGGAATGCATGGCTAAAAGGTAGCTCTTAATTGTAGTCTGATGCTAGGTGTGGAAAATCACTTGGGAGGCATGAATGGAGCCATGTTGTTGGGGAGAAGAAAGGCCTGTTCTGAGCTTAAGGGCAGAATCCTTAGGAAATATTTCCCTGTTCTTTGCTGTGGGCTTGCACTATGGACGGATACCAAAGAACTGCAGAGAGAACCTTTTACTGAGGAGAGGCCAGTGCAGTGGAAGTCATTTGGTTAGAACCTGCCCAACAGACAGCTGATCAGGCCTGGCTGGTAGAAAGAACAGAATGTTAACAAATATGGTATGCAGTGTTAGGGAGGCAGAAGAAGGGAGAATCCATGGGCCTGCTTCGATTGCTTTCGAGTCATGAGTTGGTGGTGAATGGGACAGGCCTTAAAAAAGTCAGAGATTATGATTCAAAACCAGACAATAATTTAAAAAATAGATTTCGAGAATGCTACCCTCCAGAAGGGCCCTCAGAGAGAATCTGAGGTTTTATTTACTTGTTTAACGGACAGCAAACTGAAGCCTGGTGGGGAAAGCAACAAGCCAAAGATGACAGTGTGTTACCCACAGAACCAGACAGCTTGCTGATCTGAATAAGCCTGTAAGACAGGAGTTTAGTGGAGGAATAGAAGGTGAATGGAGCAGGTTCATAAGAGAGCAAGGCAGTGGATTGATCTGTATTTTTGAGAAACCTCCCAGCATGGAGTTGGGAGTGTTAGCTAGGCCAAGTCAAGATTTCTAGGACACGGGGCCCAAGTGTCTTTGGAGATGCAAAAGAGTCCATGGTGAGGGGGGCACCAACACTGCAGAAGGGGGAGGGAAGGATAACTGTTGGATAGGGATCATTTCCCAGTTCTGAGTGGAGTCCAGAGTCCAGAGAGCGTGCTGTAAGGTGGTGTCCTATAAGCTTATCATGTGCTCTTCCCTGTTTCACCTGTAGGTGATTGCAGTGGTCATGGACGTGTTCACAGACATCGACATCTTCAGAGACCTGCAAGAAATATGCAGGAAACAGGGAGTTGCTGTGTATATCCTTCTGGACCAGGCTCTCCTCTCTCAATTTCTGGATATGTGCATGGATCTGAAAGTTCATCCTGAACAGGAAAAGGTTTGTGGTACACTATATCCAGTTTCACCATAGTCAACAAATATGACCAAGCATCCATTATCTACAAGCTGGCTGGTGGCGGTATCCCTGTTTACAAGGAAGGGACTGAGGCTGTGAGCAAAGTCATTTGCCTGGTCTTACAGAAAACAAACAGTACCTGTGACCTGGCAATTCTCCTAGGTGTCTACCCAAGAGAAATGAAAATATGGGCCCCCACAAAAATTTATGTGTGAGTTTTATAGAAGCATTATTCATAAAGCCAAAGAGTGGAAACAATCCAATGCCAATCAACTGATAAGTGGATAAATGATATGTTGTCTATTCATACAATAGCATACTATTCACCTATAAAAAGGAATGAAGTGCTGATACATGCTACAGCATGGATGAACCTGCAAACGTGCTAAGTGAAGGAAACCGGTCACAAAAGACCACATATGATATGATTCCATTAAGTCAGAATAGGGAAATCTATAGAGACATTGATTAGTGGTTGCCTAGGGCTGGGGAGTTGGGGGAAGGACGGGATTATTGCTAAAGGGTACTTTATTTTAGCACTTTCTTTTTAAACTGATGAGAATGTCCTAAAATTGACTAACGGTGATGATGGTTGCATATATCTGTGGATATACTAAAAACTACAGAATTTGTGTTAATTGTATGATCTGTGAATTAGATCTCAGTTAAGCTCTTTAAAAGAAATGTTAGGATTCAAGACCTTGGCCTCTCCCCTGTACTGTCCTGCCTCTTAATAGAGCCTGGACCAGCTCCCTTGTTGAAGGCCTGAAGGCCACCCTGGAAGTTGCTGCTTTTGACAGTAGCTCCAGGAGGCTGCCCTTTTAATCACAGCAACCAGTATTTTTTGAGCCCCCACTCTGTCTTTGGCACTGCTCCATGCTTTTTTTTTTTTTTTCCTGAGATAGAGTCTCACTCTGTTGCCCAGGCTGGAGTACAGTGGCCCAATCTAGGCTCACTGCAACATCCCTCTCCCAGGTTCAAGAGATTATCCTGCCTCAGCCTCCCAGTTAGCTGGGATTACAGGTGCGTACCACCACACCTGGCTAATTTTTGTATTTTTAGTACAGATGGGGTTTTGCCATGTTGTCCAGGCTGGTCTTGAACTCCTACCTCAGATGATCTGCCTGCCTCGGCCTCCCAAAGTGCTGGGATTACAGGCATGAGGCCCCATGCCCAGCCTGCTCTGTGCTTTTAACAAATGTTATGTAACTGAATCCTCAAAGCAGCCCCTATCAGGTAAGTGGCACCTGTGTTTTAGACCAGGAAATAGTGACACAGAGAATCCAAGTGTCCACCACTTCAAAGTAGTGGGCCTAGGGTCTGCCTCCTTGTATGTCTGCCTCCAACCCCAGTGTCTGTAATCACTATTACATGCTGCTGCTGTTCATTTCTCATTATTGTAAAATTAGATTTTATGTCTATTTCTCTGATTCTGAAAATGACCTAAGTGTTTCAGTGGAAGCCTATACAACATAGCTAGCTTGGTCACTTTCATGGAAAGAAGAAAGAAAAATTGTCATATTTATTACAGAATTTGTTTTTTTGTTGTTGTTGTGTTTTTTTGAGATGGAATTTTGCTCTTGTTGCCCAGGCTGGAGTGCAGTGGCACGATCTCAGCTCACTGCAACTTCTGCCTCCCGGGTTCAAGCGATTCTTCTGCCTCAGCCTCCTGAGTAGCTGGGATTACAGGTGCCCACCACCACACCCGACTAATTTTTTGTATTTTTAATAGAGACAGGGTTTCACCATGTTGGTCAGGCTGGTCTCAAACTCCTGACCTCAACTGATCCACCCGCCTCGGCCTCCCAAATTGCTGGGATTACAGGCATAAGCCACCATATCCGGCCCAGAATTTGTTTTTTAAAAATTAAGCAACCCATGGCTTCTCAGCCTTTTGGCTAAGATCAAGTGTAAAAATTAAGCATCTTAACCTGTGAGCTTCAGAACTTTATTTGTTCATCACCTGTATGAGTATCTATTATGCACTGGGTACTAGATATAAAGCAGTCAGCAAAACGAATTTAGTCTTTGGTACTATAAGTTACTGCCTAAGAGACTCTAACTTACCACCTTATTATTACCAAGCAATTTGGTTTACAGAATTCAGATTCTCCCACAGAGTTCTTGTTGGTTGCCTCATGATAAAGACAGGATTGGGGTTTCTAGACCAATTGAGATGAGACAGCCATGTAACCCAACAGGTGGTTAGAAAATGAGTCCAGGTGGACCCAAGGAAGATACACTTTGGCATGGAAAAGAGCATTATCAGCTAGCCAGGTAAAGAAATGGAAGGTATCAGTGTTTAATTTCAAGGTACTCTTTCTATAATTAAGGCTATGCATTAGCAGAGAAATCACAGAATTGTTCTGGCCACAACTTTGGTCAAGTGATTTTCTCTATTTATCTACTAGACAGAAATCTATGAGCAGGCACCGGTTCAGTTGCCTACTGTTGGTTGTTGCCTTCATAGGTGTCCAGATCCTCTGCAGGGGGGTTTAAGAAGGCCTATTTCTGGCCGGGCGCGGTGGCTTACGCCTGTAATCCCAGCACTTTGGGAGGCCGAGGCGGGTGGATCACGAGGTCAGGAGATCGAGACCACCCTGGCTAACACGGTGAAACCGCGTCTCTACTAAAAATATAAAAAATTAGCCAGGCCTGGTGGCACACGCCTGTAGTCCCAGCTACTTGGGAGGCTGAGGAAGGAGAATCGCTTGAACCCGGGAGGCAGAGGTTGCAGTGAGCCGAGATCGCGCCACTGCACTCCAGCCTGGGCAACAGAGAGAGACTCTGTCTCAAAAAAAAAAAAAAAGGCCTATTTCTCTGGCCTCCCCAGTTTTTGTAGTTTTACCTCCTTCCTGGGGAAGCACTGTCTTCCCTGGTTGCTTGTGTCTCCTGTTCCTCTCTGTGCTAGTGAATTTGTGCCCCTTGCTGTATGGGGGCTGATGTCCCCATGCTCTGCCTCTGTAGCTGGTTCAGAATGTTGGGTTGTGCTGTCTGTAGGAACTTGGTCACACATTGATGTGCAGGCGCTCACAAGTGCTTTGGCCACGATCACAGAGGCATATGCAACATTCAGATGTGTGTCAAAGGGAAAGATACAGAAAACCACACCTAATCTGCCCATAATGGTATTCTTATGCTTATTATATGTTGATCCTTTAAGACTTGGCTCAGGGGTCATCACCTCCTCCAGGAAGCTCTCCTCCCACCAAGTCCAGGTGTACCTCTATGACATTCCCTAGTCGTTTTTCTTTTTTTAATTTTTATTTTGAAATAATTTAAGATTTATAAAGAAGTTACAAAAATAATATAAGAAATTCCTGAATACTCTTCACCCAAGTTCTCCACATGTTAACATCTTACAAACCTCAGTACAAATAACAAAATCAGGAAATAAACTTGATATCAATACTATCTAATTTACAGACTTATACATTTCCCGGTCGTTCCACTAATGCCCTTTTTTATGGTCCAGGATCCAATCCAGTCCAGGATCACACCTTACATTTAGTTGTCAAGTCTCCTTCATGTGATTTAATCTGGAACAGTTTCTCCATCTTTCTTTGTCTTTTAGGGTCTTGACCTGCCCCCACCCCCCCCCCACCACCCCACCCCCCGTTTTTTTTTTTAAGAGATAAGGTCTCGCTATGTTGCCTAGGCTGGTCTTGAACTCCTGGACTCAATTGATCCTCTTGCATCAACCAGCCTCCCAAGTAGCTGGAACGACAGACATTTGGCACTGCGCCCGGCTGGATCTTGACACCTTTAAAGAATACTAGCTAGCTGGGTGCAGTGGCTCACGCCTGTAATCCCAGCACTTTGGGAGGTTGAGGTGGGCAGATCACCTGAGGTCAGGAGTTTGAGACCAGCTTGGCCAATATGGCGAAACCCCGTCTCTACTAAAAATACAAAACAATTAACCAGGCATGATGGCAGGTGCCTGTAGTCTTAGCTACTCGGGAGGCTGAGGCAGGAGAATTGCTTGAACCTGGGAGATGGAGGTTGCAGTGAGCCGAGATTGTGCTACTGCACTCCAGAGTGAGACTCCACCTCAAAAAAAAAAAAAAAAAAAAAAACAATTTTTTGTAGAATTTGGGTTTGTCTGATGTTTTATCAAAGTTAAATTCAGATTACGCATTTGGTAAGAAGACCACAGAAGTAGCATTATGTCTTGCCATAGTTTTGTGTTTTATTTTTAGCTTATTTTGAATATTGATAGATTAACAGAAGTTGCAAAGATTGTACAGAAAAGTTTCATGTACCCTTCACCCAGTTTCCCCAAATGTTACATCTTATGTAACTTATGGTACAATGTCAAAACCTGGAAATTGACATTGTATACAGCTTTGTGCCATGTTATCGTCATGCATGCATATCCAGACAGAAGTTTCCATCACCACAAAGATCTCCCTCCTCCTGCTCCTTTATATAGTCACATCACTCCCCTCACTTTAACCCCTAGCAACCACTAATTTGTTCTCTATTTCTATAATTTTGTCGTTTACAGTCTATTTTGTAAATGGAATTATACAGTATGTGACCTTTCAAGATTTGCTTTTTTTCTCTCATCACAGTGCTTTTGAAATCCATCCAAGATGTGCACGTATCAACAGTTTGTTCCTTTTCATTGCTGAGTATTGTATGGTATCTTATACCATTCAGCCACTGAAGGACATTTGGATATTTCCAGTTTTTGTCTGTTATGAATAAAGTTGCTGTGAACATGTGTAGAGGTTTTGTGTGGATATAGGTTTTCATTTCTCTGGATGCTGTTATGTGTTACTGTAGTTTCTAAATCAATTAGTTTTCTCTCTCTTATTCTAGTCCTTGAAGGTAAGGAGCATGCCTTACATCTCTGTTGTCTCACGGCTTGGCACATAGTAGGGGCTCTCTATGTTTATGGAATCAATGAGTCAAACAAAAATCTTACACGTTTAATTTAAATGTGTAAGATTTCTAACGATATAGAGCCACTGGTCTGCTCCAGAGAATGCAGATTGTTGTAGTATTTTGTATGCCATTGTTTATACATTTATGTGTGTCATTTTACAGGAATAATTATGCATACATGTGCAGTATATTGCCCCAGCATACCACTACCAGTGTACGTTTTTGGTAATTATGTATTTGTAGGAGATGTGACATTGCTTGTTAAGCCACATGTGATATGAGTGTTTCTGCCTCAGCAGGCCTGTACTAGAGAAGGCCTGTCCTGTGTTCCTATTCTCCATACCCATTATGGTGTTGAGGGTGAGTGAGGATGGACTGTTACTCTAATGTGATGCCATTAAACAAACAAGTTGGAGGAAGATCAGCTTACCTTCTTTCAGACTTTGCTAAAATGTTCTTTATTACTAGCATGTTTTCTTTGATGATTTTATCCCACACATTTTGCTTCAGAATCATTTCTTGGATTCTGTTGTTTAGTATCCCAAAAAGGTTGAGTGTTCTTTTAGAACACATACACGCATGAACTAAGGGTCTCAAAAGTAAATATAAGAAAAGAACAGATGAGAAGATGGACCAAATGTAGAAGTAACATCACTTGAGGCTTGAGAACTGTCTGGCTAGTGTACCATGTATACTGTCACTAAATGGTGACCCTAAGCCACGCATATGCCAATAATTATATCTGGGAATTGTAAACTAAGGCTTTTTGTCCTAACCATTTGCTCAGCAGATGAGTATTGCTGAATTGTTCATTTATATTTCTCCCACTCCCTGCCAACAGTTAATGACAGTTCGGACTATCACAGGAAATATCTACTATGCAAGGTCAGGAACTAAGATTATTGGGAAGGTTCACGAAAAGTTCACGTTGATTGATGGCATCCGCGTGGCAACAGGCTCCTACAGGTAAGTCTCTAACCCGTCCAAGGCTTATTAATCTAAACTCTTCAGAAGAAGCATGTCATGTAAAGGTAAAAGCCTTTTCCTCTCAATGGGAGCCTGTATGGCCATGCATTCTGATATGCGTGCATCTGTGTATAGCAGCTGGTTATCAAAGCCTCCTGTTAGAGGCAGTTTGGGTGGGGGTCACTTCCCCTGTCCTGTAGTCCATAGATTAAAATGCAGAAGTTGAACTTGTATTGAGACAACACAGTCAGCAAGTCCTAGATTTCAAGCCTTGGCCCAGGTCTGCAGGGGACGAACTGGGGGTTAACAGCAACACACAGTCTGGAATCCTGGTTCCTTAGGGATCTGGACCCAGCTTGCCCTGCTCACTTGAAGGTAGGGGCAGTTGCAGGCATCTCCATTAGTGTTGAAGGCAGAGCCAGAGCTGTCAGCTTTAGACTCAAATCCTCCACGTTGCTTCAAGCCTTGTAATTTAGAGCTTTAGTCTAGAAAATACTGATTATGTTTCTGACCCACCTTTGAAGTGTCACATTGGCAATGGCATCTTAAGGTAGAGAGCAGGAAGGTTGAAGAGAGGGTGGGGATAATGAGCGGTTTACATGAATCTCTAGAATTTGTGCCATTTGTACATATGTGGCTCCAATGGTTGTATGTTCTGCCGCCTCTGCGGTAGATTGTCTGATGGTTTGCATGAGGTGTGTCTGTAGAATTTTAAAAAGAAAACCCCATTTTTGAAGAAACACACAACCCTGAGTGATAATTACGTGTCAGCCCTGGGTAAAGGTAGAAATGTGAAGGCTTGTGGAAAATGAGGCAGTAAGATCAAGAAAATCTTGACACCTTTCTTTTTCAACAGTACCCTCATTGCTCAGAACAAAATTTGAACTTTCTTCACCAAAGAGGCTGTGGGAAAAAACAAATTGAACTCTTTTTCTTGGAATTTCCTTTTGTAAGAAGTTTATTAAAAAAATTTGTTTTTAACCTAAGTAGGATTTATCTATATTAACCAAACTTAGCTACAAATGGACTTTTGCTGTTCTAAAATATAAAAACTACCCTCTCCAAATGAAATTGATGACGATGATAGCTTCCATTTGTTGAGGAGGTTTTATAATCTTGGTGTTGGATAGGTGCTTTATTTACATTATCTCATTGAAGGCTTTCTTTTTTTTTTTTTTCGTGATGGAGTCTTGCTCTGTTGCTCAGGCTGGAGTGCAGTGGCGCCATCTTAGCTCATTTCAACTTCTGCCTCTCAGATTCAAGCGATTCCTGTGCCTCAGCCTCCCGAGTAGCTGGGACTACAGGCATGCCACCATGACTGGCTAATTTTTGTATTTTTAGTAGAGATGGTGTTTCGCCACGTTGGCCAGGATGGTCTCAGACTCCTGACCTCAGGTGATCCGCTGGCCTCGGCCTACCAAAGTGCTGGGGTTACAGGTGTGAGCCACTGCGCCCGGCCCAGCCTCATTGAAGGCTTTCAAAAGAATCTTCCTTCTCAGGCTTTGAAGGCAGTTTTCAGGGGGACTTTGCATTAGCCATATCTTGGTTACAGGAGACAGAGTTGACTGTGTTCTATGATCTCTGTTTGAAACCTACTTCTGGTACAAATACCACCATTAGTGGGGTGATGGCAAGTGTCAGCTAACTCTCAAACGTACTGACTCGAAGAACCCGGAAGGAAGCATAGAAAGGTACAGTTGGTTTTCAGTTCATCTTGACGTAGGAGCCACACGCTGATCAGAACACTATATCCTGGTTCTGATGTTTTCGAGTTGACTTTTGTTCTTAGGCAGGCTCTCCCTTTGAAGTCAACGATCCTGGCTTTGTTTATTTTTTGTTTTTGAGACAAAGAGTCTTGCCCAGGCCGGAATGCAGTGGACGATCTCGGCTCACTGCCAAGTTCCGCCTCCTGCGTTTACGTCATTCTCCTGCCTCAGCCTCCCGAGTAGCTGGGACTACAGGCGCCCGCCACCACGCCCAGCTAACTTTTTTTTGTATTTTTAGTAGAGATGGGGTTTCACTATGTTAGCCGGGATGGTCTCAATCTCCTGACCTTGTGATCCGGCCACCTTGGCCTCCCAAAGTGCTGGGATGATAGGCATGAGCCACCGTGCCCAGCCAGATCCTGGCTTTCTTATATGGCCTTTAGTAGCTGTCTCCCAAAGGGTGAAACTCTTTCACTCAGAATTACTATCAATCCCTTCTGTCAGAATCCATTTGATAAAGAAAAAAGAAATCTCTGAAAACTTACTTGGCTCTGGTGGGATCACATGCCCACCCTGAATGAATCCCTGCATCCAAGGGAATAGGATACTCTGGCCAGTGTGGACCACATGCCTGCCCCTATTGTGGTTGGAGAGAGTATGATAATGAAAGCTTTCTGGGGTACAGGTGGGTGTGAGTTCTGCTAGCAGAGGAGGGAGGCGGGGAAGGGACACCGTACAGGCAAGGGCACATGGCCACTAATCAGCTCTAAAATGTTTTGAGCCATGGTGTTTTGTGAAAATGGCAGCACAGCCCCATGACTGTGGGTCCTCCACTGTTAGTGAGGAAGACTACTTCAGCAGCCACAAGGACAAGCTTGAGGGCAGGAAGGCCACTGATGTTGCCACTCAAACAGTAGCAAGGAGCAGGGCATTAGCAATTCATAGGGCCTAGGGTCTGATCTGGAGTCCAGCAGTAGCTCCCCTCTGTGATAATCCCTTTATCTGGTTTCCTTACCTTTAAGATGGGGGTGCTGGCCTAAATAGTTTTCTTACCTTTAAAATGGGGATGCTGGCCTAAATATTTAGAAGCCCTATTTTTTATTTTTAATTAATTTTTTGAGATGGAGTCTCGCCCAGTCATGGAATCTCGCCCAGTCATGGAATGTGCAGTGGTGTGACCTCAGCTTACCGCAACCTCTGCCTCCGGGGTTCAAACAATCCTCCCACCTCAGCCTCCCGAGTAGCTAGGATTACAGTCATGCACCACCACGCCTGGCTAATTTTTTATGTGTTTTTACTGGAGACAGGGTTTCACCATGTTGGCCAGGTTGGTCTTGAACTCCTGACCTCAAAGGATCTGCCCACTTCATCCTCTCAAAGTGCTGGGATTACAGTCATGAGCCACCGCGCCTGGCCCCCTTTCCAGTTTTTAAAAACTCTGAGGCAAGGACCAGGTGAGGTGGCTCACACCTGTAATCCTAGCACTTTGGAAGGATGAGGTGGGAGGACTGCCTGAGCCGAGGAGTTCAAGACCAGCCTGAGCAACATAGCAAGACCCCGTCTCAAAACAAACAAACAAACAAAAAAACCCTCTGAGGCTGAGCATTTAGTGTGTTTGTTAAACAGTTGGCCTTTTTACTTTTATGGTAACACACATAAATGTTATATATGTGTTAAGGCTAGTTAAATACATGCAAATGGTAGGTATGATATCACCAAATTTGTGACCCTTATGTGGTAAGATACCTGTACTATATTATTCAGATGGACAGTGAGTAAAACAAAATTGCTCATCCTTACCAGCTGCTGTTTGTTTCTTTTTAATCTTTAAGTTTTACATGGACGGATGGCAAATTAAACAGCAGTAACTTGGTAATTCTGTCTGGCCAAGTGGTTGAACACTTTGATCTGGAGTTCCGAATCCTGTATGCCCAGTCCAAGCCCATCAGCCCCAAACTCCTGTCTCACTTCCAGAGCAGCAACAAGTTTGATCACCTCACCAACCGAAAACCACAGTCCAAGGAGCTCACCCTGGGCAACCTGCTGCGGATGCGGCTGGCTAGGCTGTCAAGTACTCCCAGGAAGGCGGACCTGGACCCAGAGATGCCCGCAGAGGGCAAGGCAGAGCGCAAGCCCCATGACTGTGAGTCCTCTACTGTTAGTGAGGAAGACTACTTCAGCAGCCACAGGGACGAGCTCCAGAGCAGAAAGGCCATTGACGCTGCCACTCAAACAGAGCCAGGAGAGGAGATGCCAGGGCTGAGTGTGAGTGAGGTGGGAACACAAACCAGCATCACCACAGCATGTGCTGGTACCCAGACTGCAGTCATCACCAGGATAGCAAGCTCTCAAACCACGATTTGGTCCAGATCGACCACTACTCAGACTGACATGGATGAGAACATTCTCTTTCCTCGAGGAACTCAATCTACAGAAGGGTCACCAGTCTCAAAAATGTCTGTATCGAGATCTTCCAGTTTGAAGTCTTCCTCCTCTGTGTCTTCCCAAGGCTCTGTGGCAAGCTCCACTGGTTCTCCCGCTTCCATCAGAACCACTGACTTCCACAATCCTGGCTATCCCAAGTACCTGGGCACCCCCCACCTGGAACTGTACTTGAGTGACTCACTTAGAAACTTGAACAAAGAGCGGCAATTCCACTTCGCTGGTATCAGGTCCCGGCTCAACCACATGCTGGCTATGCTGTCAAGGAGAACACTCTTTACTGAAAACCACCTTGGCCTTCATTCTGGCAATTTCAGCAGAGTTAATTTGCTTGCTGTTAGAGATGTAGCACTTTATCCTTCCTATCAGTAACTGCTCCGTGTTCAGACTCCTGGTTTCTTCCAGGCTTACAGTGGACATCATCAGCTTCCTGCTTTAAAAAATATCTTATGTCCCTAATTGCCTTTCTTTTACCTGACTTTGTCACCTTTGTTGTCTTTGAATTCTTTAGGCTGCATATTATTTTACATGCTTTGTTTTGTCATGTATATACCAGGTATTGGTTTTATGGTTTAAACACTATGGATACAGGGGTTTGTTTTGCACAATTTTAATAGTCATGCACTACATAATGATGTTTTGGTCAATGACAGACCACGTATATGTTGGCAGTCTCATAAGATTATAATACTGTATTTTTACTATACCTTTTCTGTGTTTAGATACAAATACCATTATGTTACAGTTGCCTACAGTATTCAGTGCAGTAACATGATGTACAGGTTTGTAGCCTGTTTTGCATTTTTCTTAGGTTGTATGCTCTTCTGTTTTAAAGGTTTGAATCACCAGCATTTTTGTGATCAAAATCCTATTTAGAAAAAATAAAACTACTTTCTGTTTATCTCTTTAGAATATCTGTGTTCTTAGCATTAAATAAATATAAACTTGTGCTTCTGTACTTTTTCCCCCCCTCTGACACTTTTCTCTTTAAATCTGGGAGTATGTCACAAATTAATGCACCTAATAGATATAGGTATATAGATATCTATATCTGAAGGTTTTTTAAATAGTGTCAGGGTGAGGAAGAAGTAGATGATCCAAACTATAGAAGAGAAAATAGATCCACTTAACCTTCCTCAGCATCATGAATATTGATGTTACTCTATAGTTTAAGTGAGGAAACTGGCCAGAAATAGCAGGCCTTTGCACATGCTCTGCCTTTTCTCTTTTCGAAGAAAAAGCCTGAGCTATTTCAGTAGGTCCTTGGTACTCTGGTACTCTGCTTGTCTACCAAAGGAGGCGTTAGTGTATGTTCCTATATTCATTCCCAATATTAACTCTGGTGGCCCCATGGGCCTCATTTCATCAGCTGGGTGTATTGACAGTGATTTAGCCATCTAATATCCCAGAGTAGGGGCAAAAGAGGACACTGACAATTATCCCAGTTTCCTGGTCCAGTGGCAGGCAGTGTAATGGTTTCTACATCCTTCTAATCAGGATTGGTATGGCTGTGGAATCCTGTTTTTGTCTCATTCTCATGGACAGACAAAAGGGAAGAGAGTTAAATGATGCCTTCCTCCCTCTCCTGACTTAGCTACAGCAAAAAAGATCTATAACAGGGGAAGGTGTCTGCCACATAAAATGCTGATGCACTTGTATCATGAGTGTCCCTACACTCACGCGTGTGCCAGGACTTCCTTATGATGGTCAGGCTATTTGCTGGGTTAGTGCTGTAATCTGTGGCTATAAAGAAAAGGAAAGGAAGGAAATTGATCCATGTCTGCTTAGAAACAACTCTGAGCTAAGCCTCGAGTAAACATATTGTTATTTGAAATCATCTTACAGACTTAAGTCACTTCATATATGCCATCTTTGATCTTTGCAGCAATGTAGCAGAGAGCTATGCAGGTTAGGTAGCTGTTATTTCCAATTTTCAGATGAAACTGAGGCACTGATTAAGTAGCATATTCAAGATGACATGGCTTGTAAATGGTGATGCAAGAATTTAAACACAGGTTTCTAGATTCTAAGTGCAGTACTCTGTTACATGACTATTTCTCTACACGGAGTATGGAAGCAGGAGAGAGTGTACCTTGAGAAATGGCAGTTACTGCAATGGTGAATGGAAAACTAAAACAGCCTCATTAACAAACGTTAAGTACAGGCTGGGCGCGGTGGTTCACGCCTGTAATCCCAGCACTTTGGGAGGCTGAGGTGGGCGGATCACCTGAGGTCAGCAGTTTGAGACCAGCCTCAACATGGAGAAACCCTGTCTCTATTAAAAATACAAAATTAGCTGGGTGTGGTGGTGCATGCCCCTAATCCTAGCTACTCGGGAGGCTGAGGCAGGAGAATTGCTTGAACCTGGGAGGCGGAGGTTGTGGTGAGCCGAGATCACGCTATTGCACTCCAGCCTGGGCAACAAGAGCCAAACTCTGTCTCAAAAAAAACAAAACAAAAACAAAACAGCAAAAAAAGCAAAGTACAACAAAAAAAAGTAAGTACAAAGTCCTAATCTGTGATACTTCTTTTTGTTTGTTTTTGAAGCAGTCTCGTTCTATTGCTCAGGCTGGAGTGCAGTGGCACAATCACAGCTCACTATTTTTTTGTAAAGGCAGGGTCTCACTATGGTGCCTAGGCTGCTCTTAAACTCCTGGGCTCAAGTGATCCTCTTGCCTCAGCCCCTCAAAGTGCCGGGATTACAGGCATGAGCTACTGCATTCAGCCTGTGATAATGTATTTTAATTTAGTTTGAAATTTTAACTGAATGTTCTATGGAACTGTTAATAGGATGACATAACAAAGGTTCTGTGTTTAGTGTGAGAAACTGGGCCAAAGAAATGTAAACAAAGTTCTTTAATGCAGGACTACTCAGAACTCTGAAGTAATGATCACAGTGAATTTCTCAGAGCAGGGCAGGTATATGGCTTACCACAAACTACCTACCACAGAGTGCTCTTTTTGTGGAGCAGGACTCAAAACCATTATTCTCTGAAAGTGTGGCCAACAATTAGAAATAAGAGCAAGAGCCGGGCGCGGTGGCTCACGCCTGTAATCCCAGCACTTTGGGAGGCCGAGGCGGGCGGATCACGAGGTCAGGAGATCGAGACCATCCTGGCTAACACGGTGAAACCCCGTCTCTACTAAAAAAATACAAAAAATTAGCCGGGCGTGGTGGTGGGCGCCTGTAGTCCCAGCTACTCGGGAGGCTGAGGCAGGAGAATGGCATGAACCCAAGAGGCGGAGCTTGCAGTGAGCCGGGATAGCGCCACTGCAGTCCAGCTTGGGCGAAAGAGTGAGACTCCGTCTCAAAAAAAAAAAAAAAAAAAAAAAAAAAGAAGAAGAAGAAAAAAGGCCGGGCGCGGTGGCTCACGCCTGTAATCCCAGCACTTTGGGAGGCCGAGGCGGGCGGATCACGAGGTCAGGAGATCGAGACCATCCCGGCTAAAACGGTGAAACCCCGTCTCTACTAAAAATACAAAAAATTAGCCGGGCGTAGTGGCGGGCGCCTGTAGTCCCAGCTACTTGGGAGGCTGAGGCAGGAGAATGGCGTGAACCCGGGAGGCGGAGCTTGCAGTGAGCCGAGATCCCGCCACTGCACTCCAGCCTGGGCGACAGAGCGAGACTCCGTCTCAAAAAAAAAAAAAAAAGACAAAAAAAAAAGAAATAAGAGCAAGAGATACATGGAGTCCTAAGAAAATGACCCAGTCTCTCAAAGTAAGCAGTCTTTCTGGAGTTGAGTCCAGAAAGTATCATTTATATGGCAGAGTTTTTCAAAGTGAGATCTGAGGACCACCTGCATCAGTCTTGGGGTGCTTGGGTGCTTCCATTTAAAATGCTGATTACTGGTTTCACTCCCAGGGGAGCGGGGTATGAGTGTGGCAGCCTATGTAGTTCAAAAATATTTGTTATTCCTCCCTGGGAGAAAATTATATCCCTCTGTCTACTGTCAGATTTGGCCATCGCAGACTTAGCTGTGAATATTTCAGCATATATATCTAAAAGATAACTGTTTTAGAAAACATAATCATGGCCAGGCGCGGTGGCTCATGCCTATAATCCCAGCACTTTGGGAGGCCAAGGCGGGTGGATCACGAGGTCAGGAGTTTGACACCAGCCTGGCCAACATAGTGAAACCCCGTCTCTACTAAAAATACAAAAATTAGCCGGGCATGGTGGTGTGCGCCTGTAGTCCCAGCTATTCGGGAGGCTGAGGCAGGAGAATGGCGTGAACCCGGGAGGTGGAGGTTGTGGTGAGCCAAGATTGCGCCACTGCACTCCATCCTGGGTGACAGTGAGACTCTGTTTCAAAACAACAACAAAAAAGAAAACCACTTTACCACTGTCACACCTAAACAACTTTGATACAAACTTATCAAATAAATATTCAGTGTTTAAATTCAGTTGTCTAATTTTTTTCTCCCCCTGATGGTTTGTTTGAATTAGAGGTTGATCCATGCAGGCTTGACATTCTCCTATTAAAGGAATCAACTGAAGAGGTGGCCGGCCACCCCACCTCTGTAGGCAGTTGGGCTGGGGAGTATCTGTCGTTTACTTATGGGACTTAAAGCGACTAACAAGAAAAGCTAGGGTACAAGGTCGTGTAAATGAAAAGTTACATGAAGGAAACCCAAGGGTGAGGGATAAAAAGTGGAGTCTGGAATGAGGCTTGAAGAGCCCGCCATGACATACACACCTACTTCATGAGGCCACACGTTTAAGCTTTCCAATAGTGAATACAGAGAAGCCTGGTCAGATACACCATTCGCAGTGTCCTTAAGATTAAAGTAAATCCAGATACAGAAAGGACAGTTATTCCCCACGGTGGCATATGCCTGTTGTCCTAGGTATTTGGAGGGCTGAGGCGGGAGGGTGGCTTGAGCCAGAAAGGACGAGGCTGTAGTAAGCTGTGATTGCACCACTGCCCTCCAGCCTGGGTGATAGAGTGAGACCCTATCTCAAAAACAACAAAATTATTCCAGGCACTAAGATAATTTCTTTCAAGGATCTTTTTATAAAAACGATACTTATAAAAATGACATTCTGGTAATCACATTCCGATAATAAACAATGACAGATACTCTGGGGCATGCCCGGACCCTGAACTCTGCAGAGGCAGTTGTCTGAAGCAGTAAATGAGGTGAATGTATTCAGGTGTATTCTGTGAGCATGGAATACATACCTTATGTTGAATATGTTTAGATCTACATTGTTAGGCTAAGTTTACACACACACCTAGATGTATGCCCCAGTTTGCCTGGCAGAGTTCCAGTTGATGCCTCTTATCCCCAAGTCCCATCTGGTTAACACCTCCTTTTATTCTCAAAAGTGTCCCAGTTTGAACTATAAAGTATATAGGCATCCTATATAGAAAGCACCTCGCAGACCTAAGGAGGCTGTCCCCAGTTCACCCAACTTCATTGAATTGTGTGTCCCTCAGGCCAAAGAAACAGAGGCTCCTCTGGCTGCGGAATCCTTTCCAGTGGATCTTTCCACAACTGTACCCAAATCTTTGAAGCTGCGTCAGCACTTTTGCTTATGCTAATAACTGTGTGAACGTGATCATTTGTGTGCAAACCAACAAACCAGACAGGTTTACATATGTTACAGCAAGTTGTGGAAGACTGCACCTTAGACTCTTGGGAAAATCCTGATATAATGCAATTTAGTACAGCAATTCTGTAAAGGACCACCACTTTTCAGTCTGGGGATGGCTGCCTGTTGTCTAGCTTGATGGTGGCAACCAAAGGGCAGTTAGCGTTTCTCTTAGGAAGCTAACAGTTGTAGCGGGTTGATACATGGATGGTTGTAATGGACATCTATTATTTTTGCTTCATTCATTCAATCATTCATCCTCTGGTAATCTCACGCTCAGATTTCCCTCTGAGGAACCGTTCTGTTCCCAGCTTTCAGTCCATGTGTTTCTGCTGAAGCTGACCTAACCCGACCCTGGATGTGGAACATGGGACCAAGGCCTAAGTCCATTAGTACATTAGATTCCTGGGCTTAGTGGTTGATTTAGGGATGGATACATGGCCTGTCAGGAATACGTTGCCAAGGAATTTTGGAAAGAGGTTTAATGCTTAAGAGGATGTGGTGGCTAAAACTGGCATGGCCACTTTGTTACCACGTTACGCCTGAATCAGCAGAACGTGGATCAATATGATCAGAAAGAATCCTGGTTATGTGGTATGTATCCTGATGCAGCTGTGTCTCAAGTCAGAACTACTCTTGGACTTTTCATTTTATTTTTATTTATTTATTTTTTTTGGAGGCAGAGTTTCACTCTTGTCACCCAGGCTGGAGAGCAATGGTGTGATCTCAGCTTACTGCAACTTCTGACTCCCAGGTTCAAGCGATTCTCCAGCCTCAGCCTCCTGAGTAGCTGGGATTACAGGTGTGCACCACCATGCCTGGCAAATTTTTTTGGTATTATTAGTAGAGACGGGCTTTCACCATGTTGGCCAGGATGGTCTCAAACTCCTGACCTCAGGTGATCCACCCCCCTCAGCCTCCCAAAGTGCTGGGATTATAGGTGTGAGCCACTGTGCCCAGCCAGACTTTTTAGTTTATATGAGCCATTTCTGCTTAAGAGAGGTTGGGTTGGGTTTTCTATCACTTATATCCATAAAAGTCTTAACTGGTACAAAAATGAAAACCCTAAATTCTATGCCTTCCTGAACATGGTCAATAGGTTTAGTCTGGAAATTCAAAGCAAAAAATACCCTTTATCATAGGCACAGAAAAACTTCCATATTGTAACACGATTTTGAGGAACATTATCTTTCTGGAAAGCTTATCATTTGGAAGTTGCAAAATACACCTTTATGTAACAAAATGATTAGACTTTTATGGAATTGTTGGCAATCAACTAAATAAATTCTGGATGCCATCTCAAGAAATATCAGTTTTAATTTCAGAGCAGTTATTTTAGCCCATTCTTTCTGAAAATAGTTAATTAGGAAGACTAAGAATCTGTTGAGACCATTCCTAGTTTGTGGAAATAAAACCACAACATCAACATGCAGGTTATTACTTAGGTATTTTCTCTAACAGTAGTCTGTGTAGGCAAAATAACCCCTTGGGGAGAGTTGGACTTTGAGAACTTTCTAAGGCAGATGAACTAATTTTCTTCCAGGAGAGTGTAGCTCTAATGATTTTAAGTGGCCCATGTAGTTGAGCAAACACTGGCCTGGGAATTAGAAAGCCCGAGTTCTAGTTTTAGTTCTGATACTAAATTAACTCATTGATTCTGACCAAGTCCTTTTAACTTCTATGTACCTCAGTTTCCTATAAGACAAGAAATTCAGGCTAGGTGTTAAGTATGGTCTCCTCCAGCTTTAAGATTATGATCCATGAGACCAGCCTGACCAACATGGGGAAACTGTCTCTACTAAAAATACAAAAATTAGCCGGGCATGGTGGCGTGTGCCTGTAGTCCCAGCTACTAGGGAGGCTGAGGCAGGAGAATCGCTTGAGCCCGGTGGGTGGAGGTTGCAGTGAGATGAGATCTCGCCATTGCTTGCCAGCCTGGGCGACAGAGCAAGACTCCATCTAAAAAAGAAAAAAGATTATGATCCAATAATACAGGCATGGCCGATTTACTGTCTCTTCATAAACAGGAAGGTTTCATTATATGAGTAATAGATAAAATAGATAAGTTATTTTATTTATTTTTTTTTCTATTTTTTGAGATAGAGTCTCACTCTGTCGCCCAGGCTGGAGTGCAGTGGCGGATCTCTGCTCATTGCAACCTCTGCCTTCCGGGTTCAAGGGATTCTCCTGCCTCACCTTCCCAACTGGCTGGGATTACAGGTGACTACTACCACACCCGGCTAATTTTTTTGTATTTTTAGTAGAGACAGAATTTCGCCATGTTGGCCAGGCTGGTCTCGAACTCTTACCTCAGTTGATCTGCCTGCCTCAGTCTCCCAAAGTGCTGGGATTACAGGTGTGAGCCACCGTGCCAGGCCATGAAATAATCTTAAAAGTGGCATTTATTTCATTTTGCCTTATATTCATGTATAAACCTTGGTTTCCGTATTTGGGCTGTTAGTAAAATAAGACAAAAATAAAACAAGGAAAAATCAATGTCATGAAGAACTAAAACTAAGCCTAAAGCATGATGTTTATCTGTATATTACTCAATAGGCACTGCTACTGGGCTACGAATGTGAATGTGCCATGGTCCTCGTCCTCAGTAAGTTCCCTGTGTAATAGTGGCGGCAGGTAAACCACAGATCAACTAAAACTAAGCCTAAAGCATGATGTTTATCTATACATTACTCAATAGGCACTGTTATTGGGCTACGAATGTGAATGTGAATGTGAATGCTGACATGGTCCTTGTCTTCAGTAAGTTCCCTGTGTAATAGTGGCGGCAGGTAAACTACAGATCAACTAAAACTAAGCCTAAAGCATGATGTTTATCTACACTCAATAGGCACTTGTTACTGGGCTACGAATGTGAATGTGACATGGTCCTCGTCCTCAGTAAGTTCCCTGTGTAATAGTGGCGGCAGGTAAACTACAGATCAACTAAAACTAAGCCTAAAGCATGATGTTTATCTACACTCAATAGGCACTTGTTACTGGGCCACGAATGTGAATGTGACATGGTCCTCGTCCTCAGTAAGTTCCCTGTGTAATAGTGGCGGCAGGTAAACTACAGGCAACTAAACTACAGGTCACTTTTCTCACAAAAGTGAGAATACAGTTCCTAGACTACAAGGGGGAATGTTTAAGTTGGATAGATAATTTAGAGCTAGCCCTTTAAGGGATAAAGATAATTTAAAGGATGGATGGAGAATTCTAGGCCGAGGGACTAACAGATATTGAGTCCCTACATTAATTACTATAAAAATAAATCAAAGAAGATTCTTACATGAACCTATGCAGGTAAATTCAGATTTTTTTCCCCCTGGTGGATTTGCTCTGAGTTGAGGTAATGAGAGCTAACATTGATTCAGTGCCTGCTATGTTTTGCACTGTTAGGTACTTTACATGTTATCTCATGTAATACCTCTTTAAACCTCATTTTACAACTAAAATTAAATGACAGCTAGGAGCTAGGAAATGGCAAAGTTACGATTCCAAGTCTGGACTGGTTGTCCACAAAAGCCCCTGCTCTTGCCATAATGATGCCACTTCTTTCAAAGAATTCAGAATTTTCTTCACAGCTTTAAAAATGCATAGATTCTGAAGCCTCTCACTTCCTTCCAATTAGTTGCCTACCTAGAAAGTTATTTCCTCCACTTGAGCTCATCACCCCTTCTTAGCGCTCCTTTGGATTACTGTAATTTCTTTTTCTTTGACCTCACCTTTCGTCTGATGGATTAGTGTAATCTTTCCCAAATTTGTTAATCTGAAGAATTCAGGAGCTTCTCAAAATGCAGGTTCCCAAGCCATGCTCCAGGACATCGATTCAGAATTGGATCAAGGCCTAGAATCTGTGTTTTTAACAAGCATTTGACTCAAGGGTATCAAATTGGAGGAAGCACTGAGTTGGTGGACTACCTTAATTGATCTACCCATTTTCAGTCTCTTCTGCCAACCCATTCGCTCCACCCCACCCCCAGTCCGTTTTTCCGTTTTGCCCTCAAGGTCCCTGAAGACTTCCATATCATTTCGCATTGTTTTATTTGGGGCACTGTGCCGCACTACCTGGGCCCACAGCAGGCGCGCAATATTTACTGACAAATACAACCCACGAGGTAGTTCCTATTATTACCCTTCAATTTGAAATTGAGAATAAAACAGAAGTCGACAAGTTGAGGTAGCTTGTGACATCAGTATTTCGTATTTAATCCAGAAAGCACTGCTTCAACGCCCAGTGCGTGCAAGGTTCCACTCTCGGGCCAGCGGTCCTCTCCCAAAGCCCGTTCTTCCTAAGTGTGCGGCCGCCATCCAGGACACGCCACGCTCGTAAAAGGTCACCTGAAGCATCTACCCTCCACGCTCAAGAGGTAGGCGGAGGAGCGCGCCCTTTTCTCCAAAATGGCTGAGCAGGGTCACGTGGGCTCGGGGGCGGGGCCGGTGCGCTCGCCGGAGCCTGGAAGTGGGTCACGTGGCTCAGACGGGGGCGGTAGCTGTGGGGGCGTGGCCGTCACACGGCGCGATCCGTCTGGGCAGCGGCTCTTCGGGGGCCACGCCCTCCGGGCCCTGGGGGCCTAGCGCGCGACGGTGGGGTGGAGCTAGCCTCGTGACCTTTTACCCCAACATGGCTGCGCCCGTGGGACCGGTGAAGTTCTGGCGACCCGGTAAGGCCCTTGGTGGAACGCTGGGCAGATGCGGCGGCCTGACTTCGGTCTTGGCGCCGCGGCCGGCGCCCTGGGGCCAGCAGACCTGCTCGCAGGCCTGACCTCGGCGAGCTGGGCGCTGCCGCCTCTGTGCGGGGGGAGCTCTGGCTCAGGCTCCCCAGTGGTCCCGAGGGATTTGGGGGTGCTCCCCTAGCGTGAGCAGAAACTCTTTGTGACCTTGTTAAAGTGGTCCAGCCTCCTCAGGCCTCGTCTTCCTCGTTACTGATGCTTGTCCTGCCCACCCCGCGAGATGGGGAATCCTAAAGCTCCCTCTCGTGTCTCGTTAGCGCCCTGGGGTTGCGCTGTGGCCCGACAGACAATGCTGCTCGCTGCTGGAGGCTTGCAAGCCCAAGTTATGGAGTCAGACTGTCCGGGTTCGAATTTTCGTCTCTGCCTTGTAGTAGGGTGACCTTGGGCGAGTCACTTAATGCCTCTGAGCCATGACTTCTTTACCTGTAAAGTGGGCAGAACAATAGCTTCTATGCTGTGGGCTTAAATGACAAGCAGAACGCGTTGTCAGACTTAGAATAAATGCTCAAAAAAAGGGAAAGTGTGTTATTTTCTTTTAGGATAATTGTTGTCCACTCCGAATGTCTACTAGAAAAGGGAACAGTCCTTCATATTGGCTGCCAGCCACTTCCTCTCTTACAGACTAACACGAATCACAATCACAAAATGCTTTACTTGTTTTGTCTTGATATTTACTCATTAATCAGGTTTTTACTGAATGTGCATATGCCAGACCGTACTAGATGCATTACTTCCTCTCTGCAAACAGTTTCTTGTAAAAAACAAAAGTTTTTAAATTACAGCTACCAGCTTGATTTTTTTCTACCACCTGCACCCCTGCAGGTCTGGATGTGCAAAGTATATTGCAGCAAAAATGAAATGACACCAAGAATGTAATATAAGCAAAGCTTTTAATTTTTCAGTGGTTCTCTGAAATTCTGACCATGCATATAAGTGATGTGAGAGATAAACCCAAGCAAGAGATATGTTTAATGCTTTTTAAAAATTTGTAGTCTGTCACTTGACAGTTTTATGGTTCAGCATTTCAAGTCATCAGCCAATTATCCATCCTGAGTTTTATTTGCATCCAAAACTAGGAACTTACTAAGTAATGAATACTTTTAATTTATTCACGCTTTTAGTAACAGGTGAAAGTGTTAGGTATAATAAAGAGCTGAATTAATTGTTTGAAATCAGACCAGGGTACTATTTTGGTTAAAGAACGTGGAATTACTCTTAAGAGTTCTATTTCATTATTTAGTTCATCCATTGAGGGTACACTTATTGAAAACCTAATCCTGTGTTCAGGAGACAAATACAGATGCTCAGGGCTCTGCTCTCAAGTTACTGTCTCTCTCTTAATTGAATATAAAGTTAGATGTCCTCTAGAAGAGATTTTACAATGAGACAGAGTAAGGTGGTGGTAAAGAAGATGAGCTCTAGAGTCAGACTGCAGTGCCCATCATGTCTACCACTTACTAAGTTGATGACTTGATAGTCACTTAAATTCTCAAAGTCTCAGTTACTCCATCTGTAAATTGGGTATAATACCTACCCTACCCAAAGTAGTGTTGTGAGGTTTAAATGAGAATAACACACAACAGGATCTTGGCACTAGATAGGTTACTATTATAATTATATGGAAGTATGGAAGAGGGAGGGAAAGTTGAATGTATGGATAAGAAATACTTCATTAAGGTGGTATTTTTGGAGTGAACATTAAAGGATGAATAAGGTTTTGTTTCATAGAGAAATGGAACTCGAAGCAAAGGGTGCAGCATGAACAAAGGCAGAATGGGATTTGTGCCTTTAGAATGTCCAGAAAGCCAAAATAACAGAGCAGTGTGATAGTGTTAAGTGCTAGGGTATATTTTGGGGTATGACAGGAGATGAAGCTAGAAAAGTAGGTAAGGGCCTCATTGTGAAAGGTCTTCATGACAAGTTAAAAAGTTTAGACTTCACTGTTTTTTTGTTTTCTTTCTTTTTTTTTTTTGAGATGGAGTCTGGCTCAGCCGCCCAGGCTGGAGTGCAGTGGCGCAATCTCGGCTCACTGGAACTTCCACCTCCCAGGTTCAAGCGATTCTCCTGCCTCAGCCTCCTGAGTAGCTGGGACTACAGGTGTGTGCCACCACACCTAGCTAATTTTTGTATTTTTAGTAGAGATGGAGTTTCAGCATGGTGGCCAGGATGATCTCAATCTTTTGATCCCGTGATCTGCCCACCTCGGCCTCCCAAAGTGTTGGGATTACAGGCGTGAGCCACTGGGCCTGGCCTGACTTCAGTGTTTTTAAGCAGGAACAAATCAGGTTTACTTTAGAAAGATAACACTGGCAGTGGAGTAGAGAGTGGATGGAGGAGGAAATTAGAGAAGGTACTAGTGAAATCCAGGAGGGATGTTAAAAACCTTAATTCTGACCTGGGAGCTTAGAGGAGGTGCCTGTTGGAGAGACATTTTAGAGGAAGATGTGGGAGAAGATGAAGTCAGTAATAACTCAGATTTCTGGGCTGGGTGACTGTCTAGGTTAGTGATTCTCTAATTTTGCTTTATAGTTGAATCACTTGGGAAGCTCTGAAAAGTCCTGATGTGCACTTGCACCTCACACCAATAAATTAGAACTTTGGAGGCCTAGGAGCCAGGCATCAGTGTTTTTTAAAGTCTCTAAGGAATTCCAGCATGCATCAAAATTTGGGAACCACTGGTCTAGGTAAATTGTGTTGTCATTAGTTGACATGGGAATAGCTTTAGTACACAGTTATTGGGCCGTTGCTTTGTGTTAGTCACTTTCATTTACACATCTTATTAAACAGTCACAGTATCTCTGTGATGACAGTAATACTCTTATTTTAGTGAGGAAATTCAAGATATGAAGTAGGTTGTGGGAAATGCAAGGTGAAAGTCAGGGAAGCTGATATAAGGCTAGACATTCAAATCATGAACATATCCTGTAGGCCTGAGCCTGTGATTACAGAGGTCTTTCAGACAGTCTAAGTGAGTGAAGTTGCTTACTGGAGGTAATAGGGAGTGGTGGGGACTGTGGCAGAGTGTGCATACACTGGATAGTATGTACAGTGGAGATCTACAGTAGAGCTTACATATGCTTTCTAAAATAGGGAGTTGTACTCAGGTCCACCTAATTGTTATCATATGGGTTCAGAGTTGCCCAATTTTTTTTTTAAGAAGCCTAATATCCAGATCTGAATGGGAAAATTTTATGTGTTGTTTTAAATGAATGATTTAAAACATTTTAACAATAGCATGTCTGGGTACCTTAAGATACCCATTTGTGGTGTCTACCTTAGGAGTGTGACTTAAGGGCCTTGTATGACCTGCCTGAGAGTTTTCTACAAAAATCTTTTACTTAATTTGCAAGTACACGTGGATCCGAAGGGCCTGCCCATTTTCGTTTGCTCATTTGATAAATATTTCATGATTGTTGACCATGTGCATGACGAAAACTTTACAATAGGTTTTAAGCTTTTTTTGACTTGACCCACAGTAAGATATAGCACACATACACAACTGAAGAAAAAGTTGTTCATAAACAGTATTGCTTTCTGGAATGTGCTCTGATGCTTTCTATTCTATTTCATTATTTAAAAAGTGCTGGTATGACATACTACATTGATTTCATAACCCACTAATGGGTCACCAGTAAAATTTTTAAAAACCAAGTTAAAGGGAATGAGGAATTAGGGATATCAGCCTTGTTAAGATAGGGAAATGAAGATGTTCATAGTTTGCAAAAGTTATAAAGTTGTTACTCCCTTAAGCATAGAGCGTACGCTCAAGGAAAAATCAATCATAGGCAGCCACAGAGGGGTGTTTATAGAGGGAAAGCAGCCCTGATGTTCTGGTTTGGTTGAAGGAAGTCTTTTATGAGGAGAAGGTATACTGTTTATCAACTGACATAGCTGTTCTTATAAAAGAGCTCAGCTGGGCGTGGTGGCTCATGCCTATAATCCTAGCACTTCGGGAGGTCGAGGTGGGTGGATCACCAGAGGTCAGAAGTTCGACACCAGCCTGGCTAACATGGTGTGACCCTGTCTCTACTAAAAATACAAAATGAGCTGGGTGCGGTGGTGCGTGCCTGTAATCCCAGCTACTCGGGATGCCCAGGCAGGAGAGTCGCTTGAACCTGGAAGGCGGAGGTTGCAGTGAGCTGGCATCTCGCCACTGCACTCCAGCCTGAGCAACAGAGACTCCATCTCCAAAAACAAAAGCTGATAATAGAAGAGATAGATTGGGGCTGTAGGTTAGAGACAAGGGAGGAATACGGTAGTACAAAAGACATGTTAAAATATTCCAGAGAGGATATGAAGGTTTAAAACATGATTTGAAAAGGCAGGAATTCAGGACAAAAACACAGCAGAAAAGGATAAGGTATTCTTTGTCATTGTTTTCTTGAGTAACAATTACAAGGAATTATTAAGATGTAGTGACAAGAAGGGAAGGAAAGAAAGCCTGTCTCTTTGAGGACAGGCATTGTTCCAGGTCCTGTTCCATCTTTTGTCTTGTTGAAAGGAAGGTCAACATTTTGGCAAAAGCAACATGACAGTGCCCCACTTACCTGATTTTTGGCCATCTTGAACCTCTGAAACACAACTCTGTTCCTGGAAGTAAATGGAAAAGGGTCAGAGATCTAAAGCAGTGATTCTAAACTTAGCTCTAGGGGGTCTACGGACCCCCCCGAATTTTATATTCTGGTAAATTCTGGTGTGTTTTTTAGGAGAGGGAGTTCATAGCCTTTATCAGATTGTTGAAGCAATCTGAGAACCCTAAAAAGTGTAAAAGTAAGTCACTGAGCTGAATATTCTTGTTACAAAGCTCCTGTGCTTTCACTTAGCATCACAGATTCTGAGTTCAGAAGACCTAGGAGATGATGGTTATTGGTTATTATCACTGTAGTGCCCCAGCAGGAGGCTGTATAGCATGTGTTTGATCTAGGGAGGATTTTTATTCATTTACAAGGCAGCAAACTCCAGTGCTGAAAAGTGTGACCTTTTGGAAATATCTTCCTTACATTGAGTTGAATTCTGAACCCTGTGTCATTTACTTATTACTCCTAGTTCTGTCCTAGAGTTACAGCAGCAAATCAGCATGAAAAGTTATGGAAGCTGCTCACAAAATTTAAAGTTATGTTTCTCCTGAGTTGTTTTTCTGTTTGAGCTAAAACTGTATGGAACCTTCAACAGGTTTTCATGATGGGATATGGCTTCCCTATTCTTCACCATCATGATCACCAGTTTGTCATTGTTATTAGCAAGAAGCCGGGGTGAAGATCTCTTGTTTAATCTGCCCAGCATGGCGGTTACTGAGAATAGCATTTCCCATCTATCCACTCCCGATTCCATGGTTCCAATGGGGACTGTCATTTACCTCATCCCATTCCACTGGCCATGGTTGATTGTATTGGGGTGGGGATTGGACCTAAGCTGGGAGAAGTCAGTCCCTGTCTGTCCAGTATAAAAGAGCCTCCCCCACCCCCCATTACAACACATACCTGGGACTCCCAGTCCCCCTTACGTTGTCTTTATTTCTCTCCATAGCACTTATGACCACTTCATGCACCAAGTTACTTTCCACTGAGAGGAAGAATTAAAAAAGCAAGTGAGCTCCGTGAGGGTAGGGCTGGCATCTGTATTGTTCACTGCAGTGTTTCTAGTGCTTAGAGTGGTACGTGACATGGAGTGGGCCCTTGGTCCATCCTTGCTGGTCCTTGCTGGACCACGATGAATGATTGGTAGAGGAGTTGTAAGCGTGAACCCTGGCACTGCCGGCAGCCGTCTTTCCAGCTCCTGTACAGTAGCCAACCTAAGGGGCTGGAAGGAACCTGCAAGACGTGCCAAGATGAGAGAAGGAGAAAGCCATGGCTGCTTTGAGTGCCCAGTTTCTGTCATCTCTGAGCCTTATTGCCATCCTACAGTAACAAGATTCATCCTTTTACCTCAGCTAATTCCCACTGGGTTTCTTTCACTTCTGTTAAGAATTCAGTAATAACATGGACATGGAGGCCAGAAGTAAAGACACTGTGCTCTGTAATACACAGTTCTGAGTGGCCAATTTGGAGCCCAGTGGGACTGCCATCTCGTTTCTTTTTTCTTTTTTTTTGGAGACAGAGTCTTGCTCTGTCGCCCAGGCTGGAGTGCAGGGGCCCGATCTTGGCTCACTGCAACCCCTGCCTCCTGGATTCAAGCAATTCTCCTGCCTCAGCCTCCCGAGTAGCTGGGACTACAGACACACACCGCCATGCACGCCTGGCTAATTTTTTGTATTTTAGTACAGGTGGGGTTTCACCTTGTTGCCCAGACTGGTCTCTAACCCCTGAGCTCAGGCAATCCGCCCGCCTCGGCCTCCCAAAGTGCTGGGATTACAGGCGTGAGCCACTGCACCTAACCCTGTCTTGTTTGTTTTTGACACTGCAGTGAAGCTTTTAGGGAAGATTTTTAGTTCCTCGTAGGCACTTTTCTGGATTCTTTCCTAAAGTTAAGGTTGAATACCTTTGAGTAGTTTGAGATAAAAAGTATTGCTTCTTCTGTATATCTTCATCTTTGAAAGTTTATAAACTTAACACCTTTTTCTGTTCATTGTATCAGAGAATCTGAAAAAAAAACATTTCTGCTGCAGGTACAGAGGGGCCAGGTGTAAGCATCTCTGAAGAGAGACAAAGTCTGGCTGAAAACTCTGGGACAACGGTTGTTTACAACCCTTATGCTGCCCTTTCCATAGAGCAGCAGAGGCAGAAGCTGCCGGTATTCAAGGTACGTCAAATAATCATGTTCAACCTGTGGGCTTGAATCGTGTGTCTGCATTAGCTTTATGCTCAGCACTGAAGGGAATGATGGCCTCTTTCTAGAACACAGTGAGCTCAGAGAAACCCTTACTGTAAGGGATGACTTTTCATACTGTGTATTTTTTAGTTAACCTTATAAATCTTGAAAGTCCTTAAGATTTTTTCAGTTGCATCGTACATACTGGAAAACTGGAGGAATTAGAATGACTTTTGTTTTCCCCTTTATTCCTTTCAGCTGTGGACAATTTCAGATATACAGAAAAGTAGAGAAAATAGCAGTTAATTTCTATATAACAGATTACCAACATATGGCCAATTTTTGCTTTATTTTTAAAGTCACTCCTTTAAACAAGTTTAATTGGGAATATGAGGTTGTTTCTGCTGAAGACATCAGTTAATACTCTGACTTCCTCTGAGACAGTGACAGGATTTTGGTATGGTTACTACTTACCAAGTGCACATCCAGACACTCAGTTTTATTAGCGCTCACGAAACAGATGTGTGCTCAGCTACAAGAGACCAAAGTGCAAACTAGAATTCATTCAGAACTGTTCATTTATGGCTAGCAATAATTCTCCAGTACAGATGGACACAGTTGACATATACACTTTGTCCCTGTTGGCACATCCACATGGGAAGCCAAATTGTAATCAGGAAGTACAGAGCCAAGACAGGTTACAGAAATGTCATACAGCCCCTGATGAGGGGTGAATTCTCCCTGCTCCACAGGATGCCCTTGGAATGACCCGAGTAGGTGTGGCCACCAGCATCTGTGTCTCTTTCTTTCTCCTGGACGGTGCTGGGTGAAAGTTGCTGTGTTCTATCTATCTGTCTGTCTGTCTGTCTGTCTGTCTATCTATCAGACAGGGTCTTCCTATATTGTTCAGGCTGGTCACGAACCCCTGAGCTCAAGCAGTTCTCCTGCCTCGGCCTCCCAAAGTGCTGGGATTACAGGTGTGAGCAGCCAAAAGGTGCCAAGTTCTTATACTCATGGAGTTCTTTTGACTAGACTGTGCTGATAATTCCTCTTCTATTAATGTGTTCTTTCTCCAAACAGATAGGCAACAGCAGCCTTCTTAATTTAGCCAGATTGCCTTACTTGGAGTTTTATGTGGCTCCCAATATTTTAGTCACAAGTGAACTGACTGTCTCTGGGTTTCTTCCTCAAGTGACTAACACATTCACTATGTATGAATGTTAGCAAGTTTGACTTTCAGGAGATGAAATGATAGGTTTACTATTGCTTTCTCACCACTGAGGGACAGTTTGAGCTGTGATGAAGTGTCCGGACTCTGGAGCTAGACTTCAGGGTTCAAACCCAAGCTTCACCATTTGTGTGCTGTGTGACCTCACTTCTCCATTCTGAGCTTCTTTTCTTTATCTGTGATGTAGGACTACAGGAGCACCTACCTCATAGGACTGTTATGAGGACCAGATGAGATCATCCATGCAGAGCATTTAGCAAGATACCTGACATGTAGTAAATGCTCAAGTACAAGGGAAATTACTGTTTACTCAAGTATTTAAATTTTGGCCTTTTCTTGACTATTCTTTGTCTCCCAACTGTACTTACAAGATAACATAAATGAAACAGCAAATGAAAAAAAAAAAAGCAACAAGAAGTTAAGAAATGTTTATGAAATTAAAATGGTAAGAAGAAGGGTGTAAGTTACTGATATAAAGCAAAGCAGAGTTTAAGTACAGTTGAGATCTTATAAGATGTTGAAGATGAATCGAGACAAAAAGGAAAACAAGTTACCTCTACGCCATCCTTTTTCCCTTTCAAACAAAAAGTAAAAGTAGCTTTAAAAACAGAAATTGGAGGCTCGGTGTGGTGGCTTACGGCTGTAATCCTATAGGCTTTGGGAGGCTGAGGCGGGTGGATCACTTGAGACAAGGAGTTCGAGACCAACCTGGCAAACATGGTGAAACCCCATCTCTACTAAAAATATAAAAAATTAGCCGGGCGTGGTGGCACATGTTTGTAATCCCAGCTACTTGGGAGGCTGAGGCAGGAGAACTCTTGAACCCGGGAGGTGGGGGTTGCAGTGAGCCAAGATTGCACCACTGCACTCCTGCCTGGGCAACAGAGCGAGACTCCATCTCAAAAAACAAAACAAAACAAAACAATGTTGGAACTAAAGCATCAAGAGATTGTTAAAGATCACTGCCTCTTCCCCAGCACCATTATGAGGCCACCTGTTCCCTTGTCTGCCTTCTTTAGGCTGCTGTATAGACAATAGTGACTCTATCTTGGATGCAAGTCTGCCATGTTCACTTCTGTTTAGACCCAGTCTTATAAATGCCTCCTGATTTCTGCTTTGTATATTGTCCTTAGTGTAAGAACATGTCAACCTCTCTGGGGGCAGCACTATTGACAGCTTCTTGTTTTGTTTTGTTTTTCCCCAAAAACAGTCTACGCATAAACAAGTAGATACGTGTTTGCCCTAAGAAGAATGCAGTTACTAGGGTATTATTCACACTGTTCTACATCTCACTTCCTTTTCTTAACATATCTTATAGTTCATTCCATATCAGTACAAGTAGATATTTCCTCTTCTTAATAACTACAAATTATTCCATTATTGGAATATTTTATGACTGATTTAACCAAACTTTTGTTGATCAACATTTAGGCTGTTTGAATTTTTGGCTATTATAAACAACTCTGCAATGAGTATGCTTGTATTTATGTCTTTGTACACATATAGTATGTAGCAGTATGTCTATAATTTCTTGTTTTTTTTGTTTTGTTTTGTTTTTTTTTTTTTTTTTTTTTTGAGACAGAGTCTCACCCTGTTGCTCAGGCTGAAGTGCAGTGGCATGGTCTCGCCTCACTGCAGCCTCCCCCCGCCTGGGTTCAAGCAATTCTGCTGCCTTAGCGTCCTGAGTAGCTAGTATTACAGGCACTTTCCACTGCGCCCAGCTAATTTTTGTATTTTTAGTAGAGACAGGGTTTCACCATGTTGGCCAGGCTGGTCTTGAACTCCTGACCTCATGATCCACCCCCGGCCCTGGCCTCCCAAAGTGCTGGGATTGCAGGCGTGAGCCACCTCACCCGGCCTATAATTTCTTATAAGTGAAAATGTAAAGGGCGTATGCATTATGTATTTTGATAAGTGTTAACACGATTGCAGTTGTATTCGCTCATACTGAGAGGAACAGTACCTGAGGGTTAGAAATACATTTTGATAGTTCTACTTAAAATTCACTTTCCTTTGAAAACAGCTCATTTCACAATGTTTAAATATCGTTGTTTAGGTCTTTTGAGACAATGTATGGCTATTTGCAAGGTGTGTTATTCTTTTTCAGCTTAGGAATCATATTTTATACTTGATAGAAAATTATCAGACAGTGGTGATTGTTGGTGAAACAGGATGTGGGAAGAGCACACAGATTCCTCAGGTGAGTACATATTTAATAAGTGTCTTTACACTTCGATTTGGCTGGAAGAATTTTGTAACTTGAGAGCTCTCTTTACTATCATTTACATTTTTAAGGTCTCCTTTCAGGAAATGTTCACTTCAACTAGATATTTTTTATTAAACTTTTAGGGCTTATAATTTCTTTGGTGAGTACTAAAGTAACAGTTTGTCTTCGATTTATTATAATTCCAAAATAGTAATGGAATGGCCATCTTCTGAAAGTTACAATGGAGATTTATTCAAAGATGTGAAATATAGAGTTTTTATCCTTAAATAGTTACAGTTGAAGGGGTGGGGTAAAATGAATTTTGCTGTAGTTGTAAATAAAAATTGGCTGTTATAGTATTATGCAGTGCTATGGAAGAACCCTTTCTTACTAGGAAAAATCCTATGTGATGTGGATAGGAGTAGAAAGAAGGATCAAGAAAGGCCTTGTAAAGGAATTGGCATTTGAAATTGACCTTGACTGGGAGCTGACTGAGAAGATATTCCAAGCCAGTGAATATTGTGGTTAGAAATACTGGGGTGGAGAAGTGTAGGGTGAGTTCAGAGTGTGTCTTAAGAACCTTAACTTGAAGAGTGAAGACTGACTGAGCTTGAGAGACCTTGCAGGTTCTTACTTCCTTTTTTAATGTTAATTTTCTTGAGGTATGACATATATGTAGGAAAGTACCTATATCATAATTGTACACCTTGATACATTTCTGCAAGTGGAATACATCTGTGTTACCAGCACCCAGATCAAGAAGCAGAACATTACCAAAACCTCAAGAACTCTTCTTCTGTGTTCTGTTCTCATCTCTAACTGCCATGTCTGCTTACCCCTACAATCATGAACACAAGGGTAGCTCTTATTCTGGCTACTAACCTCATAAATTAGTTTTGCGTATATTTGGAATTTTATAAAGGAATAATATAGCTGCTTTTGTCCAACGTTATGTGTGAGTCTTCCTTGGTGTTGAATTAGTTGCAGTTTGTTCATTCTCATTACTGCATAGCAGGGTTCGGCAAGTCACAGCCAGTGTGCCAGATGCAGCCCGCTGCCTGTTTTGTAGAGAAATCTTTGCTGGCACACAGCCACTCCTACTTGTTGATATATTGCCGGTGGCTCCTTTCAGGCTACCACACAGGGTTGAACAGTTTTGACAGAGACCCTACGATCCTCAAAACCTAAAAATTACCATCTGGCCCTTTACAGAAATGTAAAATGTAATGCTAACCCCTGCTAGTTAGTATTCCACTCTATGAGTATTCTGTGGTTTGTTTATTTTTCCTGTTGTTACTGACATTTGAGTCATTCCTAGTTTTTAGTTATGGATAGTGCTGCTGTGAACATTCATGTGCTTGTCTTTGGTGAACGTATGTGCACATTCTCCTGCTGGGCTCTACCTAAGAGTAGCATTGCTGGATCCTGTGTTCAACTTTAGTAAATAATGTCTAAGATATTCAAAGTGGTTGTGTCCTTGTAGGGTTTGCAAGCAAGTAAACAATATGACAAGCTGAGCTTTAGATAAATGATTATATTGAGATATAAGGTGACTTAGAAACTGGAGGAGGCAGGCCATAGAAAGCTATTGCAGTGGTCTAGAGAAGGATGGTGTAACGGGGTCCTCAACCAAGAGGTGATAGTGGGATAATCTGGTGAGGATGGGAAGGAGAACAATTTACAATTTTAGCGTTAGGGTCTGTAGACATTAGAAACTTAGGTTGGTGCTTTTGCACCAATCTAATAGATGGATATTTGTGATGACAAAGGGGAAGGGACAAAGGTGCACAGTGACTGATCACGACTTGCTGCCTTGGCGAACAGTGCTAGTATTAAATGTGATAGAAAAGTAAAGATTGTTTTTTTGAGGGGAAATTAATGTGTGTGTTTTTAAACATATTTATTTTTTCCTATATTATTGATGGCCTTTGATGACATTAGCAGGAAGTTTGGAATGGGAATCTGAAGCTTGGCAGAGGTCAGACGTAGAAGGTGTGGACATAGGGATTGAACATCCTGATACATGCAGGAAGGAGATGGAACAGAAATAACTGAGAAGAGGATTAAGGACAAAGTCCATGGAGCATCAACATTCAGGAGTCAGGAGCAGAAAGGAGATAGAATGGCAGCCAGGGAAATGACAGAGGAACCAGCAGACTCTTCATGGTTAGAGAAAGCAAAGACAGAGTGAGGTTTCTGGAGAGGTGGGTAGGTGGCAGTTTCAGCCAACAGAGCGGCCAGGGAGCAGGAGAACTGGTTCAGTCCTGGGTTATTCATCTTGGAGATAGCACGTCCAGTGGTAGGGTTTTAGGGTTAAGGGTGTCTAAGGGTAAGATGATAAAAATCCCTTTGCATATTTGAATATGTTAACAATGTGTTGTTGACTGTTTGGTCCAGACTTGTGGTCATGCCAGGATCTGTGTAGATCTTTTTTTTTGTCTGCTCCCCAACTCCATTTTGAATAATGGGTTTATAAATAGGTTGGGACCCAGATGTAGGTATTTTTTTAAAGTTTCCCAATAGACAGCTAGGGAAAGGTAGACAGACCTAGTAAAGGTAGATGACCTAGTAAAGGACAACTTGAAATGCATGCAGCAGAGGAAATGGTGGCCTGGAGGAAAAAGATAACCGTATATGCAGATGGAATTGAGAGCCTAGTAAGTTACTCATTTCTTACAGGAAGAAACAGGAGAAAGGTTAAATTACTGTGTGATTGTCATTTAGAGAGTAATATAACAATAGTATAACAAGTAATAACAGTAATAAGTGCTACATAAAGTGATTTTACACATGTTGATCTGTTTAATCCTCAATGACCCTATGAAGCAAATACCATTATTATCTTCATTTTATAGGTGAGGACACTGTAGAGAGTAATGAGGTTATGGAATATAGAACAGAGGTAAAAGACCACATGATGTTCCAGAATTGTTTGGGAATTAGTCTGTGACGTTATGTAGTCAGCTTAGGATAAACTATGTTCTGGTAACAAAGAACCTGAAAATCTCAGTGGCTTAAAAACACAAAGGTTTATTTCTTGCTCATACTGTGTGGTTATCTTGGGTTGGCTTTGAGATTCTATCACATCATCATTGGGCCTTAGGCTGATGGTACTGCTCTTATGAGGCACTTGTTGATCTTGTGGTAGATGGCAGAATCATGAGACAGCTCTTAAAACTTCTGACCAAAAGTGGGCCTTCTGTTCACATTTCATTGGTCAAAGCAAGTTATATGGCCAGGCCTGATAGCAACGGGGTGACAGTGTATATAATCCTCCCATAGGGATGGGTGGCAGGTATTTGGAACAATGATAAATATATCACAGTGATTTGGCCATTTACTCCTGCAAGGCTTAGCTGCCAGGGAACAGAGAGGGCCTGCTGTGTTACTAAGTCCAGGGAAAGCTGGTGGGAAGGAGAAAGAGCAGAGGCTGAGGATCTAGGCTGGGTAATGTGGGCAAACAAAGGTAGTTTTTTTTTCTTTTAATTTTAAGATTTGAATATTTTTAATATTTTTGAACATTAATAGGTTCACATGATTTAAAATTCAAAAGGCACAAAGGGACATACAAAGATTTCCTTCTGCCCTGTCTTCCTGGTACCCATTTCCTTTGTGCAGTTATAATCAGTATTATGAGTTTCTTGGTAGAAATTTTTTCATGCATTTACAGAGAAGTGTCTGTGTGTGTGTGTGTGTGTGTATGCACATATATGCCCTATTTTAAACATGAAACATCTATACATGTTTTAGTATGCCTTGACTTTTTTTTTTTTTTTTACTTATTCTTTCATTTTAAAAAAAAACTGTTTTGAATTGACACATAACTGTGCATATTTATGGGATTTAGTGTAATGTTTTGATATATGTATATGTTGTATAATGATCAAATCTGGGTCATTATCATATCCATCACCTCAAACATTTATCATTTCTTTGTGGTGAGAACCTTCAAAATCTCCCTTAGCTATTTTGAAGTCTATGGCACATTATTGTTAACTATAGTCACTCTGCTGTGCAGTAGAACACCAGAACTTATTCCTCCTATATAACTATAACTCTGTGCTTGTTGACCAACCTTTTATTCTCCCTACTCCCTGTTCCCCTCTTCCCTCTGCAGCCCCTAGTATCCACTGTTCTATTCTCTACTTTTGTAAGATCAACTTTTTTAGATTCCACATGTGAGTGAGCTCATGCAGTATTTGTCCTTCTGTGCTTGGCTTATTTCACTTAATATCATGTCCTCTAGGTTCATCTGTGTTGGCGCAAATGACAGGATTTCATTCTTTTTTATGACTGAATAGTATTCTATTGTGTATATATATCACATTTTAAAAACCAGTTCATCTGTTGTTGGACACCTAGGCTGATTCCATGTCTCGGCTGTTGTGAATAGTGATGGGAGTGTACATGTCTCTTTGATGTTCTGGTTTCCTTTCCTGGGAATAAATACCCAGTAGTGGGATTGCTGCATCATATGGTAGTTCTGTTTTTAATTTTTCGAGAAACCTCCATATTGTTGTCCATAGTGGCTGTACTAGTTTACATTGTCACCAACAGTGTGCAAGAGTTCCCTTTTCTCCACATTCTTGTCAACATTTGCTGTCGTTCATCTTTTTGATAGTAGCCATTCTATCTGGGGTGAGGTGGTATCTCATTGTGGTTTTGATTTGCATTTTCCTGATGATTAGTGATGTTGAGCATTATTTCGTATATATGAAATAATACACTGTGCATCTTCTTTTGAGAAATGTCTATTCAGGTCTTTTGCCCATCTTTTTTTTAACTTTATTAAAATACTGAGTTTTATTTCACATTTATTTTACATATTTTTGTCTCCCCACCATTTCCATGTCTGACCACCACTACTATTATGTCCTATCATGACATTCCATACATACCTAAAACCAAGCAAAGGGTGGAGTTCCATCTTTAAAAATGAAACAGGCATTTTGGACAACGCAGTCTTGGCAATGGAACCTGGACAACATTTATCAAACACGGTAGGGAAAGTTCTCACTCTGCATTATAAAAAGAACAGCCAGATATCAACTGTTGCTGCTTGCATTTTTGCTTTAGTGTTTTCTACAGAACTTTTGATATTTTAGGAATTTTTTTCTTGTTTTTTGAAGGATTCTTGTCCTTTTGATCTTGGTGTTGGTGGTATTGAGTCTTTTCCATTCTGATTTGACTTTTGTGCATTTTTTGGCTGGAGTATCTTGTATAGCTTTCTTTACTGGGGCTTTTTCTTCAGTTTCCTCATCATCAAAATCATCATCATTAGCAGCAGCAGCAAGTTTTACTTTTTTCTCTGGAACGTTGCTACCACCTCCAGGGGCAGATCACCTTCCAGATATACTTAAGAATTTCACATCTTCTTCCTCTTCATCTTCTGACTCTGCATCTTCCTCTACAGCTACTAAGTGCTGTCCACTAATATGCACTGGCCCTGAGCCACACTTCAACTGTAAGACCACCGGTGGTATTATTTCAAAGCCCCTAAGGGAAATCATTGGCTGTACAGACATTTTCAAAGTTGCCAGTGTTACTTTAATTGGACTGCCTTCGTAATTCATTGCCTCTGCTTCAACAATGTGCAATTCATCCTTTGCACCAGCCCCTGAGCTGACCGTTCTTAAAGATAACTGGTGCTCATCTTCATCATTATCCACCTTAAAGTGATCATCTTTGATGGCCTTTAGTTCACAACCAAAAAGATAGTTCTGGGGCCTCACAGGGCTCATGTCCGTGTCCATCACATCTTTCATGGGGTGGTGGCACGTACTTAGGTGGGAGAGAAGGCGGATGGAGATAAATGACCCCTGCTCCAGAGAACAGCTGTGCAGGGCGGAATCACACCCTTTTGCTCATTTTAAATTGGATTTTTAGTTTTTTGCTATTGAATTGTTTGAGCACCTTATATATTCTAGATATTAACTCTTTATCAGATAATAGTTTGCATTTATTTTCTCCCATTCTGTAGGTTTTCTCTTCACTCTGTTGATTGTTTTCATTGCTGAACAGAAGCTTTTTAATTTGATGCAATCCCGTTTGTCTATTTTTGCGTTTTGTTGCCTATGTTTTTGAGGTCATATCCAAAAAATCCTTGCCCAGACCAGTGTCATGAAGTGTTTCCCTTCTCTTTTGTTCTGGTAGTTTCATAACTTTGGTCCTTTCATTTAAGTCTTTTATCCATTTTGATTTGATTTTTATATGTGGTGAGAGTTAGGGAACTGGTTTCATTTTTCTGCGTGTGATTATCTAGTTTTCCCAGCACCATTTATTAAATAGATTGTCCTTTCCCTAAGATGTGTTCTTGGTGCTTTTGTTGAAAATCACTTGACTTTAAATGTGTGGATTTACTTCTGGATTTTCTGTTCTGTTCCATTGGTCTGTGTGTCTGTTTTTATGTGAGGACCATGCTGTTTTGTTTATAGCTTTGTAACGTTTTTTGAAGTCAGGTAATGCCTTCACACTTGGTCTTTTTTTTCACATAATGTATTGTTGGTTTTTTTTTCCAGTTCCATAGATGCTAGTATGTGAACATAATTTACCAATCCCCAATTGATAGACATTTAGGTTGTTTACAGTTTTGTATTATCACAATGATGCAGTGGAGTCAGTTTGCACATAAATCATTTTGCACACATATAGATATTTTTATAGAATAAATAAAATACTTATGGGGTTGCTGGCTCAAAACACATGTGCATTTGAATTGAATTATTTTAAGGAATTGCATTTTATTATAAACTTTTTAAAAATAGGAAATACATTTACATAGTACAAAATTCAAAAAGAACAAAGGAATAAATGGTGAAAAGTTAATCTCCTAAGCTTTGCTGTTGAAAATGACTAGATCATTGTAATAGATTGTATTATTGGTCCAAATATCTGCTACCCCTCTTATGGAGTATTCCCTTTTCTCCTAGCCACTCAGTTCCCCGTACCTGAGACAGTCACTGTTTCCAACTTATTGTGAAGCTAAATTTGGGCTATGATCTAGGAAAATTGGAATGGCTGAGGAACTAAAGGTTACAGCAAGGATACGGAGCAGGTTTTTCTCTCTTGTTAGATTTATATAGTACCTTTCCTTGGGAAAAAACAATGTGCAAAAGCACTGGATACTTAATAATTTTGAAATTCTACAAACTATATGTAGAACCTAGATGATTTTTTTTTTTTTTACTAGAGTTCTGTAAAAAAAAAAAACAAAAATAAGGGCTATGAACACAAGCTCTTCTTAAGTACAATTTTTATTAGTACTGTTATTGGTGGAGTTCTTCCTAATTCTGTCCTTTAGCCAGAAGCCCAGATTTGGTGATCCTTAAAAAGAGTGGAGAACTCAGATGGACTTCAGCTACGTTTTAGTGATCTCCCTCCGTGACTCTCCACTGCCTCTTGACGTTAGCACTACACCTGCTTTTTCAGTAGCTTTAAATTTCCACCTCTCAGCAATCATAAGCATGCCATAGAAGTCTGAATCACACAGGGTATTGAGGTGACTAGCTTTATGGACAGGCTTATTTTTATGGAAATTGTTTTTCTTTCACTTAACACTACTGCTAAGAGATTGGCTATGTGTGTTTGAAGTAGGATAATATGTTGTGTTCTGTTTATGTGTCATGACTTTGGTTTGCTGAGCTTGAAGTCCAGGATACAGATTTTTATTTGTTTCCTTGGACAAATTATGTGGCCTCTTTGTTTCCTCATCTGTGTATTGTTGATGATGATGTTACCTTCCTTATAGAATTTGTTTTGAGGATTAAATGGGTCAATGCATATAAGGCACTCAGTACAGTTCCTGGCACTTAATAAGGTACTCATTGACTCTTAGCTATTATTCTTATAGTTCTGTTTTTTTTTTTTTTGTATTTGTGTTGATTGGGGTGGTTGGTAGTATTTTGTATATGTATTTAATACAAGATAAACTTTATAGTTTTTATAGCAAAAACCCTACATTATCTTCAACCCTTTGTTTCTTACAGTCATTTTCTAAACTTTATTTTTAACTACTTTTAGACTAATAGAAAAATTGCAAAAAACAATACAGAATTCCCTTATACTCTTCACTACTAGTGCAGAGATCGAAAGCAGGCCATTAACATTGGTACAATAATAGTAATTAGACTATAGGCCTTATTTAAATCTCATCAGTTTTCTTACTAAGGTTCTTTTTTAGTTCTAGGATCCTACATTGCATTTAGTTGTTGTTTCTCCCTAATCTTTTCTAGGTTGTGCGAATTCCTCAATATGTCTTCATCTTTCATGAACTTGACACTTTAAAAGACTAATGGGATTTACTTTGTAGAATGTTCCTCAGTTTGGGTTTATGTCATGTTTTCTCATGATTAGAAGGAGCTTATGTATTTTTGGCAAGAATACTACAGAAATGATATTGTATCCTTAGTGCATCATTTCAAGGGTTCATAATGTTGATATGTCTTGTCACTGGTAATAGCAACTTTGGTCACTTGGTTAAGGTTCCAGCTTTTGCCTGTGAAACTACTGTCTTTCCCTTTTTAGTTGATATGTATCTTGGGGGACATATTTTCACACTGCAAATAGTCTACTTTTCTTCCAACTCTCACCTACTAAGTTTAGTATCCCCCTCAGTGGATCTTGTCTGTAGCAGTGATGATTTTCTTTTCTCCTCTTTCCCTCTATCTTTATTAAATGTAATTTTCTGTAAGGAAGAACTGTGCTTTCTTCCTCACTTATTTCTTAGATTATTTGCGTGTATCAATATGGATTCATAGATACTTATTTTTTTCTATGTGTTAAAGCCCAATACTGTCATTATTTATTGTGTTGCTCAGATTGTTTCATCTTTGAACATTAGAAGCTCCTTCATTTTGGCTCCTGTTTTCTTTCTAAAGCTTTCATTTTTTTGACCGCTTCCTTACTTTCTAGTACTACAAGATGTTTCAGGCTTGTCTTATATTTTTTCCTACACAAGCCCTGGTTCCTTTTATTGGAGAATGATGTTTAGAAATCATGATCTGGGGCCGGGCGTGGTGGCTCACACCTGTAATCCCAGCACTTTGGGCGGCCAAAGTGGGTGGATCACCTGAGGTCAGGAGTTTGAGACCAGCCTGGCCAACATGGCAAAACCTGGTCTCTACTAAAAATACAAAAAATTAGCCGGGCATGGTGTTGCATACTTGTAATCCCATCTACTAGGGAGGCTGAGGCAGGAGAATTGCTTAAACCCAGAAGTCGGAGGTTGCAGTGAGCCGAGATCACGCCATTGCACTCCAGCCTGGGCAACAGAGCGAGACTCTGTCTCAAAAAAAAAAAAAAAAAAAAGAAATCATGATCCGGATGCTAGAGTGCTCATTGCTACGAGATGTCATTGCTGAGTCTCAGTGAGCAGACTTAGGAAATATATGTATGAATATTAAGCCATACATTATAAAAACATCTAGCTATCTGTATCTGTCTATCCATCTATATTTTAAACACCATGAGTTTATGCAAATGCTTCTGATTCCAATCTAATACCATAGGGCTCTTTTGAGCCTTTCTTTATTTATAACTTCTCTGCAACAATGAGAAGCTTAGTCCTTATCATCTACAGTATATTTGTGGATTCATTAAAATAGTTTCAGAATTGCTAACTTGTAACCTTGTTTGGATATTTACTAACTAGATTACAGCATTTATGTACAGTTCTTTCTGTCTTTAGCCTTACAACATACAGTCAAGATATATTTTTCCATCATTCCTTAGGTAAGTTCTTTTCTTCTCCACCCCCTGCAGTGTGGTTATGTTATTCATTTGTAGTATAGAAAGGGTCATCTGTTAGTGTTTATATTTCCTTTAGGTTTCCCTCCACATCCTGGTTGGTTTTATTTGTCTTCTGGGTGTTTAAAAAGTATGTGAAACATGCATGGCTGTGATTCTCAGAGTCAGAGCTACACAAAAAGATCTATTGAGAGCATTGACACGCCCTCTTTATCCCTGTTCCCCTCCCTCCATTTCCCCTTCTTTCTACACCTTTCCCACCCATTCCCTGTAGACAACCATTTCTTAGTATCTATATTATCCTTCCTTTATTTCTTTTGAACACATGAGCAGGTACACGCAGTAACTTTTAAAATCTTTTTTCTATTGTAGAAGTAATACATGTTCATTGTAAAACTATTAGATGTTAGAAAAACATGTAACTGATAACCACTGTTATCCGTATTGGATTTTAAGTGCATATAATCAAATAAATACATAGATATTAAATAAGTAGGTAACTCAGATAAATACACTTAATCAAATTTTTTTTTTTTTTTTTTGAGACAGAATCTCTCTCTGTCACCCAGGCTGGAGTGCAGTGGCAGGATCTTGGCTCACTGCAACCTCCACCTCCCAGGTTCAAGCGATTCTCCTGCCTCAGCCTCCTGAGTAGTCACGATTACAGGCATGTGCCACCACACCCACCTACGTTTTTATATTTTTGGTAGAGACGGGGTTTCACCATGTTGGCCAGGCTGGTCTTGACGTCAAGTGATCTGCCTACCTCAGCCTCCCAAAGTGCTGGGATTACCGGCATGAGCCGCCGTGCCTGTTCAATCAAATTTTATATATGTGTACTAATCTAATGGTGTATAGTCATATATATAAAATCCAGTTGTTTTATTTAATATGGCTGAAATGTGTTGTGTGGTTGATATTTATGTTGAGCCATCTCTATATGTGCTTAAAAATTCTTTGTTCTACAGAGTTAGCACTGTTTTGAGTGACCTGTGGATAATTTTTTGTTCCCTGAGGCATCTGTAGTACATGGTGATTTTCCAGGACTGGGGTGTCAGAATGCTGGAATTGCGCCTTAGTTCTTCTGTTGATCAGCTTTGATGTGAACTTAAGTAAATCACCTAACATTACCAAGCCTCAGATCCTCCATCTGTAAAATAATTCCCAAAGTTCTGCTGGGACAAGAACTGTACTTTTTCCTTTCTTAGTGATTTTAACACAATACGGGAGCATCTTGGGGGAGATTGCTCTGCAAAAGTGGTATCATATGTATACTTAGATGTGATTTTGTTTGTAGTACCTTGCAGAAGCCGGCTGGACAGCTGAAGGAAGAGTGGTAGGAGTGACCCAGCCTCGAAGAGTGGCTGCTGTTACAGTGAGTTTCTTTTTGTGTTGGAAAGATTCTATCTGTGTTGTCTACATTTGTGATTTGTTTACATTTCCTAAAGGCTTTAAATGAATAGAAGTTGCTCCTTAAGAGTTTAGGTCTTCAGTTTTTATGTTTTTTTTATTTTTATTTTTTTCCTCAGACAGAGTCTCACTCTGTTGCCCAGGCTGGGGTGCAATGGAGCTATCTCAACTCACTGCAACCTCCGCCTCCTGGGTTCAAGCAATTCTCCTGCCTCAGCCTCCCGAGTAGCTGGGATTACAGGCATGTGCCACTACGCCTGGCTAATTTTTTTATATTTTTAGTAGAGACGGGGTTTCACCATGTTGGCCAGGCTGTTCTCAAACTCCTGATCTTGTGATCTGCCTGCCTCAGCCTCCCAAAATGCTGGGATTACAGGCATGAGCCACTGTGCCTGGCCAGGTCTTCTGTTTTAAAAGAATTATGATTTGAATATTTTTGTTAAATTGATCCTGCACATTATGAACGTTTTAAACAATAAAGTGCTGAGGAAATAAAAAAACAATATATTTTTAAAACCCCAAATTTCACCATCCAACATAAACAATGTGAACATTTGTGAACATCATTCCAAGCTTCTCCTAAAGATGAAGATGAATGGTTGACTGGCTGGATAGAAATAATTTTATAAAAATGAGATCATATTTAATATTTATTTTTTATTGAATTTAACAAAATAGGAAACTTTAGTGAAATAGGAGTAGCGACTGTACTTTGGATAAATGTTCACCGCAAGATAATTTATTAAAGCTTGAAAAGTAAGAAAAAAGAGTACAAAAAAATTCAAGATGTTACCTATATTTCAAATTACGCCTTATAGTTTCCTGTTATGAAAGAAGAGGAAATTAGCACATGTATTCTTCTTTCCACCTTCCCTTTCTCCATTTGTTGTAGATACAGTCCTGTCATTTTCATTTCAAGATTTATAATATACATGTTCTTAATCATAATTCTCACAGGTGTTTAACCTTAATTCTAGCTTGAATGGATTCATTACTCATCATTAGTTATTTTCTATGGTTTTGCTAACCTTGAATTGCTTGTTTTGCTTTTATTTCTTGTATTGGCTGAATTTTATCATTCAGCTTTTTTTTTTTTTTAATATGCTTGAGAATGTTCAGTTGTGGTTTTTGTTGATATAAAATTCTTGATTCACACTGTCCCTGCAAACTGCAGACTTTGCTCACTGCCTTTTGGCGTTGAGGATCACTGTGTAGAAGTCTGAGCCACCATAAGTTTTTTGTTGATAGTATGTTTGAATTCTTTTGTTGTTTTTAAATTAGCTCTGAGAGATTGGGTGTGGTGGCTAATGCCTGTATTCCCAGCACATTGGGAGGCCGAGGCAAGAGGATTGCTTGAGCCTAGGAGTTTGAGAACAGCCTGGGCAACATAGCAAGACCCTGTCTCTACAAAACAATTTTTAAAAAAATTAGCTGGGCATGCTGGCACCTGCCTGTGGTCCCAGCTACTTCGGAGGCTGAGCCAGAAGGATCTCTTGAGCCCAGGAGTTAAGGTTGCGGTGAGTTATGATCGTGTCATTGTACTCCAACCTTTACCCTATCTCCAAAAAAAAAAAAAAAAAAAAAGGCTTAAAGAAAAGGAAGTAGGGCCTTTAGTTTGTGGCCTTTACCTGGACAAACAATTAATTCTATTTCCCCAAGTTATTTTTGTTCTGTACTGAGTTTTAATTATTGTGTCGTTGTTTTGCCCAAAGTTCATTTTCTAATGGTGTTCAATTAAGAAGTTATACAGTTTTAGAAGTTATGTGTGTGTGTGTGTTGTGTTTTTGTATGAAAATGGGGCTAACAGTTTGGAAACCAAGTTGCAAATGCTGCTGGAGTTAATCTTTTTTGTCACTAAAAGATGACTCAGTTACCTAAAATTAGAACAATTTTTCCTGTTTGTGGTTTGGAATCCCAGCTCTTAATCAGTTTGCATCTTAGTTCCAAATTTGTAGCCATGGATAACTTCCATGAAACCACAGCTTTCTCTTGAAAGAGCAAAGAGCATGTAATATATTAATAGAGCTGTCAAGTTTGAAATGCTACATCTCAGAAAGTACTTTATGTGCAGACTAAAATCTGCAAACAATCTCAGAGCCTAAAAACAGATTGCATAAGCTGTTGCTTGATCTCTGTGAGAGGCAATTAGTAGTGAGTATGCTTGTTGAACTCATGTGGTCTGGGTTTGACTTCAAGACCAGGTAGGTCCTCCCTGACCTGTGATTCAGAATAAGCTCTAACACCTGTCTTATTTCAGTTTCCTCATTTGTAAATACAACAGTGTCTCGTCTACCTCATGGGCTGTGTGTCTATTTAATGAGATACAAATTTGTGAAAGCTTAGAGCACAGCACTTGCCAGTAGTAGGTGCTCAGTGATTTTTTTTTTTTTTTTGGTCTTTTACCTCCCTTTCCTTTTGGTCTGTCAAAAAGATAGTATTTGTCCAGTCTAGTTGATGAGGTTATTGGGAGCAGAACTAAAGTGATAGAGATAAAAATCTATTAAAAAGCCAAGAGAATATAACCTTGTGTGATTATAAATAATAAAAATTTAAAAATAGAGTTTGAAAATAAAAATACATACTTTTTATAGCAAATGTATTCAAATAGTGAAGGAGTAAGAATAAACAGGTTTGGCTTTTACCTTATAGACCCATAAAATGATTATATTTTTACAGAGATTTGTTAATTTATGCTCATTTTTTTAAATTTAAAATTTTTGTGGGTACATCGTAGGTGTATATATATTTATGTATGCTCATTCTTATAAGCCTATTTTCTCCATAAGTTCCTAGTATCTCTATGCACACATTCTCTACCTGTACCATATTCTGAGATTTATAATATAACGACATGTAGGGTTGAAATTGGAACAGTAACAATAACAAATCTGTCCTGGTGAAATGCTGGTCATTGGGAAATACAACCACCAGAGGCAGAGCAATGTAGGATAACTTTCTGGTTTCATAAGACGTTTTGAAAGCCTACATGATATAGACCAGCTGCCAGATGATTGATTTGGTTTTGGCCTCCCCATTCTATAATTTCAAGTCACCAGGCAGAGCTGCTTCTGATCCTCATCTGCTCTTCAGTGTCTTAAACACTGATGGGCAGGAAACGCCTGGGTGTGCCTAGCTCAGAAGCTGAGGGCAGGGAGCCTCTGCCCTCCTGAGCCTGGGGCTGCTGGGGTGGAAAGGCTGGAGCAGTAAGCTCTGTCTCAGGACACCACATGTGCCAGCCATGTTCTAAAGTCAGGACTTGGGAACTGCGTGGGTGCTGGGGAGGTTGTCTCACCTGTGAAAGAGGGAGACTGAACTCCTTCCTTCTGTGGGGATTGGTGTGCTGGGCCCTGGGAAATCTCTATTAATATTGCTTCCCTTTGGTTCTTTTCATTTAGGTAGTTTATGTGGTGGTGAATACTAAACTTTCTTTTCTTTCTTTTTTTGTTTTTTGACACAGTCTCTTTGTCACCGAGGCTGGAGTGTAGTGGTGTGACCTCGGCTCATTGCAACCTCCACCTCCCCGGGTTCAAGTGATTCTCCTGCCTCAGCCTCCTGCGAGTAGCTGGGATTACAGGCGCATGCCACCATGCCCAACTAACTTTTTGTATTTTTAGTAGAGATGGGGTTTCACCATGTCGGCCAGGCTGGTCTTGAACTCCTGACCTCAGGTGATTTGCCTCCCAAAGTGCTGGGATTGTAGGTGTGAACCACCGCGTCCGGTCCTATTTTCTTTTAAATTAAACTAAATGATATTCATTATTGCTCTTCCACTTTTATGCTTGTTCATTCTTTTAAATATTTTCTATTAATAAGTTAACTTTTGAATAGCCTTCTTGGGGGAATGCAGAGATCTTGCTGTTGGATTCATTTTTCTCTTTCCTGCATTCATTTTTTATTTGTTATGTTTTGATGGATGAAATTTTGTCTATAGTTTATGGTCTTCATAATGTATTACATATTTTGTCTTTCACTTTATTATGCTACCTTGGATTTTTTATTGATCTTCTCATCCACTCATCTGCCCCCTTTGTTTTAAACCTGAGTTTGTCTGTATTTCCCCTCTCAGTGGCTTTGGCAGCTGGGACACAGTTGTGAACTGTTTCAGGTATCTCATTCTTGAAACTTAGCTTTTTGCCTTCGATGAGAAAATGAAACTGGCCCAGCTTTGAATATGGTAATTCCTGTTCTGCCTTCATGGTCCCGGGGGATGGGTTTTCTTTTCGAGCGTGGAGATGAAAAGTTGTCCCTGGTTAGTGTGCCCTTTGTTTAGGAACAGGGTGAATCTTGTCATTTCTTTTACTTTCCTTTTTGCTTTGGCCACCAAATTTAGAGCTGAATTTGTGGCTCAACTTGAATAATTTTGGCATATCTATGTTTAACATTTTCTCATTGGCTTTGATCTTTTGAAATTTTTTCTGTAATTTTTTGGATCTTGATCCGTAACATTTTTATGTGATTTTGTTTTTCATTGTGTATGTTCTTATAAGTTGCCCCAAGACCATTATAGAATGAAGTGAGATACATAAGTTAATAATTGGCTGGGTGTGGTGGCTCACGCCTGTAATCCCTGTACTTTGAGAGGCTGAGGCGGGCAAATTGCTTGAGGTCAGGAGTTTAAGACCAGCCTGGCCAACATGGCGAAACCCCATCTCCACTAAAAATACAAAAATTAGCTGGGCCTGGTGGCGCTTGCCTGTAATCCCAGCTACTTAGGAGGTTGAGGCAGGAGGATTGCTTGAACTTGGGAGGTGGAGGTTGCAGTGAGCCGAGATTGTGCCACTGCCCTCCAGCCTGGGTGACAGAGTGAGACTCTGTCTCAATAATAATAATAATAAAAATTGCAAAAGTTATTATGCTTGTTCTCTAATAACTTGTCTCTTTTCATTTTTCATTGTGTTCACATACTATTTAAAATATAAATGACCTTTAGATTTTCCATAGTATGTGCGCTGTGCAGTAATTTCTATGTCTCTATTTTCAGCATGATCTTTCTTCCCAAAGGTTGCAGGGAGAGTAGCTGAAGAAAGGGGTGCAGTGCTGGGCCACGAGGTGGGCTACTGCATCCGCTTTGATGACTGCACCGACCAGCTGGCCACGAGAATTAAGGTAAAGTGCTCAAGCTGCTTTTCCTAGTGGAAATAAGGAAGAAGGTTATTTTGGGAGAATTAAAAACATGTAGTCCTTGCTGCTGTACAGGACATTGATACCATGGCAGAAAGTGAAGAAAAGTATCCTGACATTCAGAGACTTTAGTCAGCTAGGAGACAGAGAGCTCTTCCTTTTTTCTTTTTTTTTTTTTTTTTTGAGACAGAGTCTCTCTCTGTCACCCAGGCTGGAGTGCGGTGGCACGATCTCTGCTTGCTGCAAGCTCCGCCTCCTGGGTTCACGCCATTCTCCTTCCTCAGCCTCCCGAGTAGCTGGGACTACAGGCGACCGTCACCACACCCGGCTAAGTTTTTTTTTTTTTTTTTTTTTTGTATTTTTAGTAGAGACGGGGTTTCACTGTGTTAGCCAGGATGGTCTCAATCTCCTGACTCGTGATCCACCTGCCTCAGCCTCCCAAAGTGCTGGGATTACAGGCGTGAGCCACTGTGCCCGGCCGACACAGGGCTCTTTCAAAGAGTCCTGCAATCTTATCCCAGAAAGGAGCTTGGAAGTCAGGTTTAGTCCTTGATTCCAAAGATGAAGAGGTTAAGGGCTTGGAAGGTTGAATGACTTGCCTGATATTATATGCCAATCAGTGATAGGACCAAGACTCAAAGCTGTCTTTTCTTATGTGTATTTTATTGTATTTTCACTGACTCAAATAGCAATCGAAATATAGAAACAAGCCTGTAAAAGGCTTAAAAATAGAGTAGTATAAGTTGATGAAGTGTAGAATTCATGAATGTTGTTTCACTAATTAGTACTTTTCCATTTTCATATGAAAATGGATTTTACATGTGTGTTCTTTGGCCTTGTTGCTAATGTTAAAATAATTAGTATCAATAGTAATCAGTGTATAATCAACTCAACAGGGTGTGTACTACCTACCACCGTGCTAGAATCAAAGTCTAATCAGACAGTGCAATAAAACAGTGAATGAAAATAATCTGATGAAATGAAAATTGATTATTAGAATCTCAGTTACCTCTTAATTTGCAACAGAGGAAAATTGAAAATCAGATGAGCTGAATGACCAATGTAGTGATTTGTAAAAATGTAGACCTTATTTTCCAGATTGCCATATTTTGTTATATTCATTTTGCTAGGTGAAGGGAATATTTTTCTGTACCATCAAATATATTTGAACTAGCTAATTTTCAGTGGTTTGCATAACCATGAAAACCTTTGAGCCGTCCATAAAAACCTTTTGTATTCCATTTGGTCACAATTTCAAGGTGCTCAGTTCTCGACTGGTGATTTGTCATTGGTGGAAGTTCTCACTACGTATGTATGTGGCAGCTAGTACCAGGTCCAAGAAAAATATGATGGCAATGCATCCTGCTCTTAAAACAAAAAAAGTAAAAAACACCTAAGATACAGCATGCAAGGGAGATGGTTTAACCTGAAAACAAATTCAGTACGTTAAGAAGGCTGTTACTGTATGTGTCTGAAGCATTTTATAAAGATTCATTAATCTGAAATAATATTAGCTGACTTTTCTTAAACACTACTCTGTCCTAGGTCCTATGCTAAACGCTTTACATGTACAGTCAGTCCTCTGCATCCTGCGGGTTCTGCATCTGTGGATTCAACCAACCTTGAATTGCTAATATTACAAAATAAAAATAAAAAATAATGTAAATTTAAAAAAATACAGTATAACAACTATTTACATAACATTTACATTGTTTTAGTCATTCTAAATAATCTAGAGATGATTTAAAATATATGGGAGGGTATGCATAGGTTACATGCAAATACTATGCCATCTTATATAATGGACTTGAGCATCTGCAGATTTTGGTGTGGGTTGGGGGGGTTTCTAGAACCAACCCCACAAGGATACCGAGGAACTACTATACTATCTTATTTATTTTTCACATTAACTTGGTGAGGTAAATACTTTGATTACCTCATTTTACAAATGAGCAATCAGGGACAGAGAAGATGAGTAACTTGTCCAAGGTTCACACAGCTTAGTAAGAGGTAGAGCCAGGATCTGAACTCCCAGCAGTCTGACACCATAGCCCATGTGCTTAACCATGATCCTATCTAGAGTCTGTAAAATAATATTAATTGAAGTTTAAGTTAATAACCTCAAGAACTGCAATCTATAGTCTTTGGGACATTTGAAGAGCAATTATCTTACACTTAGGGTGTTTCTTTGGGCAGATACCAGTTAGTCTTCACTGCCTCTTTATCGATAGTACTGGTGGTGCAAGCCCAGAGGAAATGGGGCATAGCTGATGTTCCCATAATAAAGGCAAGTGAAATTCTGCTCAAAGATTTGCAACTCCAGCTGAGGACCCTGTGTTTAAAGCCTTTTGTGAACAATTACATTGCTTGATAACGAAAATATGGGGGCATTTTCTCACAGTCCTTTGTGGGAATTTACTTGTACACATGCTGGCAAAGAGGTTGCACTTGAACTTAAAAAATACCATTAATATGTAGTGTAAGTGAATTATTTCTAAAGCTTTGTGTTTTTATTTTTTAGTTTCTTACTGATGGAATGCTGGTCAGGGAAATGATGGTTGATCCGTTGTTAACAAAATATAGGTAAATGTGTTTTTCTTATGATAGCTTTCCTAGTTTCCAAAGTCCCCAGGTAGACGGAGAAGCAGGTGTGTTAGTAGCTGGGATTCACGTCTGTGTTCAGCTGCCCCAAAGCTTTTCTCTTGACCTTGGCTGTTGGGACCCTTGGTGTTTTTCTCAGAATTTAAATAGTATGGCCCTTTACAGACACTCAAAAATGGGCACATTAAAATTCCTATCATTACTTAGTCTGGTGACTTGTCCTTTTTATTTTGCCTTGTCACACTCCAGTATTGATGGTGACTGCAGAGAACTAACTGCCCTGTGTTAAATGTAATATACAGAGTCCAAATAATTTTTTATCACTTCCCCCTCTTTGTCTATCTGTCTGTCACTCACAGCATTAAAGCTGTCCTACCTAGGCTCTGGTGTTCTCGAGGAGAGTGTCACATTTGACCCCCTGGCCCACGTGTGTCACAACTGTAGTCAGCTACCTCTTTGACTGTTGTTATAGCTTAACAGTCTTCAGATGGTTGGGCTTTGTTCTGATTTTTATGTGTTCTGTGGGGTTATAGGTTGGTTATGTTTTCATTTAAAATCAGATATTAAATTCTGTTGGAATTCAGTGTGGATGGTAAAACGCTTAAAGATAACAATAGTACACTTTTTAAAATTCAGGTATGTTAATGTCACCGTTTTTATTAACCTAAGAATTGCCTCATTGTCAAAGAAGAGTGACTTAGGTTTACTTTTGATGCAAAGTGATTGTATGAGGACTAAATACCCAGAAGCTCTTTGATGGTCTAGATGAGATGATGTGTGGCTTTTTTAGAGGCTCACTGAGAGCTTCTCTTTGATTCTTAGTGTCATCATGCTGGATGAAGCCCACGAGAGGACCTTGTACACTGACATTGCCATTGGCTTGCTAAAAAAGGTATGACTTCACTGCCAGCTTTTCATTGTGTGTGTTTATTTTATTGCCTAATTACAAAAGCAACTGTAGCAACTTGGAAAGTACAACAAAATACCAAGGAAGAAAATTAAAATCATCCATAATCCTACCCATTCAGAGAATATCAGTGGTAGAATGTTGGTATATTTTCTTCTCTTTTCTGTGTGTGTGTGTGTGTGTGTGAGTGAGTGTGTGTGTACTTGGATCTGTTTTGGCATACTAGGGATTGATTGAATTATATATACTAATTTGTATCTTGCATATTTCCCTTAACATTACATTAGGATCATTTTTCTGTGTCATTTAAATATTCTCTGAAGATATTATTTTTAATGGCTATTTAATCACATCTCTATCATAAAGTATTTAACTTCCCCTACTGTTAGCAATTTATATGGCTTGCAGATTTTAAATATTATAAATACTGTTGTAGCAAGCACCCTTGTAATTGAATCTGCTGCATTTCTGTTTATTTTCTTTAACTTTTTATTATTAAGGTTTCATACATATCCCAAAGAAGTGTATAATGACCCCCATGTACCCTTCATCTGGCTTCAACAATTACAACTCACAGCCAATCTTGTTTCAATCTTAACCTCCACTCTCTCCTCCCTTCCCATATTTTCTGATTGTTTTCTTTGGACAGATTCCCAATTAGAGTCTAGAAAGAAGTGGTAGAACAGGGTGATTAAGAGCATAGGCATTGAGTCAGACTACCTGGGTTCAAATTCTGGCTTTGCTGAGTTTACTCATCTCTAAAATGGGGAAAATAGTAGTCTCTATATCTGTGCTGGTATACTTTCCTTTATGGTAGCCACTAGCCACCTGTAGCTATTGAGATAAAAGTTAATTAAAATAGAAGAAAGTAAAAAAATTCAGGTTCTCAGTCACGTTGGCTATTTTTCTTTTCTTCTCTCTTTTTTTTCTTTTTTTGAGACGGAGTTTTGCCCTTGTTGCCCAGGCGGGAATACAATGGCGTGATCTTGGCTCACCGCAACCTCTGCCTCCCAGGTTCAAGCGATTCTTCTGCCTCAGCCTTCCCGAGTAGCTGGGATTACAGGCATTTGCCACCATGCCTGGCTAATTTTGTATTTTTAGTAGAGATGGGGTTTGGTTCCTCCATGTTAGTCAGGCTGGTCTTGAACTCCCAACCTCAGGTGATCTGCCTGCCTCGGCCTCCCAAAGTGTTGGGATTACAGGCGTGAGCCACTGTGCCCGGCCACATTGGCTATTTTTCTTTTCTTTTTTTTTTTTTTTCACGTTGGCTATTTTTCAAGGGCTCTATAGCCACAGGTGGCTAGTGGCTTATGCATCGGACAGTACAAATAAGGAAAGTTTTCATCATTGCAGAGAGTTCTTTTAGACATAGGTACTGTATATTGTGATTTGTTATGAAGCTTAAGTAAGATAGCAAAAAACTTTTAGGTTGGTGCCTGGCATAGGGTCACAGCTAGACTGTGAGGTTCTTTTGTGCAAATTAGAAAAAGATGTTCCCTCTGGGAGGATGTCTAGAGCTAGGTGGGAGGCAGGTGGACCGGATTGCTGAAGCCCCTAGCCCCCTCAGCCAGGCATCTTTGCACAGTGGGTACACTGTGTACCTGTATGCAGGGCCTCTGGGCTAGCACATAAGTTAGTCTGTATTAGTTGTTATTATTATTATTTTCATTGTTATTTTATTCCATTGCCAAAGATTTAGATTTTTTGATACTTTAAGGGAATTATTGTACCATGTTATTACCTTTTTCAGGAACGGTATAATAAGAGGGCCGATTTCACTGAATCTTTGCCAACACTGAGTATTAGCCTTAAAAAAATAAATCCTTGCCAATGGGATAGATGGGGAAAAAAAAATCTCATTGTTATTATATATCTTAGCTGTAGCTCATTTGGTCACTTCTCCAATGCCTGTTGATTATGTGTTTCTTTGAGTAACTGTTAATATCTTTTATCTCTTTTTTTTTTGCCATATTTCTGTCTTGGTGTTATCATTTATTGTTTGTTTGCTTTTAATATACTTTTTCATACATAGATTCAAACTATCTTGAGACCCAGGTGTCAGGAAAAAATGGTTTTATTCTCAGTAAATTCAAATTTGGGTCTTAAAGCTTCTTTATAGTTTTTATAATTTAAAAAAATTTACTTTGGAAAATTGCATACATTTACAAAATTGGAAGTAATAGTGTAATGACCCCCCCCCCCCTTTATTGACAATTATTAATTTGTAGTCAGTCCTTTCATCTGTAAGCTCCCTTACCTCCTCCTCAGGCAAAAAAGAAAAAAAAAGACACTGAATTTTTGAAATACATTTCAGATATCAAATGATCTCATCCATAAGTGTTGCACTATTATCATTATTTCCAAATGTCTTCTTTTTTAGATTCAGAAAAAGCGAGGGGATCTTCGATTGATTGTAGCTTCAGCCACTCTGGATGCAGACGTAAGAGCCTTGCCTCCCCTTTCCTCCTCTCCTCACAAACACTTTTGTCCTATATATCCTTGGGAAGTTACCTCTAGCAAGAGCTTATCTTTGGCAGAATGCCCTATCTTCTTTATGGGACCATCTGATGTCCTAGATTTCATATAATCAGAGGTTACTCCTTTTCAGCTTGTGAAATTAGACTGTAATTAATTGAGCTCATAATTACCTACCTGTCTTGTTTATCTACATACTGTCTTTCTCCCCACTTACACAGCTTCTTTTTGTTGTTTTTTCAGTATAAGCCTGTATTTCTTGAATTTGTTTATTTATGACTATACTGTATAGATTTAGATTTTTCTGTGCAATTGAAGTTTCTCCTGGGCTGGGCACGGTGGCTCACACCTGTAATCCCAGCACTTTGGGAGGCTGAGGTGGGTGGATCACTTGAGGTCAGGAGTTTGAGGCCAGCCTGGCCAACATGGTGAAACCCCGTCTCTACTAAAAATGCAAAATTAGCTGGGCGTAGTAGTACATGCCTATAATCCCAGCTACTTGGGAGGCTGAGGCAGGAGAATTGCTTGAAACTGGGAGGCAGAGGTTGCAGTGAGCTGAGATCGCTCCATTGCACTCCAGCTTGGGCAACAAGAGCAAAACTTCATCTCAAAAAAAAAAAAAAGTTTCTCCTGTATATATAATAATTTCCATGTTAAAGTTTTCTGTGGCTAGGTTTACATTATTTTTCTCTCTTGTGGACCTATAGTTTAAACAGCAGCTCAACTCAACAAATACTTTTGACCACTTACTATATTTACATGCAGAAATAGATGTTTGCAGTTCAGTGTGTTCAAAGTTCTGAGGCAGCTAAGGAGGGAGCCCTTAACTCCAGCCAGCTGGGGGGTGTCCAGAAACTTTCGCAGAGGTGGTGACCTACCAGCTGTGCTTGAAAGATGGACAGCCGTTTTCCAGATGGATGAAGGTGGGGAAGGGCACCCTAAATATAAGTGAAATCACAGGGACATGACCATGAGTTCATGGAGCTTCGAGTCTTATCTTACCTGCCAGGCCCTCATGGGTGAATTACCCTTGAACTCCCTCTCTGACTTTATCTTCTTCCACTTTCTCCAGTGCTCCCTACATTTCAGCCTCACTGGTCTCCTTGCTGTTCCTCAAAACAACCCAGGCATGCTTCTGCTCTGGAGGAACCCTCTTTTTAGACCATTCCTTCCCCGGACAGCCTAAGGTTCTCTCCTAATTTCATTCCAGTTTTGAGCATTTATTATCTCCTCAGAGAGGCGCTCTCTAAAACAGCACCCCAGTTGCTCTTTATTCCCTTATTCTGATTTTTTTTATGTTTCTCACTTGTCTATCACTATTTAACATTATATGCATTGTTTATTGTGTGTCTCCTGTCACTAAAATATAAGCTCCATGAAGATCAGGACTTTGTCTTATTTTATCTCTTCCACCTAAAACAATGTCTAGCACAGAGTAGGCACTTGGGTTGAATGAATTTTGACTGACTGGGAAGTAATGGAAGATTAAAATGGGGAGGTTGGGGTCAGATGACGGAAAGCCTTAGAGGCTCAGCCAGAGAGGATGAACTCCATCCTGTATCTGGTTGGGAGCCATGGGAACATGTGAGAGAGGGCAGTGACTTCATCATGTTTGAGCTCTATAAAGATCATTCTGAGTGCTGTGTATAGGAGATGAGAGTAGATATGGAGTCTCTAGTAAGGAGGCCAGTTCTGAAATCCAGGTGAGATGTGGTCCCTGGCTCCTGGCTCCTAGTCTCCCTGTGGCTTCTGGGATACAGAACAACTTGGAGAGAGAGAAAGCTTACCATAGCGAAGGTAAATGTCCAACGTGTCCCGAGACTGGTTTCTCAGACCTTTCCACAGGCTGTAGGAGTCTGTTGTTTTAGGTCTGCCCATGGTAACTTTTGGGTTAAAGCTCCTCTGTTGCCCTGTTTAATTGTCATCTCCCTCACCCATGGTATCTGCTGGCATGCTATTTTGTGGACTGTGGCTGACTTCACCTCTAGTTAGCTCCTCTGTGGCTACATTACACAGAACATCTGTATCTCTTTTTCACCCCCCACCTTAAAAATTATTAAATTAAGTTAAAAATTATTCCAGTTTTTATTATGTTGAAAACTATAATGTCCAAGTCTTTTCTTAGATTCATTTTATTTATTTATTTATTTATTTATTTATTTATTTATTTTTTGACACCAAGTCTCACTGTCTTGCCCAGGCTGGAGTACAGTGGTGTGATCTCAGCTCACTGCAACCTCTGCTTCCCAGGTTCAAGTGATTCTCGTGCTTCAGCCTCCCAAGTAGCTGGGACTGCAGGCATGAGCCACCATGCCTGGTTAATTTTTGTATTTTTAGTAGAGATGGGGTCTCATCATGTTGGCCAGGCTGGTCTCAAACTCCGGACCTCAGGTGATCCTCCCGCCTTGGACTCCCAAAGTGCTGGATTTACAGGCATGAACCACCACGCCTGGCCAGATTCATTGTTAATTAATACTTACTAATTGTTCACAATTGCCTTTTATTGTCTTGGTGGAACACAGAGATGAAAAAAATAGCTTCTTTCAGTTCTGTCTATGGTAGTTGATATAGATGACTTTCTGGAAGCAATTTTGTAAGCGGGAAGACAGCATGTAGGAACTTTGTCATGCCTTGCTCTGCTGTGGTACGGGACATGCTGGACCTCTGGTAAGCTGGGCCATTCCTTCTTATCCTGTCCTTGCTGCTCAGCCAGTGCCTCCTGTGTGAGGGGAACGGTGGTTTCTAAGTGTCTGTGAATGGGGGATCTGTGTGTGTGAGTCATCTCTGTGTGGGTTGTGGGTCCGTGTGTGAGGGGCCTACGTGAGGTATGGGATGTGAGTTCGTATGTGAGTGAAAGAAAGAAAGAGGATATAAGTGGGCGAAAGAGGGCAAGAATGAGGACTATGTGGGAGTGGCAGGGGGGTTGGGTGTGGCTTAGGAAACATTTTGATCTAGAGGCGTAGGGAAGTCCAGAACTCATCCCCTGCCCCCCAGCGGCTGGGTCTGTGGGTGACAGACTAATTTCAAACCTCCTAGAGCTAGGGCTGCTGATAGGCCACCTGCCGTGGTTTCTCTCAGGGACTGGGGTGGCCCAGCCTGCAGACAAAGACAGCAGTGGCTGCAGCCGGGAGGCAGAGACCTGCAGAGCATGATGGGGCTGATCGAATAGCTGCTTTGGTTGCTTTATCTGCTTTCTTAATGTAAGCCCAATTAAACGAACAATTATATAACATGACTGGATATAATTATGAAGTATTTATTGATCCTGTATCACGTGATGATATTGCTTTTCTTTTATTTGCGTCCAACTGCATGGCAGAATATATGGTTGCTGGTAGCTCCCATAGTTTTTTTGTCATAAGTCCAGCTACTTGAAGAGAGACTAATTTCTCTTTCCAGATTCTTAGAGAAGGAACTTAGCATCAGCTGGGGTCAGGTCTCCACCCTGGACCAGTCTACATGGGCCAAGGCTGTTGGCCAATCATGGGTGTGTTGGGTAGACATAGCTGCTTATCGGCCACTCCAGTGGGTTAGGAAGGAGCAGGTACCAGGGAAGGAGCCTATGGTGAGCTAGAAGACAACCCTGCAGATGGCCATATCATTTACATTCCATTTCATAGACTGTCCCCTGCCTTTTTATGATGTATGCTTCTTACCATGTCTGTATGTCAATGTGACCCCACCTCTTTCAAACCTGACTCAAATTCTTCTTTTCTGGGTGTGTTGAACTTATTTTACTCTTCTTGTTCCTTGATTCTGCCTCAAGATTCTTGCATTGTTGGTACTATATTTATTTACTTTTTTATGTATTTTGTATTTCCAAATAAAGATACAAGATAAAGATCTTAAAGGTCTTGTGCCTTCTCAGTAAATGCTGAGTCTTAATTCTTTTTGTTTTGAGACAGAGTTTCACTCTTGTTGCCCAGGCTGGTGTGCAATGGAGTGATCTCGGCCCACTGCAGCCTCCGCCTCGCAGGTTCAAACGATTCTCCTGCCTCAGCCTTCCTAGTAGCTGGGATTACAGGCGCCTGCCACCACGCTCAGCCAATTTTTTTGTATTTTTAGTAGAGATGGGGTTTCACTATGTTGGCCAGGCTGGTTTTGAACTCCTGACCTCAGGCCATCCACCCGCCTTGGCCTCCCAAAGTGCCACCGCATGAGCCACCGCATCCGGCCGAGTCTTAATTCTTGAAAGAGTAACTCTTTACTTTTCAGTACCACATAGTCCTTAACGGTAAGGTTTAGGCATCTACTCTAACAAAATTGTCAAGGCATCATCTTCTTCCTTGTTCTGCTTGCTTTTTTGGTAACATTCACCCTTGTCCAAGCCCTTTGGTAAAATCTTCCTCCTTCTCCTTCCATAGCTCCTGGAGCCCTGCTGACTTCCCTCTCCTACCTCCTTGTTGGCTTCCTCTTGGGCCCCTTCTCTGTCTGCTCTTCCTTCTCAAGGCTGCACACCCCTGTGGTCCCTGGTTCAGCTGAGCCTTCGTGCTTGTGGCAGTCTTGACTGTGTGCTTGCACACCAGCCTTAGCTGTCTGACAGCTGGCTAGCCACAGACATCCTAAACTCATAAACTTGTGACTCTCTGATTCTCCATCTCAGTCTCTTTCTCATGATCATAGTCATTTAGGCCAAGACCTCCATTGCTTTAAGAAGTTTTTATCCCCGGTCGAGTAAGAGTCACTCTAGCCTTCTTTCCAATGTGCACGTGTGTGCACGTTCACTCACTGATTGCCAGTTCCCACCAGCTGTATCTCTGGAATGCTTTGCCCAGGTTCACACTTTGTCTCCCCTGCACTATTATGATAGCTTCATTAATTAGTTTGTTTGCCTCGAATCTCTTATTTCCTCTGCCCTCCTCCAAAATGGCCACTGGAGTCTGGGATTCAGCTCACAGGTCTGATAATATCATGCCCATCCTCACTGCCCTTGTCTTGCCCATCGAATAAAGTGCCAGTGCAGCTGATCACTTGGGTCCCTTCAGAGTTATGGCTGACATCACTTATTGAGTGCCATTCTAGGCTAGATGTGTGTCACAACTATCCCACATAGTTTATTTGAACCTCACAGCAACCTTGCAGGGTGGATAGCAGTTTGTCCATTTTGCAGATGAGAGAGCTGACTCAGAGATGAGGAGGCCTAGACCTTGCCTCTGTCCTCCCTTAGGGACCCCTTTACATTTTAGTCCATACTGTGCTATTGTCCTGGGAAGGGATGTCTCCCCCTTCCCAGCCAGTAATAATCCTCCTTAGCCTTTACAGTGCAGGCAAGGGATACTGCTTTCTCCATGAAGCTCTCCCTGAAAGCCGGTAGTTCTTAACTTTTCCTTCTATCAGATTGCAATCTGCAGCTCTTTCCTGGTCACAGGGTCATCTGCCTCAGGGATTATTTTATGATCAACTCTTTGCACGTCTGCCTTCTGTGAACTGTTTACTCTTTTGGGGCATGGGGTGTCTGTTCCCACTTGTTTGTATGTCACTTCTAGTGTACCTGTGCTGTGCATGTCATAGGGATGCAGGAAGGCTGAAGCAACTTGAAGGGAATTTACCCAAAAGAAAGTGAACAGGAGTACTGTGTGGAATTCTGCATAGCAAAACATAGTTTTGTTGACATGAGGCACTTTGATGTCTGTGCTTATTCTTCTCAATTTTGAGGTTAATATATAACATCCCTGTATTTTGTGGTTAAATCCAGTTTACTCTTTTAAAAGTACCCCTCAGAGCCCCTTCACTTAGCGTTTGATGCCATTCGTTAGCACAGCTCCTGGGCTCCTGGGTTTCCTGGAGCAGGATGGGCATGTTTTGTAAAGGTACATAGGGAAATAAAGACAAGCTTTGTAGTTATGTAGCCAGGCCTCAGGGAAATGAGTAGAGGTGGGGAATGGAAAGGGCACCCAGATTCAAATAATGGAGCACTCCACCCGACGGGATATCCATGCCCCCTCTGCAGTGGGCACCAGCTGCTTCCCATCTGGTGCTCACTTGCCTGCCTGCATGGTCACTTAGCTCTTCTCAGTCTCAGCTTCTCTTTGTACCTTAGGGTCACATTCCCCAAGAGAGGATCTTTGGTGGCGTTTCCTTCCCCCATCATTGGCTGGAGCCCTCAAGACAGGTCTCCTTGTGGGCTGCAAGTGGTGGTCAAGTACCATTAAATAGGATGTGGACACCTGTTTGGCAGAAACTGCCAAGAGACACTTCTCCCAACAGGGTACTGCACGAGTGTTGGGGAAGTACATGATTGATGGCCTACCCCATACAAAGCCTCGCACTCACTACTGTAGGGCGTGTAAAGATGGAGAAGACACTATCCCTGCCATCAAGTGGCCTAAAACCAGTAACAATGGGGCCGGAAACACACCTACTGTTCACAGAAGGAAAAGTTTCCTATCAAATGATCATATCTGTGTTTTCCAGATAGAGTTACCCACCAACCTCATCTAACCTGTACTGAACTTGAGTCACACCTTTGACCTAATTTTTGCTTAAATGAAATACAGAGGATAGGAATAATATAAATAATACTAAAGCTACATGTTAACTCAGATGCTATGCTGAATGCAGTTTTGAAATCTAACCTTTATTATTTTTATTAAAACTTTAGTAAAGACACTGTCATTGAAATGTGATTCCCCACAATTACAGTTAGAAAAATGTGAATTTAAAAAATGTATTTTGCAACCCATAATCTGTATTGCACATATATAATCTTGCTACTCACCTGTCTTTGGCAAGTTTTATATTATTTTTTCTTTCCATGAATCGCTACGAACCTTTTTTTCTAAGAGAAATGAAGAATTAATTTTTTTCTTTTTAGAAATTCCGGGATTTCTTTAATCAAAATGAAACCAGTGATCCAGCAAGGGATACATGTGTGATCCTTACAGTGGAAGGGAGAACATTTCCGGTGGATATCTTTTATCTACAAAGGTTTGATGATGCTTGAATTCTGGATGATGGTGTTTAGAAAACTCAGCCTCTGATGTAGAATGTCAGAACTGCATTTGCTCACAACTCTAAAGGATGGGGAGGAGCATGTTTTGTGTCCCTAGTCATTGGTCTAGAATGTTCTTACCCTGCTCCGGATCACTGCTGAATTTAGTTTAAACTGTTCACACTGACATGCAAGTTTCCGTAAGTCTGTGGCCAGTAGCTCAGCCAGAGAGAGCAAAAGTGGTGAAAGGTTTTGGGGAGGGAAGCTTGATAGTTTTCAGAACTGGGGTTTACAAGGCTGCCTGTCAGCAGGGGCAGTATTGGTGATTTGAATCATTTGGCTCTCAGTTCTCTACATCCCTAGCGAGAAGGCCCAGTTGGCATTTTTAGGAGTAGCCTACTTGGACAAGGAAGGGGCCATCCTAATTCCTGTACTAGTCACTGGACAAAAAAAGACCAGGAGCCTGTTCCAGTGGCTGATAAATCCAGAGTCGTGGACTTGATTTCTGAATCGTTTTGTTGGAGAGCTCATCCATCAGGGCCATCCAGCCGACCCATAGATGCTGCTATTGGTTAGGAGGGAAAATGGGCTGGGAAGAGCGTGGGCTTCAGCACTGGGACCACAGCTTCCGATTTTCACTGGTCTGATGTCTTTGCATACTAAAGATAGCACATCTATTTGTATGGGTATATCATGTTATTTCTTTCCAAATAAAGCTAAAAATCATAGTTGACATATAATTATGGATTATTCTTGAATATTAGATTTGAAAAAAATGAATATTTATTTTGTTTATCCTGTACTAATTACCTACTGGGCAGGCCCAAACTCACTTTGATGAGCTTTGCTGCCAGATTATTAGGGTAATTGATCTGTAATTAATGAGCATATTCTAGTGATGAATTCATCCCATTTGTCTTTTCAGTCCTGTTCCAGATTATATCAAATCAACTGTCGAAACTGTGGTGAAAATTCACCAGACAGAGGGAGACGGAGACGTTTTAGCATTTCTTACTGGCCAGGTAATGCCACTGTACTTCTCTGATGAATAGACATGTTAAGACAGCACCAAAAGTAATACAGAGCCTTGTTACTTTACTCAGTCATGTATTTCATGTTTTGTTGTATTTTGTGGTTCCATAATTGTGTAGAAAATTGATTTGATGTCATTCATCTACCATCTAGATTGTCAGGGACTCGTTAGCCCCTGCCTGTTCTGTCTGCAGAGGGTTAAATGTTTTTTTAAATGTATTAGCTGATTCCAAAATAAACTAGGTAGTTGAGTGAGGGCTATTTTGTTTGCCAGAATTGGATACTACATTAGGTCCATGTCCTGCACACATGTTGCTGCTGTGTACCTCTTTTTCCAGTGACACCTTTACAGCTCATCCTGGAGGTGATAAGTGGCCATATTACTGGTAAAACAACTGAACAGACCCAAGTGCTCGCTGACGGTGGCCAGCACTATTCAGACCTGCCCTCCAACTGTAATCTTTTCCACTGCCAAACACTTTCCATGGTTCAGTAATCTTTTTTGGAGAAAGCTTACAGTGATTTTATATGCTGCAACTTGTCTATATGCATGAGATGCTTGTTTGACACCGTATATGTATGCTGAGTAAAATAGTCATCGTTTTTATTTATTGGGAACTCTTCCATTCATTGCAGATCATACCGAGTTTTTAGTAACTAATAGTGTAGTTGCAAAATTTCACCCATTGTCATCATTGTGTATTAGCATTTAATTAAATACCATCCCAGAGTGGAACATGACGGCACTGAAATTCTTGAATCTGACCAAAATTAAAGTCCAGATCCCAACTTTTATTTTCTTTCAGTATGATAAAATAGCATGCTTTAAATTGATCTCGGTTTCTTTGGTTCCTGGTTCAACGTCTTTAGGAAGAGGTAGAAACTGTTGTGTCGATGCTCATCGAGCAGGCTCGAGCACTAGCTCGCACTGGGATGAAGAGACACCTCCGAGTTCTCCCCATGTATGCAGGACTGCCTTCCTTTGAGCAAATGAAAGTGTTTGAAAGGGTGTCACGCAGTGTCAGAAAGGTGAGACTATCCTGATGACCAAGGGTGTTGGCAGCCGTCTATAATCATAATGATGCTCCTTTACTTGTTTTGAAACTTGCTAAACACAAGGCAGACTTCTAGGTCCATATTTCTGTGTAGTAGATCTAAAAGCACACAATAAATAATACATTGTGAAGATTTCTTTTTTTTTTGAGATGGAGTCTCGCTCTGTTGCCCAGGCTGGAGTGCAGTGGCGCGATCTCAGCTCACTGCAAGCTCTGCCTCCCGGGTTCACGCCATTCTCCTGCCTCAGCCTCCTGAGTAGCTGGGACTACAGGCGCCCGCCACCACACCCGGCTAATTTTTTTTTGTATTTTTAGTAGAGACGGGGTTTCACTAAGTTAGCCAGGATGGTCTCGATCTCCTGACCTTGTGATCCGCCCACCTTGGCCTCCCAAAGTGCTGGGATTACAGGCGTCAGCCACCGTGCCCGGCCTGTTGTGAAGATTCTAAACCTGTCCCACTGAAGGATCACTTTGACAGTAGTTATCAGATCAGGTGACTTCTCTTTTCTTCTCTTCTGCCTTCCTAATATTTCCCACGACACATGCTTACTTTGGCTTAAGGGATTGTTTAGGGGGATTGAGGTCAGTCAGGAGCAATAGAAAAATTGGTACACATGGTTTCTAAATAATTTGTTTTAAGTATCAGCTTGCCTATTTTAAAGGGCCAAGTTTAAATCAATTAATTCAAGGTGTGGCTTAAAAATGTTTAGCCTTGAAGTGAGAGTGAGGAAGGGTGTGGTGGAAAGCATTGGTTTGAAGGAGCTGGCAGGCAGCCAGTCCACCTGGGCCTGACTCTGCCTTTTCCTTTCATTAGATGAGGACTGCACAGAACCAGCCCGAGGACAGCTTTTACTGTAGTAGCTATTTATCAACAGATGGCAGAGAATAGAGCAGGTGAGGGATGGTCTGAGGATCCACTCCCAATTTCAGACCACCTGGAAGAGGGTGCTCAGCCCCTTGACCATTGGGATGGAGCAACATGAGTCTGCCCTGTCAAACATTAATTGCAGCCAGCCAATCAGGAGACCTGGATTCTGCCCCTGAGCTACTATGTGCCTTGGGACAACTGACTTAACCTCGAATCTGAGTTTTTGCAGCTGTAAAACGTAAATAATAATAACTTTCAGATAGGTGGTTTTATAGCATAACATCTTAATCCCAACTACATAAAAATATTAGAAAGATTATTTTATAAAATGATCATTTATAAAATAATTTTTATAAAATGATTTATAAAATGTAAAGTGCCTGAAAAAAGTTCTAACTGCTATATATATGTGTCCCCTGCTACTTAAACCCTTCAGGGGCAGCTCCCAATGTACTGGGAATAAAATTCAAATACCTCATGGTGGCCCAGAGACCACATATGATTGCATATCTGCCTCCCTCTGCAACCTCATCTTGTACTTTGTATTTTGGCTGCACTGGCTGTTTCTCCTTCCTTTGAACTGTTTCTTATTCTTGGATCTCTATAGGGTTGGCTGCTGCTTGTTACTCAGGTCTCTGCTCAAAATCTTTCACAGAGGCTCTGCCTGGCCAACAAAAGTAAAGTAGCATGCCCTATTATTACAATAATATATAATATACATGTTATATACTACATCATATCATATTGCCTCATTGTGTTAATATTTTCTTTATAGTATTTGTTGTTCTCTGAAATTATCTTCTTGTTTATGTTCAGCATGTCTTCACCCTAAACACTCAAACTAGAATGTAAACTCTGGCAGAGCAGGGGCCTTGTCTGTCTTGTTTATCCTACATCCCAGCACCTTGAACAGTGCTTGGCAAAGTGCACACCCTCAGAAAGTAATCATGATATGAATGAATAAATGACTATACCTGCGCAAGATGGAGGGTGATTTACTTTGGTTATGCCAAAGGGAAAAACTAACAAATGCTAGGCTCTGATCACTTTATATATTAATTGTATATAGTCCCTTCAGTAGCCCTAGGGGAGGTGGTAAATCTTATTATGTAGATGAGGAAACAGGTTCAGGAGGTTGAGTAACTTGTCCAGGGTCACATGATTAGGGAGAATTCAAACCCAGGGCACCCCCTGACTTGGAAACTCACAGTCTTTCTAGTATATTAAACTGCCTCTCACAGATTCTGCAATGTTGGAAATGTTAAATCTTTTAGGATTTTTACGAGTTTGTTAAAAGCAAAAAGAATAAAATGAGTTTTATTCTTCTTTCTGTGGGGAACGTAGGTGATAGTGGCCACCAATGTGGCAGAAACCTCTATCACAATCAGCGGCATTGTGTATGTGATCGACTGTGGCTTTGTGAAACTCCGAGCCTACAATCCCAGGACAGCTATTGAATGCTTGGTGGTGGTGCCAGTCTCCCAGGCATCAGCTAATCAGCGAGCAGGACGTGGTGGTCGTAGTCGCTCGGGAAAATGTTATCGCCTTTATACAGGTTAGTGTGGCTTTCCCTAAGGGTTTTTGACTTTCTTATAGTCAGCCTGGGCAACAGAGTGTAGCAAATGTTTACTCCTAATGGTAGAACTTAACATAAAATACAGGCCTTCCTCACAAGGCCCTGTGTAATCAGATCCCCACTGCTTTCCTCACTCTAAATATGGTGTTTCTTTGTTACTAGTCCCCATTGGCCAAAGCTGGCCTGTGAGTGACTGCTTATTTGCTATCCTGTTCTAACCTAACATCTGGGCACAGGCCTGTGTAGCCATTTGTCCCTAGGGTGTGGGCTGTGTGTCCTGGAGCCTGTCTTTCTTGCCTTTCTTTCTTGACTTAATGTGCTGTTTTTGTATTCCAAGATCCCTGAGTCTTGCGGAGCCTCACATTGGGTTCCCCTTTTACTTCTGGTTCAGAGCATCTTTGCCAAGTGAAAATGGAAGGTCTGTCCGGAGACTCATTCATAGAAAACAAATAGTTGGTGAGCTCCTCCTCTGTGCTGTGCATCATGCTAGGCTCTGAGGGAACAGAAGGCAATTTTAATACTGTCTCAGCCTTTCTGGAGCTTTCTATCCAGCTTGAAGACAGCCTTACCTATAGACAGTGATGGACCCAGAGCTGCTCTTTCTCTGCACTTCTCTTCTGTGGGGAATGCTGCTGACATTTTCCCCAGTTGTCCAGACTCAATTTCCAAGTCATTGTTAATTCTCTTCTTTATCCAGTATCCATCTGCATTCACTTAACCAGGCCCAGGGTTTTTTATTTTGTTTTGTTTCTTCTGGTGTGGCTGCCCCTAAAGAAGGTCCAGGGGTTTTAGCTCTGCCATTTGTCTCTTCTTTTCCTTTCTGGTTATTATTGTCCTTGTTCAGTCTTTGATGTTGATCTTTCTTTTAGCAGATGTTTGCAGAGCACCTGCTGTATGCTGGCCACGGTGCTAGAGCTTGGAGATCTGGGGCTAGTAACCATGGTCTGTGGCCACAGTGACTGACAGTCTGGTGGTGGAGGTAGACCTCAAAACAGATCAGCATATTATGGTATGATAGGGAGCCATAAAGAATCGGGAGCCTTGGAAGCAGAGAGCAGAGGCTTTTCCTTGGGCTGTTTTCCCTGCCCAGCAGATCTTCCTTATCTTTCAAATCCTCTCTCAGATGGCAGTTCCCTCATGAAGCTACCTTAGATGCCTTCTCCTAGAAGCTGGTGTTATCCTTCTGGGGATTTGGGGAGTACTTCACAACCAGGGTGTTGTTTGAGCCTGATCTTACTGGCAATACAGTCCTTATCTAGGCGAAGAGGTGATTGGGGAGATTCAATTTCAGCGCACCAGGCAGAGGGAATGGAAGGTACAAGTACTTGCAGGGAAGGAAGTGGGTTTGGAACATTCACAGAAGGGAGGGAATAGGCAGAACCCAGGGCCTGAGGACCAAGGGCAACCACTGAAGATGCTAAGAAGGAATGACTAGAGTGGAAAAGGGAGAGCCAGGACTGAAAGGGATTCTGACATGCAGAGAAGGTTTCAAGACATTTTTCTCTTCAAAAATTATTTATTGGGGTGAAATTTACATAACACAACATTAAACACATTAAAGTGAACAATTTATTATATTCACAATGTTGTGTGACCACTGCCTCCATCTAGTTTCAGAACATTTCAGCCACTCCAGAATAAAATCCCTTATGCTTTAAGCAGTTTCTCCCCATTCTTTCTGGCTACCAGTCCCTGGAAATCACCAACCTGTGTTCTTCTCAATGGATTTCTCTCTTTTGGATATTTCATATAAAAAGTCATACAATATGTGACCTTTTGTGTCTGGCTTCTTTTAGCATAATGGTTTTGAGGCTTATCTACATTGTAGCATGTACTTCATTCCTTTTTATTACTGACTAATATTCTGTTGTATAGATAAACCACACTTTGTTTATTCATTTATTAGTTGTGGACATTTGGGCTGTTTTTGCCTTTTGGCTATTGTGAATAGTGCTGGTATGAACCTGCATGTACATGTACTTGAGTAGGTGTTTTTAATTCGTTTTGGCTATTACAGGGTTATATGTAATTTTGTTTAACTTTTAAGGAGCTCAAGTTACTTTTAAAGAGGCCAGCATTATCTCATGTGCCAAGAAATCATGGACTAAAGATAGGCAGGTGGATTTGGGTGAAAAGTCACTGAATCCCTTTGCATGAGCAGTTTAGTGGAAGTGGGGTTGGGGAGGGCCCCTGACTGTAATGAGTGCATTGGTGTCCAGCCTCTAGGCCTCCACAGGAGCCTCCAGAAAGTATTGCTTTGAACAGGGTACCACCTGCTCAGACCCTCCACATTTTCTCAAACCATCCAGGATTTTTCCTCAGCTTATCTTCTCCTACTAACCACTACAAATTGCTTCTCAGCTGAACTACTACACGACATGCTCTCTGCATGAGAAACGCTTAGATACCTTTTCCTTGAGCTGTTTCCTCTTTGCCCAACAGATCCTCCTTGTCCTTCAAATCCTCCCTCAAATGGCAACATGCAGCTTCCCTGGAGGCCTTCTTCCAGCCACCCTGCTTCCTCCTTCCCTGAGCCTCCATTTCTCTTTGGGAGGACCACTCCTTGGGACTTTTCCTATTTCTCCTTGAGGGTCAACTGTTTCTGGTCCAGGTCCCAGGCCCCTGCATATCACTGAAGCTTTTCAAGGGGATTGGCTGTGACTCCTACAGCTTCTGGCCCCATGCTTCACACACTTGAGTCCTCAGGAGAGCTTGCCTGTCATTGAACTTTTAGGAAACACCCACTTCCTGTGAGCTTTTCAGCAGGGTGGTCCTCTTATGTGTTAACTTTGTTTCTCCTTTGGTTAGTAGTGTGCTTGGAAAATGGGGTTATCCTATCAAGAAGCTGTACCCCAAATTCTCTTGAAACTAAAGGAAGTAGCTCATTTGGAACTTCCTGCTGTTGGCCGTCATCCAGAACCTTCTAGTTAGACCCAATTTGTATCAATTAGTCCACAGAATATTGGTTGTCTGTTTTCTCAAAGAAAACCTTTCTGAAGTTTTTCGGGGATAGTGGTATTTCTTCATGGCACTTTTTTTTTTTTCCTCTAGTTAACTAAAGCTTTATGATCTAAATGGAAGTTGGGTCACCCTTGTATTGTTTAAGAAGGGTGTACATCAGTTACAATGTTGACTGATGTGGGAGGTTTTGGTGGGTGGAGCATTCTCTATATAATCCTTAAGCTTTCTGAATATACATGAAAATGAGTTAATCTCTTCCTCTTTTTTCCCCACCCTTCCTGCCTAGCTTTTATAAAAAGGCCTTCTTCCAAAGTCTCTTCTCCTTCCCCCTCCCTTTCTGCCCTTCCTGTCTTGGGATCTCTGTGTCTTAGGATGCTTTTTCCTGTGTAAGGTCACCTCTTCTTCCTGGTAGGGCATGTAAACATTCATTTCTTGGTTTGGGGCAGCATTGGATTCTGGGAATGATATTGTGTACCTGGCTTGTTGATTTAAAAATTTGATTTGGACAATTTTTGCTCTTTATAAGATTTGGTCATTTGTTGTATTTTGGTGATTTATCTTGAAATTGTTCTTTGCTTGTATGTGAAGCTCTTGCTTCCTTGACTTATTCCAAACAGAGATGGTGGCAACTGGGAACTGATAGTGATTCAGCAAGTACTTGTTGGTTTGATTTAATGTTTTGCTGACAAAAAACATTAAAAAACAGAATTTTAGATAAAGTTTTATAAAGGTGTATTCAAATATATTTATCTAAGGCATTTTAAAAATAGAATGGTCTTTCCTAAGTATAAAAATAACTTTATATCATGGTATCATGTGCATCTGCTTCTAGAATCCTAGAGACCCTTGTTCAAGATAGAGAAGAAAATTTGTCCCTTGGCATAGTGATTGCATTTGATTGTGACATTTGGTCCCAAACAGTTCTGATTTCCTATCCTCAGAGGAAGCCTTTGACAAGTTGCCTCAGTCTACGGTTCCTGAGATGCAGCGTAGTAATTTGGCACCTGTCATCCTGCAGCTGAAAGCACTAGGAATTGACAATGTCCTCAGGTTCCACTTCATGTCGGTAAGTCCTGCCTGCTGTCTGGGGCCATAGGGAGGCTAGGGAGCTCACAGGGGGATGTCAGGACATTGTCGTAGGGCATGCCATCTTTCCTTTTTTTCCCTACTCAGGTCATGTGTTGTGTGTCTGCTTTGCAACCAGGCCCTGTGCAGGACGTAGGGGAAAACAGCCAGACAAGGTAGCCTCAATTCCTATTCTTACATAGTTCCTGTTCTTGTCTGCTGGGGAATAGAGACAAGTAAGTGGGTAATTACAGAGCAGTGTGCCCAGGGCTCTGAGAGACAAAGGAAGGGCCTCCCAGGTGAAACCTGAAACCCAAATAGAATCTCACCAGGTTAGGAGTGGAGAGTTCCAGGACAGCTAGTCTTTGTAGAGGCCTAGATGCAGGAGTACCATGATTGGGGGATCCTTCCTGCAGCTTTAGATAGAGCTGCAGGAAGACCCTTGTGCCTGATTGCTTCCTGAGATGATTTCTAGGAGTAGAATGACTGGGTCAAAGGGCCGTTGTCCTGTTTAGGGTCCTGTTACATGGCCAGATTGCTTTACCAATGTCAACTCTAGCAGTGCCTGAATGCCCACCTTGTGGTACTTCCATTGTGCCATGTTATCTTCTTTGGGTTTGCTGATTTGATTGGCCAGAGAGAGGAAATCACCTTTATTATAATTATTTTTAAATTTTTCATAAGATAGATTTTTATAAAAACATTTATTAGTCAGTTTTTATTTCTTCTGAGTTGTTAAGCTATTTATCTGTTAGAATTTGTGTCAGTTAGTGATTTTCAAGAGTCCTTTGAATATTAAAGACATTAATTTTTATAATATTTCTTACAAATATTTTCTATTTATATTTTACTGTTTTTTTTTTAATGTGTGGACATTCTAAACATATTCACAGTAATCTATTTTTGCCTTTATGATTTCTTTGGCTATTCTTTTTTTCTTTCTTTATTTTCTGAGACAGTCTCACTCTGTAGCCCAGGCTGGAGTGCAGTGGTGCCATCTTGGCTCACTGCAACCTCTGCCTCCCAGGCTCAAGTGATTCTTGTGCTTCAGCCTCTTGAGTGGCTGGGATTACAGGTGTGTGCCACCACGCCTGGCTAATTTTTTATATTTTTAGTAGAGACAAGGTTTTGCCTTGTTGACCAGGCTGGTCTCAAACTCCTGAGCAGGTCAGGTGATCCACCCCGTCTGGGCCTCCCGAAGTGCTAGGATTATAGGCGTGAGCCACCACCCCCGGCCTCTTTGGTTATTCTTGCCCTTATGAAGTACTTCTTATATTTGGGTCAGTTAATACATATTCTCTCATATTTTCTTCTAGAATTTTTATGATTTGAGAACTTTGTTTTTTCCCAACTGTATATGATATGACAAGTCTGGAAAGTCTGGATTCTTGGATAGTAAAGTCCCTAATGTCATATGTGATGGTAAACTAGGTGAATGAAAGAATAGAACATACAAATATCAACTCCCCCAAAGAAAATTGTGTACTTACCATAAGTATAGGGAAAATGGACCCTTTGATTATTGGTGTAGAGTAGAAGATATTATAAAGAAAAGATAAACAGGCTGAGCGTGGTGGCTTATGCCTGTAATCCCAGCACTTTGGGAGGCCGAGGCAGGTGGATCACTTGAGGTCCGGACTTCAAGACCAGCCTGGCCAACATGGTGAAACCCCGTCTCTACTAAAAATACAAAAATTAGCCAGGCATGGTGGCATGCGCCTGTAGTCCCAGCTACTTGGGAGGCTTGAGGCAGGAGAAACGCTTGAACCCGGGAGGTGGAGGTTGCAGTGAGCTGAGATTGTGCCACTGCACTCCAGCCTGGGCAATAGGGTGAGACTCTTTCTTAAAAAAAAAGAAAAGATAAACAGTATGTGCTGATTTGAAAGCTTATGAAAAGCCCCGCATGTAAAATTAAAGAAAAACATACAGTGACAGAAATGACAGATCAGTATCTCAAAAAATATGAAGAGTTTTTATATGCACATCATTTACAGTAAATATTCACTAAATAAAGCTAAAGGAAAAAAACAGCACAAATTCAAATTTCAACTATCATTAGGACATGTTGAGCTTCTCTAGGAGAGAGGTGACTGCACGTTGATATAGCTATAAAGGATGACTTTACACTAATTTTTTTTTTTTTTGAGACAGAGTCTCTCTCTGTCACCCAGGCTGGAGTGCAGTTGTGCGATCTCAGCTCATTGCAACCTCTGCCTCTTGGGTTCAAGTGATTCTCGTATCTCAGCCTCCCAAGTAGCTGGGACTACAGGAAAGAGCCACCATGCTCGGTTAATTTTTTGTATTTTTAGTAGAGACGGGGTTTTGCCATGTTGGCCAGGATGGTCTTGAACGCCTGACCTCAGGTGATCTGCCCACCTTGGCCTCCCAAAGTGCTGGGATTACAGGTGTGAGCCACTGTGCGCAGTTGACTTTACACTAATTAAATGATTGAGTATAAACAAAAATGGTGAAATCGAAAACTGCCACAATTTGGGAAAGTAAATTCCTCCCATGTTATACCGTTTCTGTCCCCATGGAGGACTTTCTGACAACATTTAATGAGCCGTAGAAATGTCTGCTATTTCTTCTCATAAAAATTTCTCCTGAAAAAATAATTCAGAAGAAGAAAAAAAGCTTACATATGTGATAATGCTTATAGCATTTATATTACATTTAAAAATATAAATAATGAAAATTATCGTAAAACTTTTGGACAGTTGAAAAATGAAAAAAAAAATACAAATTTATCTTCACATATTTCCTTCTGGTTATTATCCCCTGAAATTGTGGTTTTTATGATTGAAATTACAGAGTACATATAATTTTGTATATTTAGCAATGTTATTTACAATGGTGAAAAACTGGAACAATTTAATTGCCCAGCAATAAGAAAATTGACTTTTTTATGGAGTATGATTGTCATAGAGTATTATGCAGCCATCCCAAGTAGTTACTGTGAAGTTTGTATGGGTGCAAGAAACAATGAAAACAGAAAAACATGTAGTGAGAAGACCACACTAAAACTATACATAAACAGTAATTCCAGATATGTTAAAACAGTGTTTCTGTATTATCCCAAATCAGTTGAGGTCACAGAGAAATACTAGTGAATGTGATTAGATGAAAATACTATGGATAAGATTTTTGTGGAGAGGGGGATAAGTTTTTTTTGTTAATTGACTGGAAATCGGGCCAGGAATTGAGTCAGAGCTGACCTTGTTAGCTTTTTCTGTAATTGTTAAAAGCCTAGTTCAGAGATTGCTATTCCTGTTACCTCATCCACTCTCAGTATAAAAGATCCCACAGGGTTTAAGCTCCTTCATTTAAGTGTTGCCCATTTTGCTTCTTTGTAGAGAAAGATGTTGTAAGCACCAAGGAAGGGCTAGTGGATCATTTACATGATTTGCTCAATGGTGATTTGTTGAATCCTCTCTGTGTAATGAATCCAATAGGTTTAGTTCCTGCCCTCGTGTGTTCACCTGTGTGTACGGTCACTACAACTTTTAAAAAAGTTTAACTTTGGTCTTTGGCAAACAAAGTAGGGAAGGTAGACTGGGAAAAATGAGGCCTGAGTTCAGCTTTGCCACCAACTGCCTATATGACCTTGTTCAGCTGTCTTTTCCTTATTGCAGTTCAGTTTCCTCATCTGTAAAACTGAGCTAAAACAATGTGATGAATAAAATACATTTGTTATGTGAATGCATTTAGAAAAAAATGCTATGTGAATTTAGAAAAAATGCATTTAGAAAACATCCTATGCAGTTTAAAAATGTACTGTAATTTTATTACCTGGGTTATTAGAAACCACATAATTTAGAGAGAAAAAATATGATGCCTGGCACTTAGGTGCTCAGTCAAGATTTGTAGAAGGAAAGGAGGTAAAGATCTGGAAAATCAGACTGAGGCTCACTACATCAGCTTTGCTTATGAACTTTAAGGTCTCTAGAGCTATTATTTTTTGAAATTCAGATTCGACATATGTTGTAGTTTCCAGACAGGGATTAAGAAAAAACAAATTCAGCGTATGTTATTTACCCACCACGGGGCCTGGAGTGGGTCTATGGGGGATGCAAAGATAAATCATCCCCGAGCCCTGAGTGCTGCAGTGTCCTGGGGCCCCGGTGTGGTAGAAGGTTGAGTCTGTGAAGTAAAAATTAGAAATGTCTCAGGAGGGTTTAAGGAAAATGAAGAGGTAGTTTAAGATAGGGACCTATCACGTCTGATGGAGGGGAGGATGAGGGAGCACTTCAAAGGGAAATGTTTCATCAAGCTGAGCCTTAAAGGCCAAGCAGTACAAGGGTGCCTAGAAGGACAGGAAGGACATTTCAAGAGGTGCCAACAGCAAGAACAGAAACATGGAGGCTGGGAAGAATGGGGCATGTTAGAGGGGAGAATGGATTTGAAAAGGAAACAGCCACATTTTAATGTTTGTTGCCCAAATAAATTGATTCAGGAAGATTTTTATGTTTTTTCCAGCCCCCTCCAGCACAGTCGATGGTTCAAGCCTTGGAGTTACTGTATGCTCTGGGAGGTATGCCAGTTTCTCTCATCATTCTCTCTTATTATGTGTTGTCTTTTGTGATATTAGTGAGGTCATATTCACTTTAGGGATTTTAGTATCTTCAGGAATGGGATTGGTTCTCCCCATATATATAATCCCCCTAATGATACTTTATTGAAATAGGAAGTTGGGACCATAATTAGACACATGAAAGCTAATTATGACAGCCAGTATATAAAACATGCCAGTTCGTCAGAAGCTATTAGTAAGAATCACCAGGGCTACACTCCTAAGAGATGTCTAGAGATCAGCAGTTCCCTACCAGGATGTCAGATCTTACCTCCCCAGACCTTTTTTCTCCACCCAACAACCACATCCTTAAAAATCGTGGCTCAGTATTCTCTCCCTAAATCCTCTTCATTTCATTCCTGGAGTTGCTTGTGGAGAATTGGGGACATTATCAGCTTCTAACACCATGTTACGGGGGAACTTCTATTCAGTTGTCGATTGAAGATGTTATTAGGTTGGTGCAAAAATAATTGTGGTTTTTGCCATTGAAAGTAATGGCAAAACCCGCAATTGCTTTTGTCCCAACCTTAATAGCGTTTATCTTGACATAGAGAAAATCATAGTCTGAATTCACCGCTTTGGGGAGTACTGTTTCTTCTGTGATTGGTACCACAAATGAATATAATTTCCAATTTTGAATTAAGTTTTAGTGGAGATTTTGCTTTTTGAGATTTATTTTGAGTGTTACTTTTTTTTTAAGTAGCTGTATTGAAGTATAGTTTATGTACTATACAATTCACTCGTTTACAGTGTACAAATTCAGAGGCTTTTAGCATATTTTCAGGGTTGTGCAACCATCACCACAGTCTAATTGTAGAGCATATTCATCACCCAAAAAAGAAATCTTTACCCATTAGCGCCGAACTTCTCATTCTCTTTCCCCCTAGTCCCCCAGCCCAAGGCAACCACTCTCTGGTTCAGTCTCTATAGAGAGTTTTTATCTCTATAGGTGTGCCTTTTCTGGACATTTCATGTAAATGGAATTGTATAATATGTGGTCTTTTGTGATTGGCTTCTGTTTCAGTCTGTCTGCTGTTGCTATAACAGAATGCCAGAGGCTGGGTAATTTCTAAAGAGGTTTATTTGGGTCACGATTCAGGTGGCTGAAAGCTCCAAGATTAGGCAGCTGTATTTGAGGAGGGCCTCAGCCTGCTTCCACTCAAGGTGGAAAGCAAAAGGAGAGTGGGCGGGTGCAGAGATCACATGGCAAGAGAGGAAGCCAGGAAGAGAAACAGAGGAAGCCAGGCTCTTTTAAGAACCTGCTGTCATGGGAACTAATCCATTACTCACCCTGGGTAAGGGCATTAATCTGTTCATGAGGGATCACCCTCATGACCCATACACTTCCCAGTAGGCCCCATCTCCCAACACTGTCACGTTGGGGATCAAATTTCAACATGAGCTTTGGTGGGGACAAACTACATCCAAACCATAGCAGCTTCTTTCATTTAGTATCATGTTTCACAGGTTCCTTCATGTTGTAACGTATATTCATACCTTATCCCCTTTTATCACTGAATAATATTCTGTTGTATGGATATACCACATATTTTTTATCCATTCATTAGTTGATAGACATTTGGGTTGTTTCCACTTTTTGGCTGATATAAATAATGCTGCTATAAATATTAGCATATAAATGTGGTTTTGGTGGACATTCCCACCAGCAATGTATGAGAGTTCCAGTTTTTCCACATTGTTGCCAATGCTTGTAATTGTCTTTTGTGTTATAGCCATCCTAGTGGGTGTGAAATGGTATCTCTTGGTTTTGATTTGCGTTTCCCTGATGAGTCATGATGTTGAGCACCTTTTCGTGTGCTTGCTGCCCATTTGTAAATCTTCTTTGGAGAAAAGTCTGTTCAAATCCTTTGCCCATTTTTATGTGTGCTGTTGTCTTTTTTTTTTTTTTTTTTTAAATTGAGTTGAAGTTCTTCATACATTCTGGGCACATATTCTTATCAGATATGTGGTTTGTAAATATTTCTCCCATTTTTGTGTTTTGGCTTTTTACTTACATGTACTTACTTTTTACTTATTAGTATTGTTTGCAGTACAAAAATTTTAAGTTTTTGTGTGGTTCCATTTATCTGTATTTTTCTTTTGTTACGTGTGCCCTTGGTGTCATGTCTAAGAAACTTGCCTAACTTGTAGTCATTAAGATATTCTCCTAGGTTTTATAGTTTTGGCCCTTACATTAGGTCTGATCCATTTTAAGTTACTTTTTTGGTATGGAGTGAGGTAGGGGTCCATCTTCATTCATTATGTTGATTTTACTTCTCTGTGAATAGCCAATTACTGATTTAAAAGATCTCCAGTGATTTAAAAGACCTTCAGCTGGATTTACATAAGATCAGCCTGGAGTGAATGTGTGTTGGAGAAGGTTTCCACCCCCTTCTTCTCAAGCATGTAATGGGAACTCGAAAGCACATTTCCTGGGCTGATCTGTAGTGAGGATGAGAGAATGTTGACAGCATAGGAGTTTTTATTTGGGCTGGTTTTTCTCCAGTCAAACAGAATGAAATTTAAGATATTTCCTATTTCTTCAATACCCTAAATAAGCTGGAAAAGATAGAGGGACCCCCCGCCTCCCCCCGCCAGCTTCATTTGATTTCAAGCTGAATTACCACCTTTAAAGAGATGTCTTACTGAGCTCTGCCTTACTGTGAGATCTTGCAGCGTTTAAGTAGTAAAACAGTAGTCTATATCTTGGGAATCCAATACCTGGATATTGGCAAGGTATTGCCAATAGAGGGCAAGAAGGGCAGGTGGGGAGTTGAAAGAGTCAGCCCAGTTCAGCAAAATGTTCAGGAGGCAGTTGCATGAACAGGGCTGGTGTTGGCACCAGAGGGATCTGGGTTAGTGTTTAGATTCCAAGTTGCTGGCCCTGTAGTTGCTCATTGTTGTTCTCATTGTGGCTAATAAAGAGATACTCAAGACCGGGTAATTTATAAAGGAAAGGTTTAATGGACTCACAGTTCCACATGGCTGGGGAGGCCTCACAGTCATGGAAGAGCAAAGGCATGTCTTATATGGCAGCAGGCAAGAGAACTTGTGCAGGGGAACTCCCATTTACAAAGCTATCAGATCTTGTGAGACTTATTATCACGATAACAGTATGGGGGAGACTGCCCCTGTGATTCAGTTACCTCCACTCGGCCCCGCCCTTGACATGTTTACAATTCAAGGTGAGATTTGGGTGGGAACACAGCCAAACCATATCACTCATTTAGTATGAGAAGGGCACAGGACACGGGATGCCATCGATACCATCCTGGCACATCTGTGGCCTGTCCGGTCCTGGAGGTGGTAGAAAGTCCAGACAGTGAGGGGGCAATGGAGATGGCAGAGAACCAGGAGAGTTGGGGGCCGGGAGCTGGCGAAGAGTAGTTCCAAGAAGCAGCGGCCAGCAGAGCCGAGTGCTGCTGAGGCCATCAGGAAGATGCCTTGCGTTTGGTGCTACCCAGTTGTTAGGTTCTTGGGAAGAGTGGTCTCTTCGGAGTAGTGGGAACAGGTGAGGCTCTTGTGGATTGAGGAGAGGGTACAAGCAGGAGAAGGCTGCAGGGGGATTTCCTTATAATTAAGTCCTTGAATAGAAGTCTTTAGAAGTATCAGTTTTTTAAAAAATTGGGTATTCAAGAGCTCAGTGGAGATCTTTTCTTCTTTTAAGGTAATGGCACTCTAGTGTCAAATGGAGTTTGGTGTAGTGCATGAATCATCTTTTGGATACTTTCTTCTTTTTAGCATACATTATCTTTTATTCTCTCAGCAACTGTGTGCCTTCCAACACAATGGTACCTGCCTTCTGATTTCTTTTGTTGTTCTTATGGCAGGTCTGGACAAAGACTGTCGCCTAACTGAACCGCTTGGCATGAGAATTGCAGAGTTTCCTTTGAATCCCATGTTTGCCAAAATGCTGCTTGAATCAGGTGGGTAGAGCCTGATAGCTTGAATTGATTTTATTTTGACTGTCAGAGGTGTTGTTTGCCTGAATTCTGAGCACCCTGGGGAAGAGGGTACAATATGGTAAAGAAGTATATATATATCTGTAACATAACATTTATTGTTTTAACCATTTTATGTGTGTAGTTCTGTGATACAAAGTACGTTCACATTGTTGTGCAACCATCAGCACCATCCATTTCTAGAACTTTTTCCATCTTTTCCATTGAAACTCCATACTTGGTAAACACAAATTCCTTATTCTCTCCTCTGCCCCGCCCCTGGCAACCACCACTACTTTCTGTCTCTATGAATTTGACTGCTCTGAGAACCCTCAGAAGTGCAATCACACAGTATTTGTCCTTGTGACTCTCTTGTTTCTGTTAGCATAATGTCTTCCAGGTTCATCCATGTTGTAGTATGTGTTAAAATTTTCTTCATTTTTAAGGCGGAATAGTATTTTATTGTATATCTATACCATGTTTTGTTTGTTTATCTGTTGACAGACACTTTGGTTGCTTCTAACTTTTGGCTATTGTGAATAATGCTGCTATGAACATGGATACACAAATATCATTTTGAGTCCCTGCTTTTATGTTTATTGGGTATATAGCCAGAAGTGGAATTACTAAATCATGATAATTCTTTAATTTTTAAAAATGTATTTTTAATTGACAAATAATAATTGTATATATTTATGAGATAGAGTGTGATGTTTTAATCTATGTACACATTGTAGATTCAGTCAAGCAAATTAACATATTCACCAACTCACCAACTTATCATTTTTTTTGTGCTAAGAATTTGTGCTAAGAATGTTAAAATTCTATTCTCTTAGCAATTTTGAAATATACGATACATTATTATTAACTGTGGTCACCATGCAGTGCAATAGATCACTAAAACCTATTCCTCCAGTCTAACTGAAACTTTGTACCCTTTGATCAACACCTCCTCTTTCTCCATTCACCCCCTGACCCAGGGGATCTCCCAGCCTCTGGTAACCACCTTTCTACTCTCTGTTTCTATGAGATTGACTTTTTTAGATTCCATATATGAGTGAGATCATATGGTGTTTGTCTTTCTGTGCCTGCCTTATTTCACTTGGCATAATGTCCTCCAGTTCCATTTATGCTGTCATGAATGACAGTGTTCTCTTCTTTTTTAAGGCTGCATGTTATTTCATTGTGTGTGTACATATTTATATAAACCACATTTTCTTTCTTCATTCATCCAGTGAATGGACACTTGGATTGCTTCCAAATTGTGGCTGTTGTAAATAATGCTGAAATGAATATGGGAATGCAGATATCTCCTTGAAATACCAGTTTCAGTTCCTTTGCATATATACCTAGAAGTGTGATTGTCAGAGCATATAAGTCCATTTTTAGTTTTTTGAGGTAGTGCCCTACTATTTTCCATTAATAGGTGTACCATTTTGCATTTCTGCCAGCAGTACACGAGGGTTCCAATTTCTTTGACTTCTTCAGATTTTTGTGAGGACATGGGTTCTAGGTTAAAAGATCTGGAAGTCTTCTCGTAATTAGAAATCAAAGTCATCTAGAAAGTATAATTTGTTTTTTTACCTCTGGGAAAGACAGTTTAATTTTTTCTTGGTTTTGTCTAACTTTTATGTCAACTAGCAATTTATGAAGATGTACTTTAGACCCAGTATGGGGAAAGCTAACTAATTATGTTTTGGAACAACCACTTGTTCTCAGCCTTCCATTTAGAAACAGGATTCTTTTTTTTTTTTTTTTTTTTGAGACAGTGTCTCACTCTGTCGCCTAGACTAGAGTGCAGTGGCGCAATCTCAGCTCACTACAACCTCTGCCTCCTGGGTTCAGTTCAAGCAATTCTTGTGCCTCAGCCTCCTGAGTAGCTGGGATTACAGGCATGTGCCACCATGCCCAGCTAATTTTGTATTTTTAGTAGAGATGGGGTTTCACTATGTTGGCCAGGCTGGTTTTGAACTCCTGACCTCAGGTCATCTGCCCGCCTTGGCCTCCCAAAGTGCTGGGATTACAGGTGTGAGCTACCACACCTGGCCGAGAAACAGGATTCTAAGTGTGGACTGGGGAAGTGCATCATTCATGAGATGGGAGGTAGTGGGGAGATGGGACGAGCAGTGTAGTGTACTCTGCCTTGTGCCCTGGAGTGGTGATTGCTGGTGACTGTTTCCAGGCGTTCCAGCAGCCCCCAGCGTGCTTTGCTGGTCTAGTTGTGCCTTGGGCTTCCCAGCTGAGATGAACCCTTTTGAGAAGGAAGCCACTTCATAGAAGGGGTCAGGAGCAGAGAAACAGCAGAAGGGGCACAAGCCGCTCATTCCCTGTCCCCTCTCGGACTTCCTGCCAGGATTCCAGATGTTCCCACAGGAGGGTAGGGAGCAGGTGCGGAGCTGACCTGCCCTTAGTGATGGGGCCAGTCTTGACCTTGGCTTATAGTCAGAGTCCCCTATATTTCAGCTGCAGAGGGCAGTAACACCTCCTTTTTTGGAGTCCTTCAAGGCTACTATTCATCTGGGTTACATATGGGACTTCACATTTGGCTGAGTGAAATATTTTTATTTTATAAACTTCATTTTTTTGTTTTTATTTTTCTGAGAGAGGGTCTTGTGCTGTCACCCTGGCTGGAATGCAGTGGCGTGAACTTGGCTCACTGCAGCCTTGACCTCCCAGCTTTAAGCAATCCTCCTGAGTAGCTGGACCACAGGCACATACCACCATGCCTGGCTAATTGTTTAATTTTTTGTAGAGATGGGGTTTTGCCATGCTGCCCAGGCTTATATACTATACACTTTAAAAATTAAGCTCTAGAAAAAATATGATCTTAGTCTTCAGTGTGGTGCAAGGAAAGTATCAGAAAATGTCTTTCACTTCTTGTTGGCACATTATATGGTTGAAACCAAACATGCTTTTTGTTTTACAGGAAACTTCGGCTGTTCTCAGGAAATTCTAAGCATCGCTGCCATGATGCAGATCCAGAATATCTTTGTGGTCCCCCCAAACCAGAAGTCTCACGCAGTAAGTCAGCTCTGTCCCCAGGCTGTCTGTACCAGTCTCTTTTGCTTTGAGCTTTCGTTGTCAAAACTGTACTCAGGAACTGCTGAAGACAGAGCTGTACAAATGTGATCTGCTCATGTTTTGAGTGTTTATTCCGTGCTTGATGTTGTGTCAGGTGTTTTGCAGGCATCATTCCACTTTATCTTCATTATAAGCCTGGGAAGTAGATATTATTATCATATTTTATTTATTTATTTATTTATTGAGAGGAAGTCTCGCTCTGTTGCTCAGGCTGGAATGCAGTGGCGTGATCTCAGCCCACTGCAACTGCACTCTGCCTCCCAGGTTCAAGTGATGCTCCTGCCTCCCATGTAGCTAGGATTACAAGCGTGCTCCACCACGCCCGGCTAATTTTTGTATTTTTAGTAGAGATGGGGTTTCACCATATTGGCCAGGCCGGTCTCGAACTCCTGACCTCAGGTGATCCGCCCTTGACCTCCCAAAGTGCTGGTATTACAAGCGTGAGCCACCGTGCCCGGCCTATTATCATATTTTAAAGATGGAGGCATAGAGAGGTTAGGTAACTCATTCACAGTTGCACAGCCAGAATTGTTGGCTCTGGATTCACAGTCCAGAGCCCCACACCTTAACCATTGAACTACCAACTTCTAGTTTCTGTCAGGGAAATTGTCATTCAGACTGCTCTGCTAGAAACCTTGGTGGGCACATTAGTGACATAAGAAGTCAGGTGCCAGGGTATAGCAGGCTGATTCTGGGCACCACACGACATCATGGTCATGTTGCAGGTGGGCCATTATAAGCTAGAGAGATCCAATCCCCACCTAAGGTGCAGGCATCAGCAATGACTAATTGAGTGAACACTGGAAAGACGGAAGGACAAGTTTTGATACTGAAGAGATAGATACTCAGAAGTAAGGTGTGTTGATAGAGGTAGGTCAGAGATGAGTTCAAAGTCAGTTCCTGTTTGAAAGTCAGAGAATTAGCAGCCTTATGCATGGAGGGGCTGAATTTGTATGTGTAATGAGGAGGAGAGAGACTTTCTTAGGGATTGTTGGGATCCTCCTTGTCAGTTGTATAACTATAGATTACAAAGTTTTTCTGCCTCTGTGCCCAGATGCTTATGTCTGTTTTTGTTTAGTTTTGTTTTTAATTAACCTGGAGGAGGAGAGAGACAAGAACACTAACATTTTATCAAATTTCTTTGCCAGATACCTTGTAATAAATTATCTTAATCCACAGCAATCTTGATAGGTTTAGTTTCCTGATTTTACAGATAAGGAAATCAAGGCTGAGAGAGGTTAAGTAACCAAGCTGAGTTCTTTCAAGATATGGCAGAGCTAGAATGCTGCAAACTAGGTCTTTCTGAATCCATAACCCACACGCTATTCACCATGCAATATTACTTCCAGTGCAAAAGTCAATTTCTTTCTTTCTTTCTTTTTTTCTTTTTTGAGACAGGGTCTCGCCCTGTTGCCTTGGTTGGAGCGCAGTGGTGCAAACATGGCTCCTGGGCTCAAGCGATCCTTCCACCTCAGCCTAGTAGCTGGGGCTTAGAGGCATACACCACCATGCCCTGCTGATTTTTTTTTTTAGCTTTTGTAGACATGGGGTTTACCTATGTTGCCCAGGCTGGTCTCGAACTTCTGGGTTCAGGCAATCCTCCCACCTTAGCCTCACCAAATGCTGGGATTATAGGTGTGAGCCACCACACCCAGCAAAGAGTGAAATTCTGAATGTTGCTTCATTCTTTCCAGATTCGAGTGCACCGTAAATTTGCTGTGGAGGAGGGCGACCACCTCACTATGCTCAATATATATGAAGCATTTATCAAAGTAAGCACAACTACTGCTCGAAGTGCCGCCTCAACACACCACCCTCTGGAGGTGATCTAGGAGGGAGGATCCCAGAAGTTCAGTTCGTAAAGGAATGTCCAAGAGAGCCCTTGATTTTCCTGTTAGATTTATTGCCAGTACTTCTAACTGGTGGGTCGGGCTTTCTGCCTGAGTTTGTGGTGAGGTATTGCTGAGAAGAACACAGGAATCATTCATTGCTTTCCCTTGCTTGGAGATATGGTACACTAGTGGCAGGCCAGTGGCCCAGCCTCACGTCATCTCACATCCACTGTGCAGTAGACAGAAAGGCAACATTTGAATAGGAAGTTCTGTTACATTTTCTGCCAGGTGAATGAGGCTGAGAGCAACTTGTAGTCCTGGGTTGAATCTTCAAAGCTGTCCCAGCTGCCATGAGAAGACATTTAGTTGAGATCTGTGCATATTCACATATCCCACCCATATTTAGCTATAAGTGATGTTAATTTTTTATTGTTAATATTCTTTAAAACTAAGCAAATAATACAGCTTAAAGTTCTCATGAAAAATTGTTAATAAAGGTGATGAAAATGATGAAAAAAGTAACCTTACATAAAAGAAAGGGTATAATACTTCAGATTTTTAATACTCATTTCTTAAATACTCTTTTAGAAGTGAAGAAATACTAAATTTTTGTTTACCAGTGATTTGAGGAAGATTATTCAGTTGGTGAAAAGTTTTCAGAAAAAAGAAATTCACTCTTTTTGAGACTTACGGCTTAAATCAGTTAAAATTCATTTGTACAGGCACAATGTATCATCTGCAGTCTGAAGCTTTCTCTACCACTAGAAAGTGGGTATAGGTCTACATTGTATTATTCTATGGTTGCCTTCTTGGAATATCTTCTATTAATTACATTTTCTTTTTTAAAGCACTTTAACTTACAATAGAATTTCAGAGGTACATTTCCACAGCAATAATTTACTCTAAGACATAATGATCATACTTATGAATGCAGAAAAAATTAAATACTGTTGATAGAAAAATCATGCTTTGGGGACAAATAATAGTAATTTGTAAATTATTTCTACATTGGCAAGTGTCATATTGTTGGCTTCTAGTATAATAAAGTGATACATTCAAGCATGCCAAAGAAGAAAAGTTGATTTACAAAGAACCACGTGGAGAAATGGTTCTTTCTGATAGTTCACATCTCATGAAGGTATGTAAGATTGAAACCGTTTCTGCGTGTCATTAAGTTCTCATTTGCCCTTTAGTGTAAAGAGTGAGGTTGCAGAGCAGTCAGATGTGTGCAAGGTTGTTAACATCTGTTTTGAGAGATGGGGCAAAAAAGGGCCAGTTCCCATCTTTAGATCTTATGCCGTTGAACAGCACATGGGGGAAGAGAGAAGAATGATCTTTACAACATAGCCTTAGTCGAGAACATATCTGTTTTCTAACTCCCTCTCTCTGGGTTGTTCTGTAGCACAATAAGGACTCTAAATGGTGTCAGGAACATTTCCTGAATTACAAGGGTCTTGTCAGAGCTGCGACTGTAAGAGAACAATTGAAAAAGCTTCTTGTCAAGTTTCAAGTGCCCAGGAAGTCTAGTGAAGGTGAGAAGAAACCGTCCCAGCTGGTGACCTCCCTTGCTTCATTCTGTTGAGTTGTCTTCCTAAAGTTCTCATGCTGGGCTGGTGCGAGGCAGTGTGGCGTGCTCTGTACCAACACTGGGTTTTATATTTTGAGTTGCCTGCATCTGTGAAAAGCTGAAGGTCAAGTTGCGTATTTTTTCCAAGGAGGTCTATTTTTCTTTCTGATGGGCATTCTTACTAAAGGAATTTCATAGCCCATGACAATACTTAAGAATCACTAACAGTCACATCAGTGCACATCATGTCATTGATTTTCCCATGTAGGCTTTGCAAGAAAAATTACTTTTTGATCAGTGATATTAGTAGCTATTACATAAAAATTAAATTTTATATTCAAAGACAAGTATTATTAAAGCAAGTGCTGGATATTTAGCCTAGGCAGCCACTAAAGGTAAGACAGAAAAGTACTATGTAAGACGTAGTCTCTGGCCTCTAGCAGTGACAGTGACTACTATTAATCAGGGACACAGTAGGTTACGCTGTGGCAGGGGTTCTCCAAATATTCTCTTGCTCAATCTCGCACTCTGTGAGGTGTCGGTAATGTTATCCTCATTTTACAATTAGTCGTAAGATCCTAGGGAGAAGGTAGATTAAATTCAGGACCACGCAACTGGTAAGGAGGAGAGCCAGATCTGTATGTGGCTCAGAAGTCTACGCTTTTAAGGAAGTGACACACCCGCCTCAGCAGTCAGCCTGAAAGCCTAGTGTGCCAGGTACTCAGCCACATCCTCAGCACCATTAGTACTTGGTAACATTTCCTGAGTGCTTATAAGTGGCTAGACAGTGCACTGAGTGTTCCATGTGTTTATTAATTTAATGCTCACAACAACGCTGTGAAACGTGTGCTCTTTTCCCCATCTTATAGGTGAGAAAAGCGTGGCTAAGAGGTAAAATGTAACTTGCTGAAGTTACACAGTGAGGGTATGATGGAGTCAGAACCTGAGCCCAGGCGGTTCCATTTAAGTCTTCTTTTGTCTTTATACTAAGAGCAAGTGATTAAACAATGACGGAGTCTTGGCTTTTACTCTAAGGGAACAGTGTAATGAAGGGAGAGATTCATATGGATAGACAAAGTACTAAGATTATCAGTCCTCTTCGAAGTTAAAGTAGTAGATACTTTAGTAATCATAGAAGACGTGCTGGCAGATGTGGAAGGAATGCCGGGAAGAAGGAATCCAGAGAGGGCTAGCTTGGGAAGTCTTTCAGCTTCCTTGAGGTGTGGTGGGAGTCCGGTCAAGCTTTGGGGTCTGGTTGAATTAGAAAATGGTGGCAAAGAGCACTCTAGGGAAGGAGGACTGGAGACAAGTGCTTGGAGTGAGGAGTATATGAGACGCTCAGAGAATATTTGATGGGTGAATACACTCACGAGAGAGGGAAGAGTTGAAACCTGGGCCATTGAGCCATGTTGGAGTCATTGATAGAAACAGGATGCTTACAAGGAGCACCTAGTTGGAGAGCAGCTCGTCAAACGCCTGTCACCCAGCAGGTAGATGACAGCCTTACTTCAGCAATTGGTGTTCTTCACCTGTGTTTCATTATCAGACCCCTGCCCAGGAGAAAAGTTAAATTTAAATTCTACCCAGCCTGAGAAATTAAATACTAAGGAATAAGATTTTGTAGGGTAGGATTGAGCTTTGGAGGGCTACCGGCCATTGTAGTGTCTAAGATGCTCCCCTCCCCCTGCCTCCAAGAACCAGTTTCCACCCCTTTGGAAGTGATATCACCCCTGTTTAGAGTGCATATTTTACATGGAAATTTCTTATGGACAATAGGAGAGAAGAGACTGGATATCGGATTAGATCATATTTAGACATGTAGATTTGAGATTTTATCAGCTCAGTGCTTAGGAAAAATACAGAAAATCATGGAGACTAAATAAATTACATGCAAATTTAAAACATCTAAGGGTTAAAAAATAGAAAGCAATTAGTGAAAGATACTTTCAGCAGTCATGAGATAAATGATAAAGATTAAAAACTTTATTATAGAATGATTTTATTTAATATATTTAGGAAAAAACAGTTTTCAGGTTGATAAATGGGCTAAGGATTAGAACAAAAAATTCACAAAAGAAGAAATATGCCGATAGTAATCAAATAAATGTAATATAAAAGAAGGTAACAGAAGGTAACACTTTTTGCCAAAACATTGCTAGTAAGAATGCAGTGAAACTGCCATTTTTATATATTGTTGATGGCTTTGGAAATAGTACCACCTTTATGGAACTTACTTACCAACATGCTTTATTCCATTGGATCTAAGATACCATCATGTGTAAGAAACATCGTTATTTTATGTGTCACCAAAGAAAAAAAATGCTGCCAGTTATCATTGTAAAATGCTGTCCTAATTTCAGTGAATTAAAGTTAGAAAAAGAGCGAGTCTTAAAATTGATGAGATGTGATATGTCATTAACCATAAAAATAACATTAGCCTTTTGCACAACAATTTGGAATGTATCCTATGGACATCATCTAATAGTGGGGAAGCTTTATTCATGGAAGATGTTAGCTGTAGCAATAGAAACACCAGTTAAAATGGAACATTTGAAAAATTTGAAGAATTACTTCAATTTTCAAACACTAGCTCATAACCACAGAAGTAACGTTGTATACTATCTCCAGTTTGTGTTTTATAGAAAGAACATTGTTGCCATATGACACTCTTTTACAAAGGAGTTCTGAGGTCACTGACCAGCCTGCAGAGCAGCACTCTTAGGTTCTGGTGCCCAGCCATGGTCCAGTCATCTGTGGCTTAGGGGAGGTTGGAGGGGTCCCAGGTTCAAGGAGCAGACCAGCATTGTTGTCAGCAGCAGTTGTGGGGAGTGGGACCTCCTTAGATGGTGCTGGGGCAGGCATCCAGCATTGGGAAGGGTAGGGCTGGAGCCATTTCAGGAGAGGGTTTCCAGGTGTCTTGAAGCAGCCTGGGGTGGTGCTGGGAGTGGATCCTGTGCATTAGAGCACACGGAGCCTAGGGCAGGCAAGGGTTTCACCCGCCTCTCTGTTGGCTGCCTATGTAGGTGACCCGGATCTGGTTCTGAGGTGCATTGTCTCCGGCTTCTTCGCCAATGCAGCGAGGTTTCATTCTACTGGAGCTTATAGGTAACATGATACTTGGTGAAGTCATTTGTTAAAGGAACAATCTTACAAATGACCCAAACCCCACAGAAAGCTGTGCAGAGATAGTAATTGCATAATTATTTGTAATTTCTACCATGTCTCCTTCCAAAACTGAGTTGAGGTTAGCGACATAGCTTTAAGCAAAATATCTTGACTTTCTAAAAATGATTCTCACATATTCAGCTCATCTATATGTTGTATGTTTTAGAAGGATGACAATTATACATCTTGAGGCTGGTAATATTTCAATTCTAATGACAGAATAATATGACCTGAAGAAACTATTAAAAATAATGTTTCTCAGAGAAGTTATTTTACAATTGGCTAGTTTATTATGTCTTTAGAGATCTGCACGACTGAAGTCCCCTCCCACCCTGGTATAGTGTGGCCACGTCTGGTGTCTTTGGAGGTAGCCAGGTGTTTCTCATGTGCTGGATGTGCCTCCTGCTACATAACCTGATTCTTCCAGTTCCATTTTCTAGGCATAGGAAATCACTCATTGATGCCTTCCTAATGGTCTTTACTATATTCAAATGCAGTGAAAACTAAGCATAGCTTAGGCATACTGTAGCCTGTCAGTATCATGATTCTCCAAACTAATCATTCCAGTGCTTTGAATTGTTACTTTTATTCTGTCTTTTCTGTCTTTGGCTCATTTTAGTTTCATAACCTCAGTGTAGCCTCCTAAAAGTGTAGCTATCATCATTTTCTGTTCTTTAATAAGAGAACACTCCAAAGAATTTCTCCCCAGCTCTTCTATGTATTATTTTGTCATTAATTTTTTTTCCCAGAGAAAATATTACTGCCCTGTTATCTTGAGGTCAGCCAAGATATCCCTTGTCCTGGGCTCCTGTTAATGAGTCCAGAGTTGCACTGAGCCTTTTTTAATTTTGACAGCCAGATCTGCTCCATCTAGTATCCTAGTAGCCGACTGTTGGAACTGCAGGATAGCACTTTACAATGATCTCTAGTATGTTCTCTTTGTTACTCCAGGCATGTTGTAGCCTGTCAGTATTGTGATTCATTTGCCCATTGTATGAGCTCACCTCCCCACCCTGAGTTGTCTGTATTTGAGGCAACTTGTCCATGTGGAGGCGACCCCCACGGTGGCCCGAGATCTTCCCTAAGGAGTGCTGCCAGCTTGTCATCTTGATTGCTCCTACTCTCCTGGAGAGTTAGCAATTTTGACTAGCGTTTGGAAAATTCTTTTATCAGTGTCCTTAGCAACAATGTGGGCTACCTAAGAGGTTCCAGGCTAATCATTCCTTTGAGACAACATTTAGTGTTGATCAGCTCACCACCCCCTGGTAGGACAGCCCAGGACCCCAGGACGCTGGCTTTATTACAATGCCGACGAGGCATTCCGTCACAGCACTTGAAGCACTTCCCCCAAGAAACAGATCATTCTACTGAGTTGGAATTGGAAGTACTATTTCAGAGAAATTAATAGTCCAGTATTGAGCTTTTTTTTTTTTTTTTGAGATGGAGTTTCGCTCTTGTTGCCCATGCTAGAGTGCAATGGGGTGATCTTGGCTCATCGCAACCTTTGCCTCCCAGTTTCAAGCGATTCTCCTGCCTCAGCCTCCGGAGTAGCTGGGATTACAGGCATGTGACACCACACCCAACTAATTTTGTATTTTTAGTAGAGACAGGGTTTCTCCATGTTGGCCAGGCTGGTCTTGAACTCCCGACCTCAAGTGATCTGCTCGCCTTGGCCTCCCAAAGTGCTGGGATTACAGGCATGAGCCACCATGCCTGGCTGTGAGCTTTCTTTTTTCATTATCGTTACGTCCCCCTATAGTCATTATCTTTAGTATTTAACTTTGCTTTTTAGATTATAGAAGAAATCACATGTATTATTTCCATTCCAAAGGAAATTGTTTTGAAAGAGCACCTGCAGAAGATACACATAAACATAGGCAGAGCATTTTATTCCTAAATGTTTTTTCTAAGTGTCCGCGTGTTGCTTTTCTCCTCTTCGCTTTTTCCACGTGATTTATTCTTGACTTCTGGGGTGGCAGCCAGGAGAGGGATCAAGAAAGGTTGCAAGAGAAGATGGAGATAATTGTTTTGCTTGTGACGAGTTCAGTCTGCATGCTTTTTTGGTAATATTAAAAATATCTGTGGGAAAGTCTTGCTATAAGTATTTAAAATGTGCTTCAGACAAAATTCTTCTATGTTCCAAGGACCATCCGTGATGACCATGAGCTGCACATACACCCTGCGTCAGTCCTCTATGCAGAGAAGCCGCCTCGCTGGTAAGCTCATCCTGCTGCTTAGCCTGTGCCTGCTTTGAACAGGGCCATGTTCTTGTTTTTCTCCTGTACATGTTTCTTGACATCGCCTCTAGAATTGCTGCTCTGGGCCGGGCGTGGTGGCTCACGCCTGTAATCCCAGCACTTTGGGAGGCCAATGTAGGCAGGTCACCTGAGGTCAGGAGTTCAAGACCAGCCTGGCCAACATGGTGAAACCTCATCTCTACTAAAAATACAAAAATTAGCCAGGCGTGATGGGCACGTCTGTAATCTGAGCTACTCGGGAGGCTGAGGCAGGAGAATTGCTTGAACCTGGGAGGCAGAGGTTGCAGTGAGCTGAGATCACACCACTGCACTCTAGCCTGGGTGACAGAGTGAGATTCCATGTCAAAAAAAAAAAAGAGAATTTCTGCTCTGGCAAAGAGCTTCTTAAGCAAACAGTGATATTTGTCTACTCACTCATCCACTCAGCAAACGTTCATTTTCAACCACTGACTGGATGCTTAGCCCTGCATGAGGCACAGCTATGCAGAGATGAATTGGGATCCCAGCTCACGGTTCTTTTTTTTTTTTTTTTTTGAGACAGAGTTTCGCTCTGTCGCCCAGGCTGGAGTGCAGTGACGGCGCTATCTTGGCTCACTGCAACCTCTGCCTCCCAGGTCCACGTGATTCTCCTGCCTCAGCCACCTGAGTAGCTGAGACTATAGATGTGTGCAATCACGCCTGGCTAATTTTTGTATTTTTAGTGGAGATGGGGTTTCACTGTGTTGGCCAGGCTGGTCTCCAACTCCTGACCTCAGGTGATCCACCCACCTCGGCCTCCCAAAGCTCTGGGATTACAGGCATGAGCCACTGTACCCGGCCCCAGCCCACAGTTTTGACATAGGGACAGACACAGAGTCAACTACCTTAGGGGAAGGGCTTTACTAGCAGCATGGATGAAGTGCTGGGCTCAGCACATCATGTGCCAGTGAGAGTCAGGGCAGGCTTCATGGAGGAGATAACATTCATTCTGAACCTGGAAACAAGAGTGTTCAGTCAGAAAGGACCCGGAGGGTATTCTAGGTAGAGAAGTAGCAGGGGCAGAGCCATGGAACATAAAGGAACCTCATGCGTTTGGGAAGTGGGGAATCATTGGTATGGGTGGCCCATGCAATGGTGCTGCTCTGTAACACTGCCTAGGAAGAAAGAGGTAAGCACAGAAGTCTAGAGTAGGCCTTTAGACATCTTTATAACATTTCAATGGTTAAGTTTATGTTTGTCCAATTTAATAATAAAAATTGGGGGCTTATATTTTTCTTGTTTACAATTTCATTTTTCTAGAATTCATTTATATTGTATTTTACCAATAAAAAGTACTGATTAAAAGTACTGATCAACCATGGATTGGATTTTGTTTTTTTGAGACAGTGTCTCACTCTGTGTTTTTGAGACAGTGTCTCAATCTGTTGCCCAGTGGTGTGATCTTGGCTCACTTCAATCTCCACCTTCGGGGTTCAAGTGATTCTCCTGCCTCAGCCTCCTGAGTAGCTGGGATTACAGGTGCATGCAACCATGCCCAGCTAATTTTTGTATTTTTAGTAGAGACGGGGTTTTGCCGTGTTGGCCAGGCTGGTCTCAAACTCCTGACCTCAGGTGATCTGCCCACCTCAGCCTCCCAAAGTGCTGGGATTACAGGCGTGAGCCACTGTGCCTGGCCCAGATTGGAAATTTTAAAGACGACAACAACTTGTCCTTCTCCAATTGGAAGATGGAGAAGCCCTGGGAAAAAGGGTGGGGTGTGTGTGAAGAGAGGGAGAGAAGATAGCGGTAGATTTGAAGGCAAGAAAGTCTGTGGTCAAACACTTTGTACCCTAGAATTGCAGCTTTCAAAATGTGGTCTCCAGCCCAGCATCAGTATCACCTGGAAACTTGTACGAAATGCAGCTTCTCAGGCCATGCCAAGTCCCATTCAATCAGAAACTGGACTAGGGCCTAGGACTCCATTTTAACAAGCCCTCCAGATGTTTCTTTTGGGCAGTAAAGTTTGAGTTCTGTTTCCCTAGACCAAGGAATCGGATTTATCCTGTAGCCACTGCAGACCTAGAAGTTGCTTAGGTTGAAAGCACCTTGGTCGGTTCTGGGTTTAGAAATGTTACCCAGTGACCACACTAATGTGGTCAGGATACGCACACTCGTGTGCAGGATAATTTGAAGAGTGCCCACGCCTGTCATCTCAGCACTTTTGAGAGGCTGAGGCCAGAGGATTGCTTGAGGTCAGGAGTTCAATACCAGCCTGGGTGCCATAGCCAGACCTCAACTCTCAAAAAAAAAATGAGCCAGGCATGGTGGCACGTGGCTGTAGTACTAGCTACTCAGGAGACTGAGACAGGAGGATCGCTTGAGCCCAGGAGATTCAGGCTTCAGTGAGCCATGATTGCACCACTGCACTCTAGCCTGGGTGACAGAGCGAGACCCTGCCTTTAAAAAATTTTTTTTTTTAAATCAAGAGAGATGCAAAACCTCAATTTTAGATCCTTTTTTTGCTGACTTTTGGGTGGTTAAATTTGGGAGTTGCTTAAAGGAGAAAGGCTTTTCTTTTTCTTGCTTCATTCCTAAGGAGCTCTGAAGGGCAAAGAAAGGTTGGGGAAATAGAGCCAGCCTGAAGCCATGCCATACCATTCAGGTGGCAAAGAAAGTGCCCCCCAGTCACGGCCTCTTTGCAGGGGGGGCCCTTCTTTTTCCTTTGATCAGCTGAGATTCACTTACTGGTTTTTGAGGGGTGGGGAACCACAGTATGGCTGGTATGTTTATAACATGGGAAGCCCTGAATTAACACTTTGGATGTTTCAGAAACTGATATCTACTCATATGCACACCTAAAATCAGGGGACTGGATGTTATGCTCTTGGCTCTTCGGTTGTCTATTACCTGAGCCTTAGAAACATTTTTTCCCTTAAATAAAGGTATAATTTATTTACAGTGCAAGATGAGTTTTGACAAATGTGTATACCCATGTAACCTGGACCCACATAAATTATACAATATTGTTATCATTTTAGAAAATTCCTTTGTGTCTCTTTACAGTCAGTTCCCAGCCTCTTTCAGAATCAGGCAAGTCTTTGCCTCCATTTCTGCATTTTCTAATAAAGTCATTAGGCTCAGTTCAGAGTTCTGTAAATGCAGATGAAGGATCCAGAAAGGTCCTTCGCGGATAACTGAGATGTTCCAGAAGTCATTGAGGATTTAGAGTCTCATCTGAAAAATGGACACACCATTACCCAGCACTTAGGTCTTGAGGCTGTGGTGAGCAACATAAATGCATGTGTTTAGCACAGTGTCTGGCACATAGAGTAGAACCTGTTAAAGGTTAAAGGAAACAGCATGTCTACCTGTGGTTCCTGACTGTCATCACAAGAGGGGGAAATTAGCTCATGTTTCTTTCTCATTTCAGGGTCATCTATAACGAAGTTATACAGACCTCCAAGTACTACATGAGAGATGTGACTGCCATTGAATCGGCCTGGCTGTTGGAGCTGGCTCCACACTTTTATCAACAAGGAACGGTAGGAATGAACTGAGTCTGTGCCCCAGCCACCTGTTCACAGCCTCTCCATGTTTTTAAATGTACTTTTTTTCTCCAATTTAATGCCCTATGTGTGTTCCCCCTAGGGGTGCATAGGGTGGAAAGGCCATTACCATATCCCCAAAACATTCTGGGAAAGCACTCTAGCGTTTAATTCATAGTGAAGTGCAATTAAAAATAAATCCCCCTAATCTCATAAGAAAAAAAAGGTATCGCTTTCTCGCTTTCTTTCTCCTTTTGCTCTTCCAAACTATTTTTTTTTTTTTTTTTGAGACAGTCTCACTCTGCCGCCCAGGCTGGAGTGCAGTGGCACGATCATGGCTCACTGCAAGCTCCGTTTCCCGGATTCAAGCAATTCTCCTGCCTTAGCCCCCATGTAGCTGGGATTACAGGTGTGTGCCACCACGTCTGGCTCATTTTTTTCTTTTTCTTTTTTCTTTTTTTTTTTTTTGTATTTTTAATAGAGACAACGGTTTCACCATGTTGGCCAGGCTGGTTACAAACTCCTGGCCTCAAGTGATCCACCCACCTCAGCCTCCCAAAGTGCTGGGATTACAGGTATGAGCCAGCAGGCCTGGCCTGAGCTAATTAAAAAAAATTTTTTTAGGGATGGGGTTTCACTATGTTGCCCAGGCTAGTCTCGAATAACTGGGCTCAAGTGGTGCTCCTGCCTTGGTCTCCCAAATTGCTGGGATTACAGGTGTGAGCCACCATGCCACCAGTTCGTTTTTTATTTTTATTTATTTATTTTTGGGACAGAGTCTTGCCCTGTCATCCTGGCTGGAATGCAGTGGCACAATCTCAGCTCACTGCAACCTCTGCTTCCCAGGTTCAAGTGATACTCCTGCCTCAGCCTCTCTAATAGCTGGGATTACAGGCGTGCGCCACCATGCCCGGCTAATTTTTGTATTTTTAGTAGAGACAGGGTTTTGCCATATTGGCCAGGCTGGTCTTGAACTCCTGACCTCTGGTGATCCGCCCGCCTTGGTCTCCCAAAGTGTTGGGATTACAGGTGTGAGCCACCACGCCCAGCTCCTTTTTTAAAAGGGTTACAGCCCTGTGCTGTTTGTGGCCTGAAAATACTTGCTTTACATATTTTGCCCAAGTTTACTGTTGTTTACAGCAGAAGAGAAAGTCTGAAACCTTTTTCTCCATTAGGGCCAGAATTGGACTACACAATGTTTCCAAAGCGATATTTGAATTGATTGCCACATTGAAAAATTGGGAGATTTCATATTAAACATGAATTTCTGGTTTCTCTTGAAAGACATGTTTAGTCTGGCAACACTAGGCTTGCGTTCCTACGTGGTGGCATCACAGGGGCTTAGGGGTGGCTGCCTGCTGTTAGTGACATCGCCAGGTGCCGTAGTCCCATGTCACTTGCTTACTTGCCTGCTGCACTCTTGGAGACATTTGAATTTGTGACCCTGTAAATGGAAGGATCTCCTCATCTCTCCTGCTCCAGCAAAGTCAAGGGACATTGCCCTCTCAAAATTTTATAATATTTAATTTTTATGTAATCAAACAAAAACCATTTCACACCTTTATAGTTCTTCACACATCCCAATTCAGATATTTCAGCTGGAAAGCAGATCAGCCTGCAGGGACTGATAAAAATGCAGTGTGTGTTGTCTTTGCTGAATTAGGTTGATAAGAATAAACCTGGTGAAAGAAAGGCTTTTCCTTCAAAACCTCTCAGGTGGAAAGCAGCAGACTTCAGGAGTCAAGAGAAGGGATCAGAAAGGTAAACTAGAGGTTGAAAGAGGAATGGTGCAGTGGTCAAAATGCCTGTTAAAGTAAGAAGATGCAGACAGCCAGAGAAGGATAAGCCTGAAATTGTCTTGGATTCATTTAGACTCTTGGAAACAGAATTAGCCCAGAAGCTGAGTCATTTTCCCTTCTCAGCTCAAAATTCCAGTTTCTTTAGGTCAAACCCACAAAGTTAAAGAGCAAATAGCTTCAGAAATTTGAAGAAAATAACAAGCCCAAATTTCTTCATTTGTCTCTTCTCTCCAAATGGCTTTTTTATTTTTAAGCTCATCACCTCCACTGTCATCGGAGTATTTTTAGAGAGGCTGGGACAGACCTTTAGAAATCACCTAGTGCGGCCGAGCACGGTGGCTCACGCCTGTAATCCCAGCACTTTGGGAGGCTGAGGTGGGTGGAACACATGAGGACAGGAGTTCGAGACCAGCCTGGCCAACATGGTGAAACCCCGTCTCTACTAAAAATACAAAAATTAGCCGGGCATGGTGGCATGTGCCTGTAATCCCAGCTACTTGGGAGGCTGAGGCAGGAGAATCACTTGAACCTAGGAGGTGGAGGCTGCAGTGAGCCGAGATCACACCACTGCACTCCAGCCTAGGCGACAGAGCAAGACTGTCCCCCCAAAAAAAAAAAAAAAAAAAAAAAAAAGAAATCACCTAATACAACAACCTCATTGTATAACGATGGTCCCCAAACCACAGAGAAACTTGTGTTGTTTCTTAACTGTATAGTCCAAGGGCACTTCTACTATTAACTTGTCCAAAGCAGATTGATTTCTCAAAGAACCTCCAGATCTACAGGGGTTGCCCATGTATGGTAGATGTTCCTTTACTGAACACAGTGCAGCACCTCACAACCTTCCACAGCCCACAGATCATTCACGGCTCTGTTCCTGGCACCTTTGGAGACTTTCCATCACCACTGTTTTTCGGAATGTTGCTCTCACCCTGTGTGGAGGCCTGAAATGGTTCAGAGTCAGCTTTGTTTATATTCAACATTCTTCCCAGAAAAAAGCACCAAAAATGGCCCCACAGGCACAATGGCGTCATCTCCCATCCCCAAGCTAAGGCCGTGGATATCTAACATTAGCTGTAGGGGTTATATCAGGTGACGTGTAGAGAGAGAATTCAGAGAAATTCAGCAAGACCTACAGCTAGACAGGGGAAGAACGGGGTGACCTATTCAGAGATTTGCCTTCTGGCTTTTAAATTATTTTTCCTTATTCTCAGAGATATCTTCATTATTAGGGAAAACCCTTTTAACGAGGCCTTTGCAAGAGCCTGTAGTAGTCCTCCCTCAGGTGTAAGCAGATGGAAAGTCTGAGTTCTTGTAGCTCATTTATACCCGGGTCCTGTTCGCTCTGTTGTCTCTCACGTCATACCTGGTGGTGCGCTGTGTCTTCGTTCACGCCCTCCATTTTTTCAGGGCCTGCAGTTCTCTCTGGGGGCGATGCGGCTTGATGTTGTGGGGCCATGTGGCTGTGCTAAGTAGTGGGCACACCAGCTCCGGAGCAGTCAGGGTGGGCATTCTCATGTGAGGCTCCCACTGTGTGTTAGTTGGCACGGCTTAGGGATCTCTTGGTTATTGATGATTAGTAATGGGCTGTCGGGTATATCCCAGTTGATGAGTGGAGGGAGGTCTTTCATTAAAAGCTTGTATTTACACACTCTGCCTCAAAGGCATATTTAAGGATTTCTGCCACTTTTGGCTTTGCTTTAGAATGTAAAAAATACTTCATTTTCCAATCCTATTATCTGATGCCTATGATTAGAATATTGTGCTTCGTGTTATTCATAATGGTAGAAAGTGACATTTCTGGGGAAAAAAAAAAGTGTCACTAGGAGGTGTCCTTTCTGTTTTCCCAGCAAGCTTGTACCCTCCATGTGGGCAGAGGCCATATCTTTATCTCCATCCTTGAGCATGGGTACCTGGTGTGTTGAGACGCTTGGTAAATTGACTTCCTTGGTCCTAAAGAGAGGATAATTTTTCTTGACTATTGTCAGGAACTTCTTGGAGATTTGAGATCACTTCCAGACTGAGCCCAGTCTCCTGAGCACAGTTGTCTGGCTGCGGTGCTGTCCTCTAGGCTGGGGCAGAGGGAGAGTCGTGTCTCAAAAAGAAAACCTTTCCTTGACAGCTTCCGCAGAGCCCTGTATAACCAGCTTCAGCCGCTGTGGCTTGGGCCTCGGGTTGCTGGCGGCTGAATTCAGGTCGGCTTCTTCATTGGCCACTTGGGCTTTTTCCTTCCAGGCTGTTTCATGAACAGCTCAGCATTTACTGGGAAGGTGTGGACCAGATGGAAGATTTGATGTGGTCATTCATATGGGGATTATGTTGCAGTCTGGTTTCTTTGTCTAATCAACCCCAACTGTAGTGTCTTCTCTTCTGTTGCAGCACCTGTCTCTGAAAGCCAAAAGGGCCAAGGTCCAGGACCCGTGAGAGGAGCCCACAGCTACAGCTGCAGGGACTGCTGGCGTCCTCTCCTCCATGCTGCTGCCCCTGGTCCCAGGTGGGGTGAGCTGGCACCAGCTCCTGTGGAATGTTTGGTTGCTCTGAAGTGGGCTGCGGCCTGTTCATTAGTCCTTTCTTCCCGCTGCCCACAGCATTTGCATCCTTGCTGGGATCCTGGAGGACTTTGTGCATGGGCAGGCATCCTTCTGTGCTGCAGCGGGCAGAGTGGGAGTTGGCTCACTCAGCACGCTCACTAACCCAGCATGCCACTTCCAGCAGGCATGCAGTCCTGGCCCAGCTCTATGGGAAACAAGGAGGAAAGTTAGCCACTGAAGGCCAAAACACCATGTGGGGTGGACAGAGGGTTTGCTGGGCTGGCTTTGCTTTCCCTGCTGGGGCCACAGCTGTGTTAACCAATGAGGTCTGCTGCCAGGTGTGAACAAGCATGTCTCTACGAATGAACGAAACATTGGGGATCTCTGCCGAAACCACCAAAGGGCATGTCTGATGGGCACAGGGTCTCCCAAACCCAGTGGCTTCTGTCTGTCCTCAGCCCTTGTCCCTGTTTATCTGCAGCCAGGAGACTTGCAAGGGATTGGTGATTGACAGAGAGGACTCGTGCGCTGTTTTGTGTTAGCAGAGGATTTGTGTTTCACAGGTAGGCTTAGCGTCCTCTCAGAGTGTAGTGCCAGGTCCTGGTGCCACGCTAGCTGAGCACTCAGGAGAGTTCATCAGCTCAGATCCCACAGGGCCTCCTCTTTAGCAGGAATTCACAACAGTTTGGATGCCCTAAACTTCTGTAGCTCAGGAACATCACTGGTGTATTTGTTTTTTTGTTTGTTTGCTTGGGTTCTTGCAAGAGCGCGTGGGGACAGTTCTTCCAGCAGGCACTGGTTTTGTTGCCCCAGGGCTGCTTTGCTGTGATGATGATTGCATTTCAACACATGCCAGATGCAGATTTTTTCCCCCTTACTGTTTCAATGACCTTTATTTTAAAAACACATAGCTTGAAAATTTATTTTTATACTGATATTAGTTTGGATGTGCCACTTTTGGCACCAAACGTGTATGTCATTTTTATTTCCATTTTATAAACATGTAAATAATAGTGATAACTTGTTAATAATAGTAAACCTTTATACCTAAAGTAAATGTCTTCCCTCCCACACCTGGTTTTCGTGTCTGTATGTTAAGATGTTCTAATGAATTGTTCGAAGTGAGGGCCTGACATTAGCTAAGAAACTTAATGCTGTGGCATACAGCAGCTTTGGGATCTCAGGGACACAGGAAGCCCCCTAAAGCAAGATGATGTGACTGAATGACCTCAAGACCTGATTAGAGTAAACTGTGGGACATTTAAAAGAAGTCCCAAAGAGGTGCTAATTCTTGCCAGTTTCCAGTTGGGATCTTCCTGTAGAGAGGTCAGAAACATTATTTTTCAAGTTTGGCTTTAGGACTGGGGCTGATCCTAAAAAGCTTATATGGCGGTGGAAGGGGAAAGGTACAGGTTTCACACCCTCGGGTTGGAGACCAGAGTCCACTGGGAGCCCGGACAATCTGGAGGGAGCACCCAGAGGCAAGCCCGTCCCTGCATGCTGCCTCTACCCCTGGGCGCCTGATCCTGAGCACATGCTTCCCCTCTGTCCCTCCACCTCTCAGAAGGCAGCCCTCCCCAGGCGACACCCCCCAGTGTTGTGTCCTGTGTTATGTCACAGTCTGTGATGGGTGGGACAGGTCCTTGCTGTCCGAAGCAACTACAAAATCCTGGGCCCATGGGGAGGCCCCTTTACAGTAGGGTTGGTTAAGGCTGGGACCACACAACTCACCAGGGAGTGGGGCCCGGCCTGGGCGAGAGAGATGAGAGCTTTTGACTTTGTCTGTTGCAGGTCTGTGTCCCTGTTCCCATTGTCAGCCCACAGATGTGACAGCAGGGCCTAGTACCTCACAGACTGTCCCCCAGTACTTCCACAGAATTAGTCCCCTCGGGCTCCACACAGGTCTTCAGATACTGCTAGTAAAATTCCCCACAGCATTGCTGTGTCTTCCCTTTGGAGCAAGTGAGAGGGCAGAGAGAAGCTGGCGCTGGAAAGCATGGAGGCGGTGGTGCCCTGTAGGCCCAGAGATGGCAGCTTTCTGTGTTGGTGGCTTGCAGAGACCCTGCCAGTTTTCTGCCATAGCTGGCTTCCCCGGGGGTTGGACATTGTCGTCACAGGGAGCCCCTGGTTCAGCCAGTGCGCTGCTCAGTCCAGCCAGCAAATGTTGAGCCCTCAGGCCATGTGCATGGCACAGGGATGAGGCGGAGACACTTGACAACAAGTAACCAGATGAGTGGACCAGGATGGAGCTGGGCGCACGAGAAGGACAGGGTGGCAGGAGATGGCAGAGGTCCAGTAGGGGTTGTTAAGGCCAGGGCTGTATCCACAGAGACTTCCCCACGACAAGATGCTTTCCTGGTGAAAGGACAGACCGCTCTCATGTTCTTCCCTGGCCATCCCCACATTGCTGAGCATTTCATGTGGGCCATGAACTTGGAGAGCTGCCTAGTGCCCCAGCTCCATGCTCCCATCTCCACTGTTTTGTCCTGGTGTCAGCACAGCCTACTGCCAGTGCTGCTCCAGCTTCATGGGCTGGGCCCTGCCATTCAGTGCTGGGTTGTCCCCAGCACCCCAGCCCTGCCCTCAGCTCTGTTTTCCAGGGCCCGGCGCTGACAGTGTGGCTGACATTTCTCCTAGCCTGAGCAAGAATGTCTGCCGCTGACCAGACAGAGGGTTGGGTGGCTGGGGGAGGGAGGCGCAGGCCAAGGGGCCTAAATCTGGAAAACCGCAAGACTCCGTCCTGGAGCCACAAGACTGGATGTCTGGCAGTGAGGCCTGGGAAGCTGTAAGTTGTAAAAGCCCCATCTCGGGTGGTTCTGATGAAGTGGTGGGCTTGGGAATCCTGGGGACAGGAGTTGAAGATGTGAAGACATGCAGCCCAATGGACAGATAGCCCCCAGCGGGGAGATCAGAGCTTCGAGATCAGAGCGTCAGGTCTGAGTGAAAGCTGATAAATTGTTTCTTCACAAGTGTGCTTAGACCCCAGCCCAATTCCCCTTACGTGTTTCCCCAGAACACAGATCTGTGGGGTTGGGATTCTTCCCCAGGCAGGTTGTGGCAGCAGGCATCAATGTCAGCTCACTATGAATTTTCCTGAGTCTTGCAAAAATGAGGAATGTGTAGTAATGAGCATTTTATAAAGCTTAAGTTTATTCTCTATAAAAGACCATCCTTTAGTGTTTTTTATTTTTTATTTTTATTTTTTGAGTCAGAGTCTTGCTCTGTCACCCAGGCTAGAGTGCAGTGGCATGATCTCGGCTCACTGCAACCTCCGCTTCCCGGGTTCAAGCGATTCTCCTGCCTCAGTCTCCCAAGTAGCTGGGATTACAGGCACCTGCCAC